>NC_000019.10:39665116-39968146 GCF_000001405.40 Homo sapiens
ATTTATGGTTCCACATGGCCAAGGAGGCCTCAGAGTCATAGCAGTGGATGAAAGGCACTTCTTACATGGCAGTGGCAAGAGAATATGAGAAGGAAGCAAAAGACGAAACCCCTGATAAACCCATCAGATCCTGTGAGACTTATTCACTATAACAAGAATAGCATGGGAAAGACCAGCCCAAGGGATTCAACTACCTCCCCCTGGGTCCCTCCCTTAACACATGGGAATTCTGAGAGATACAATTGAAGCTGAGATGTGGGTAGGTACATAGCCAAACCATATTAATCTGCTCCTGGCCCCTCCAAATCTCATGTCCTCACATTTCAAAACCTATCATGCCTTCCCAACAGTCCCCCAAAGTCTTAACTCATTTCAGCATTAACCCAAATGTCTGCTGTCCAAAGTCTCATCTGATAAAAGGCAAGTCTCTTCTGCCTATGAGCCTGTAAAATCCAAAGCAAGCTAGTTACTTCCTAGATACAATGGGGGTACAGGTAATTGAGTAAATACAGCTGTTCCAAATGGGAGAAATTGGCCAAAACAAAGGGGTTACAGGCCCCATGCAAGTCCTAAATCCAGCCAGGTAGTCAAATTTTAAAGCCCCAAAATGATCTCCTTTGACTCCATGTTTCACATCAAGGTCATGCTGATGCAAGAGGTGGACTCCCATGGCCTTGTGTAGTTCTGCCCCTGTAGCTTTGCAGGGTATAGCCCACCTCCTGGCTGTTTTCATGGGCTGATGTTGAGTGTCTGAAGCTTTTCCAGGCTCATGGTGCAAGGTATCTGGGGTCTGGAGGACAGTGTCCCTCTTCTCACAGCTCCACTAGGAAGTGCTCCAGTAGGGACTCTGTGTAGGGGCTCTGATCCTTCCACATTTCCCTTCCACATGGCCCTAGCAGAGGTTCTCCATGAGAGCCCCACCCCTGTAGCAAACTTCTGCTTGGACATCCAGGCGTTTTCATACATCCTCTGAAATCTAGGTGGAGGTTTCCAAATCTCAATTCTTGACTTCTGTGCAGTTGCAGGCTCAACACCAGGTGGAAGCTGCCAAGGCTTGGTGCTTGCACTCTCAAAGCCATGGCCTGAGTTCTATGTTGGCCCCTTTCAGCCATGGCTGGAGTGGCTGAAACACAGAGCACCAAGGCCCTAGGCTACACACAGCACAGTGATCCTGGGCCCGGCCCACAAAACCATTTTTTCCTTGTAGGCCTCTGGGCCTGTGATGGGAGGGGCTGCTGTGATGATCTCTGACATGCCCTGTAGACACTTTCCCCATTGTCTTGGGGATTAACATTCAGCTTCTCACTACTTATGTGAATTTCTTCAGGCAGCTTGAATTTATCCTCAGAAAATGGCATTTTCTTTTCTATCACATTGTCAGGCTGCAAATTTTCCAAACTTGTATGCTCTGCTTCCTTTATAAAACTGAATGTCTTTAACATCATCTGAGTCTCCTCTTGAATACTTTACTGCTTAGAAATTTCTTCCACCAGATACCCTGAATCATCTCTCTCAAGTTCAGTGTTCCACAGATCTCTAGGGCAGGGGCAAAATGCTGCCACTCTTTTTGCTAAAACATAATGAGAGTCACCTTTGCTCCTGTTCCCAACAAGTTCCTCATCTCCGTCTGAGACCACCTTAGCCTGGACCTTATTGTTCATAACACTATCAGCATTTTGTCAATGCCATTCAACAAGTCTCTATGAGGTTCCAAATTTTCCCACATTTTCCAGTCTTCTTCTGAGTCCTCCAAACTGTTCCAACCTCTGCCTGTTACCAAGTTTCAAAGTCGCTTCCACATTTTTGGGTATCTTTTCAGCAGCACCCCACTTCACTGGTACCATATTACTGTATTAGTCCATTTTCACACTGCTGATAAAGACAAATTCAAGTCTGAGAAGAAAAAGGGGTTTAATTGGATTTACGGTTCCACATGGTGTGGGAGGCTTCAGAGTCACGGCAGGAGGCAAAAGGCACTTCTTATATGGCAGCAGCAAGAGAAAATGAGGAGGAAGCCAAAGCAGAAACCCCTGATAAACCCATCAGATCTCATGAGACTTATTCACTATCATGAGAATAGCACAGGAAAGACTGGCCCCCATGATTCAGTGACCTCACCCTGGGTCCCTCCCACAACATGTGGGAATTCTGGGAGATAGAATTCAAGCTGAGGTTTGGTTGGGGATACAGCCAAACCATATCAACAAATATGGAGAGACTGTGGATCAACAAGATCATCTCGAATTAATACAGGAGGTGAGAGTTTAAATTAGAACAACCACTTTGGAAAATAATTTGGATTATCTTATAAAAATGAGCATTCTTCCAGGAGCTGGTTTTTTGAAAGGATCAACAAAATTGATAGACCGCTAGCAAGACTAATAAAGAAGAAAAGAGAGAAGAATCAAATAGACGCAATAAAAAATGATAAAGGAGATATCACCACCGATCCCATAGAAATACAAACTGCCATCAGAGAATACTACAAACACCTCTACTCAAATGAACTAGAAAATCTAGAAGAAATGGATAAATTCCTCGACACATACACCCTCCCAAGACTAAAACAGGAAGAAGTTGAATCTCTGTATAGACCAATAACAGGCTCTGAAATTGAGGCAATAATCAATAGCTTACCAACCAAAAAAAGTCCAGGACCAGATGGATTCACAGCTGAATTCTACCAGAGGTACAAGGAGGAACTGGTACCATTCCTTCTGAAATTATTCCAATCAATAGAAAAAGAGGGAATCCTCCCAAACTCATTTTATGAGGCCAGCATCATCCTGATACCAAAGCCTGGCAGAGACACAACCAAAAAAGAGAATTTTAGACCAATATCCTTGATGAACATTGATGCAAAAATCCTCAATAAAATACTGACAAACCGAATCCAGCAGCACATCAAAAAGCTTATCCACCATGATCAAGTGGGCTTCATCCCTGGGATGTAAGGCTGGTTCAATATATGCAAATCAATAAATGTAATCCAGCATATAAACAGAACCAAAGACTAAAACCACATGATTATCTCAATAGAAGCAGAAAAGGCCTTTGACAAAATTCAACAACCCTTCATGCTAAAAACTCTCAATAAATTAGGTATTGATGGGATGTATCTCAAAGTAATAAGAGCTATCTATGACAAACCCACAGCCAATATCATACTGAATGGGCAAAAACTGAAAGCATTCCCTTTGAAAACTGGCACAAGACAGGGATGCCCTCTCTCACCACTCCTATTCAACATAGTGTTGGAAGTTCTGGCCAGGGCAATTAGGCAGGAGAAGGAAATAAAGGGTATTCAATTAGGAAAAGAGGAAGTCAAATTGTCCCTCTTTGCAGATGACATGATAGTATATCTAGAAAACCCCATTGTCTCAGCCCAAAATCTCCTTAAGCTGATAAGCAACTTCAGCAAAGTCTCAGGATACAAAATCAATGTACAAAAATCACAAGCATTCTTATACACCAATAACAGACAAACAGAGAGCCAAATCATGAGTGAACTCCCATTCATGATTGCTTCAAAGAGAATAAAATACCTAGGAATCCAACTTACAAGGGACGTGAAGGACCTCTTCAAGGAGAACTACAAACCACTGCTCAATGAAATAAAAGAGGATACAAACAAATGGAAGAACATTCCATGCTCATGGGTAGGAAGAATCAATATCGTGAAAATGGCCATACTGCCCAAGGTAATTTACAGATTCAATGCCATCCCCATCAAGCTACCAATGACTTTCTTCACAGAATTGGAAAAAACTACTTTCAAGTTCATATGGAACCAAAAGAGAGCCCGCATCGCCAAGTCAATCCTAAGCCAAAAGAATAAAGCTGAAGGCATCATGCTACCTGACTTCAAACTATACTACAAGGCTACAGTAACCAAAACAGCATAATACTGGTACCAAAACAGCATAATACTGGTACCAAAACAGAGATATAGATCAATGGAACAGAACAGAGCCCTCAGAAATAACGCCACATATCTACAACTATCTGATCTTTGACAAACCTGAGAAAAACAAGCAATGGGGAAAGGATTCCCTATTTAATAAATGGTGCTGGGGAAATTGGCTAGCCATATGTAGAAAGCTGAAACTGGATCCCTTCCTTACACCTTAAACAAAAATTAATTCAAGATGGATTAAAGACTTAAACGTTAGACCTAAAACCATAAAAACCCTAGAAGAAAACCTAGGCATTACCATTCAGGACATAGGCATGGGCAAGGACTTCATGTCTAAAACACCAAAAGCAATGGCAACAAAAGCCAAAATTGACAAATGGATCTAATTAAACTAAAGAGCTTCTGCACAGCAAAAGAAACTACCGTCAGAGTGAACAGGCAACCTACAAAATGGGAGAAAATTTTTGCAACCTACTCATCTGACAAAGGGCTAATATCCAGAATCTACAATGAACTCCAACAAATTTACAAGAAAAAAACAAACAACCCCATCAAAAAGTGGGCAAAGGACATGAACAGACACTTCTCAAAAGAAGACATTTATGCAGCCAAAAAACACATGAAAAAATGCTCACCATCACTGGCCATCAGAGAAATGCAAATCAAAACCACAATGAGATACCATCTTATACCAGTTAGAATGGCAATCATTAAAAAGTCAGGAAACAACAGGTGCTGGAGAGGATGTGGAGAAATAGGAACACTTTTACACTGTTGGTGGGACTGTAAACTAGTTCAACCATTGTGGAAGTCAGTGTGGCAATTCCTCAGAGATCTAGAACTAGAAATACCATTTGACCCAACCATCCCATTACTGGGTATATACCCAAAGGACTATAAATCATGCTGCTATAAAGACACATGCACACGTATGTTTATTGTGGCACTATTCACAATAGCAAAGACTTGTAACCAAGCCAAATGTCCAACGTTGATAGACTGGATTAAGAAAATGTGGCACATATACACCATGGAGTACTATGCAGCCATAAAAAATGATGAGTTCATGTCCTTTGTAGGGACATGGATGAAATTGGAAATCATCATTCTCAGTAAACTATCGCAAGAACAAAAAACCAAACACTGCATATTCTCACTCATAGGTGGGAATTGAACAATGAGAACACATGGACACAGGAAGGGGAACATCACACTCTGGGGACTGTTGTGGGGTGGGGGAAGGGGGGAGGGATAGCTTTAGGAGATATACCTAATGCTAAATGATGAGTTAATGGGTGCAGCACACCAGCATGGCACATGTATACATATGTAACTAACCTGCACATTGTGCACATGTACCCTAAAACTTAAAGTATAATAATAATTTTTTAAAAAAGAAAATGACATAAGAAAAAAAAAAAAGAAAAAACAGATAAAGTGCACTTTGTCTGTATTTACAGCCCATAATCAAGAAATCATTGCCCAATCTCATGTCATGATGATATCTGCCTGTCATTATCATTTCTCCTATCATTATCATTGAAGGTCTTACGTTTACTCATTGATACATTTTGAGTTCACTATTGTATATGTTATAAGCTAAGGGACCAGTATGTGTAAGTCCAGTTTTCCCAGCATCACGTGTTGAGAAGTCTGTCCTTTTCCAATGCGATGGTCGTAGCCCATTGTGGACTCTCAGGTGACCCTCTGTGAGTGTTTCTAGGCTCTCTATTCTACTCCTTTGATTTCTATGCCTCTCCTTAAGCCAGCACCACACTGTCATGATATTATAGCTTTTTAAAGAGGTCAAACATTGGCCACAATAAAATATGCACTTCCAAAGCCATTTTTAGGTATTATATATCATGGATTAGGCTCTTTTTTTTTATTCTCAGGACCTACATGGACACTATTTCTCATCCTTGTGATACAGGAGTTATTAAGAAATAATTTTTAGGTAGATAGTAAGGGTAAAAGTTCTTGGTGGAAATTTTCCTGTAATAAGAAACAACCCCCAAACCATCTCTTTTCTAACAGAAAAGGTGGCTTGAAGGGCCAGGAGAGCAAGCTTTGATATGCAAATACTGGGTCATTAGAAACGAGGTTCACTCAATGTGGTGATTCCTGCCATCTTTTCCTTGTCACCAGGTGTACCAAGTGTCATGGCCACTTTCAGATAACACCATGTGTTCGAAACATCATGGCAACCCGCATTTGCATATTAAAGGGCTAAGATGGGAGGGCCAGATTTTTCACAGGCTACAGAAATTACACACCTGGTCAAACCAATCCCCTGGGCCCTATGGAAACCAGAAGCCGCCTCCTCCAGCATCCCAATATAAGCAATCACTTTTCCACCACACATGGTTTTTATGTGTGTGTGTGTGATAGGTTTTTATTTATTATTATACTTTAAGTTCTAGGGTACATGTGCACAACGTGCAGGTTTGTTACATATGTATACATGTGCCATGTTGGTGTGCTGCACCCATTAACTCGTCATTTACATTAGGTATTTCTCTTAATGCTTTCCCTCCCCCCATCATTCTGAGCAAACTATCGCAGGGACAGAAAACCAAACACCGCATGTTCTCACTCGTAGGTGGGAATTGAACAATGAGAACACTTGGACACAGGGTGGGGAGCATGGGGGGTTTTTTGTTCGAATCCCCCTCTCTCTGTCTCTGTACGGGGGAGCTGTTTTCTTCCTTCCTTCTTTCTTGCCTATGAAACTTTTCACCCCTTAAAACCACTCCACATGTGTCCATGTTGTTAATCTTATCAGCACGAGACCAAGGACCCTGGTTCCCTCCAGTCATCGGAGCCATATCTTTTAGGTGCATTGGCCAGGAATGGGAATTCATTCATCAGACTGGTGAGTATGGAGCAAATCTCAACTTTAAATCTGTCTTTTAATCTCTAGGCTCTCTTCCAGCTATCCTGCCACCAAACTTTCTTTCTCTCTCTACCCGCGGTCTCTTACTGTCTCTCTCACTGTGTCTAATGTGCAGGAATCTTTACAGTTCAGGGAAACAGGTCTGTTAGAGAAGATCATGAATCAAGGCAGGCAGTAACTCAATAAACGTCTGTCTCTCTAAGGTTTCGCTGGTGAGCACATGGTATTTCTAAGCCAAAACCGCCACCTGGTGGAAATAAAAATCCTCTTCATGAGACACTTGGTTCTCTGTGGTACGTTGCAGCTTCACAATTTCTCCATTTTGCACTTTTTTACTGCTACTTCTGTGGACGGGAAACTCTGGTTTCAACCATTAGGAGTAAGATGTCTTCCACAGCCAGATTTTAGTCCCAATATTGTCCCATCAGTAGGAAAACTGCCATTCGGTTCCTACACTCTTTTAAGGCACCTATTCTGTCTCCAATTAAGACAGTACTTAATTGGTAAGGGGATATTAAGTTTAGAAGTTAACCAGAACAGTTTTTTTTAAAGGGTAAATGCATTAGCACGGGTCATAATAGCAGGCAATCTAGCACATTGCCTCCATTAAAGGAGCCTTGCCCAGAGGTGACACAGTCTCCCCGGAGATCCGTTTTCAGGGAGCCAGGCAAACTGCACATGTTTAGGAAATCAAAGGTAAATCACACAAGGCAGATAAGCTAAGACTGCATGGGTAAGCACGGGTAGCCCCATCACTTAGTTCATCCAGCTCTATGGCTTGGAGGACCACACCTACAGCCATGGGTGGCACATTTAACATGGTGCCGGGATCCAGAAACCAGGGAGGGGAAGTAATCAGAGGATGCTCCCTGTCTGCTCCTCCACTCTGGGTCATACCAAAAGGAAGGAGACTAAGAAGATGCTTTGTATTCTTTCTTCTTTTTCTAAATGGATAATAAATTATCTTTAGGTTGCACCCCTCTGGAGTGCACTCTGAAACACTGAAACTTCCTTAATCTCAAAACTGTAAAGAGAAAAGCAATTTATTTTCTTTTGCACAAGGACATGGCATTTTTACTAAATGGGAGGGAAGCGGTTCTCATAAACAACCCTAACTAAAACTTCAATAGCTCAGGAAATGATAGGAAAAGGAAGTACTTTTTAATACTCACTATAAAAGGCCTAGAGGAAACCAGGGCCAAACCTCTCAGTTACTCTAAGCTGTCTATAATGAACCAAAAGCCAGATAATAATTCTGTAGCCTTTATGGAAAGGCCAAGAGAGGCACTAATAGAGTACATCTCCTTATCCCCTAATTCAATGGAGGAACAGCTCATTTTGAAGGAGAAGTTTATTACAAAAGCAGCTCCTGATATTAAAACTAAAAAAGCAAGCTTAGGACAAAATACCACCTTAGAGAACCTCCTGCAAGTGGCGACTTTGGTCTTTTATAATAGGGACAAGGAGGAGTCCCAACAAAAGCGGGGGAATCTCAAGAGAAGGACAGAGGCTCCAGCAGCAGCTTTGCAAGCTTGTAAAGTCCAGAATCCCCAAGGTACATCCACTAGTTGCTATTGGCATGGCAGCCCAGAGCATTTTTAAAAGGAATGCCCAGGCAGCAAGATGAAGCAAACTCAACCCTATCCAGGCTGTGGCAAAAACCACTGGAAACAGAACTACCCCCAGAGGCAGAGGTCACTGGGTTCAAAATCAGCCTCACAGATGGTCCAGCAGGAATGATGGGTCCAAGGGCTCCAACATTGGCTCCAGTGACTCAAACTGCCATAGAGCACAGGAGTCCTAGAGGATTCTGGAAATTTACAAAAGGAAAGTAAACCTCCTTCTAAGCACTAGAGCCAGTCTCTCTCTTTTCTCCTCTCTAATCCAGGCCTCCGCTCTTCTCATAGCACAACTGTAAAGGGCATCTCGGGAAAAACTCTAATCCAATATTTTTTTCAACCTTAGCTGTAGTTAGAAAGACCTATTTACACGTGCTTCCAAGTCATTGTCATAATAGCTCTACTAGTCAAAAAAGCCTCCAAGTTAACCCTAGGAAATAATTCAACTGTTTACAGCCCACATAATGTGGCAGGATCACTGACCTCTAAGGGGAGCTCTTAGCTAGTAAACAGCCAGTAAAGCAAGAAGTACATAAGGCAGGATGAGCAGTAGTCACTGCCCCAAACACAAGCACTCAATTAGCTGAGCTAATAGCTCTTACAAGAGCACTTAAATTAAGCCAGAGAAAGATAGCTAACATTTCTACTAACTCCAAGTATGCTTTCCTAATTGTCCATGCTCATGCTGCTATTTAAAAGGAAAGGCATTTTCTTACCACTAATGAATCTCCCATAAAATATCACCAGGAAATTAATAGGTTATTATCCTCAGTTTTTCTTCCACAAGAAATAGCAGGATGCATTGTAGGGAACATCAAAAGAAAATAAATAAGGTAAGCAAAGGAAATAAATTAACTGGTCAGCCAGCTAAGACAGAGGCAAGGAAGTCTCAGGGCATTAACACAACTAGTGAAAGCCCAAGTCCAGGAACTAAAACCATCTTTATTTAATCCAGGAAATTTAGTATTAGTGAAAAATCTCATCTCTCTCCTTCCCTAAGCCAAGCTGGGAAGGGCCCTCCACTGTTCTTCTTTCAACCCTCTCAGTAGTAAAATTTACAGGAATCAACTCCTGAATACATCACACTAAAGTCAAAGCTTAAAAAGCTGGGGGAGCAACCCCTAACAGTCCAGAGAAACATCCAGAATGTCCATGTGGAAAAGCAGAAAATGTTAAGCTAAAAATCACAAAAATTAAGTAACTGAGTAAGGTCTACCCATCTTACTCAGTCCCACATTTACCTCAACATATACTTGTTGTCATTTCTGCCCTTTCCTGTCAAAATTTGCCACCAAATATTAAAACTTCTTTTTAATGTATAATTGCAGAAAATTTTAATGATAAATGAAATTGCACTTGGAACTCCGTAAATCCCCAAAGGGAAATGTTATATCTTGACAAGTAAAGTTTTAAACAAATGTTTTTTACTATCCCACTCTTGTGGGAATTGTTATAGTTATGCTACTATTTGTGATAAAACTATACACTGTGGCACCCACAATGTGGAATTCTGGTTGTAAAATTCTAATTCGTGCTCCTATGAGAATCTAATGCTGGGGCTTATCTGACAGGAGGCCACTCACGCAGTAATGCTTACCCACTGCTCACCTCCTGCTTTGTGGCTTCTTTCCTAACAGGCCACGGATTGTTACTGCTCTATGGCTTGAGGGTTGGGGACCCCTGCTCTAGGGTGTATCTCTTTCAGGGTTCCAACTAAAAGCCTAACTCTCTCTCCCACTTGGCAGACAACAACCTATAATTTTTGTATCTTCAGATCCACAAGACTGATAGAAGTTCTACTCTGCCACCACCTAAGAATCAACTTCTAATTTATGATACTATTTTAATTTCCCCAATTGTACAAAAGCATGTCCTTTATAGCTGTTTTAAAATCCATTATCCAATCAGGTTTCATGCACTTTGGTGCTATACTTCTTTGGTCTCTTTTAATCTAGAACATTCTCCCTGCCTTGTTATGACATTTTTTGATGCTTTTTGAATTTTTGTCATATATAAGGCTCCAAAAATGAAAATGAGCTTGGTGGTATGAGGAATTGAAAAGAGGTCAGTATATCAGGCATTTCTTGCACCACGTGTTATCCTCTCAGCCCCACCTCTTCATCCAGCCATTGCTAAGGTGACCAGGTCCAGACAGTTGTTCACTAGCTTCATGCAGGTACACACTGACAGTGCCTCTCCTTAGTATCTATCTTTCCAGTACCTTCCTCTTTCCAGCACTGGGCTTCTTTGAGATGGTAGAATAGGACTTTTGCAGAAATCCTCTCAGCACCCATGCATTTGCAAACCAAAGTTGTGGGAGACTTAATGCCAACAGGATGACTTTTTAACAACTGGGGATGGGGGCAGATGGATAAATACTTCCTTTCATCTTCTGGGCAGAGAGTACTAAGAAACATTTCTTATTTGGTCGGGGTGAGGGTGAAAACCAAGCTTATGCCAGAAAAAGTCATAGAAAGCAGCTGGACCCTCATACTGGGAACCTAAATCTCTTATTGGGCAGATCACTGTAAAGATCCATTGCTGGTAAGTGAAGTAGTGATTACCCATGGCATACTAAGTATCACAATTACTAAGTATTGCTTGGTATTACAATTACGAGTTCACAATGACTAAGCATAGTCGCCTGTGTGTTCTTGGCAGGAAGTGCTGAGAGAAGGTGAAGCACTGGACTCCAGAAGCTGTGGCACTAGAATGGTAGGGGTACAATGGGAATCATAGGATTCTGGAAGTATTTGGTTTGGTTTTAACTGCATTGGAATTATTTTTACAAAAAGAAAGAAAGAGCTGGGCTCAGTGGCTCACGCCTGTAATCCCAGGCTGAGGCTGGTGGATCATGAGGTCAGGAGTTCAAGACCAGCCTGATCAACATGGCAAAACCCTATTTCTACTAAAAATACAGAAATTGGCTGGGCGCAGTGGCTCATGCCTGTAATCCCAGCACTTTGGGAGGCCGAGGTGGGCGGATCACGAGGTCAGGAGATCGAGACCATCCTGGCTAACACAGTGAAACCCTGTCTCTATTAAAAATACAAAAAATTAGCTGGGTGTGGTGGCAGGTGCTTGTAGTCCCAGCTACTTGGGAGGCTGAGGGAGGAGAATGGCATGAACCCAGGAGGCAGAGGTTGCAGTGAGCCAAGATCACACCACTGCACTCCAGCCTGAGTGACAGAGTGAGACTGTGTCTCAAAAAAAAAAATAATAATACAGAAATTAGCCAGGCATGGTGGCAGGTGCCCGTAGTCCCAGCTACTCAAGAGGCTGAAGCAGGAGAATCGCTTGAGCTCAGGAGGAGGTGGAGGTTGCAGTGAGTCAAGGTCACACCACTTAATCCAGCCTGGGCAACAGAGCGAGAATCCATCTAAAAAAAAAAAAAAAAAAGAATGAATGAATGAATGAAAAAAGGAGAGGGACTTATTCATGCTCACCAACTACCAATTAAAGGCACACTTTGAACACTAGATGTTCCTGATGATAGCATTTAAAGAAACCCTCACATCCTGCAAGCACAGGGAAGAGAGTGCTGAGTGCTGAAACCCATATGTAGGATCTAATTTCTAAAAACATGGCATAACTGCAAAGGAAACTGGTGGCATGGTCTTAACAAATGCCAGATTACAAAGTGAATGCTCTGATAGTTGGATAACTCAGCTTCCTAATATCATAACTTGCTTTAAAAAACTACAGTAATCAAAATGCATTCATACCAGCTTAAAGATAAGCCTATAGACCAGTGGAACAGAATTGAGAGTCAAAATAAATCTAAACATCCATCGTAAGTTGATTTCCACAAGGGTGCCAAGATCATTCAATGTGGGAACAAATTGTCTCCTGAATAAATGGTTTTTGGTTTTTGTGGGGTTTTTTGTTTGTTTGTTTTTAACTTTTATTTTAAGTTCAGGAGTACATGTGCAGGATGTGCAGGCTTGTTATACACGTAAACCTGTCATGGAGGTTTTTTGTACTGAATATCCACATGTAAAAGAATGAATCTGGACCCTCACCTTATACTATATACAGAAATTAACTCAAAATGGATCAACAACCCAAATTTAAGAGATAAAACTGCCAAATATGGGCCAGGCATGGTGGCTCACACCTTTAATCCCAGCACTCTGGGAGGCCGAGGAGGGTGGATCACGAGGTCAGGTTCCTGGCTAACACGGTGAAACCCCGTCTTTACTAAAAATACAAAAAATTAGCGGGGCATGGTGGCGGGTGCCTGTAGTCCCAGCTACTCGGGAGGCTGAGGCAGGAGAATGGCGTGAACCCAGGAGGCAGAGCTTGCAGTGAGCCGAGATCACACCACTGCACTCCAGCCTGGGCAACAGAGCAAGACTCCATCTAAAAAACGCCACCCTTGTATCTTAAAGTCCCTCATGACTGTACTACTCTGTGCAGGCCCTCCAAGAATGCGGTGTTGCTTTTGCTTTCCTATTTTTGTAGGTGGAAGCAGCTCTAATGGCTTCCATTGCCCTTTCCTACTATCACATTCCTCCCTGCACAGGTCAGACAACCAATGTGGGATTCTGCCATTTGCTGAGTGTGTCCATTCCACTTCTGCAACCTGACACTGAGCAAATAAGCAGAGGATGGATGTGGGGCCAACTGGGCAGTGCCAGGTGCTTCCAGTGCTTTCACTTTCACATAATTCCAGCTGAACTTGGAACCGACTTAAAAACAGGATTTGATTCCCCTTTCACTTCTACTTATGAAGACATCAATAGATTTCCAGGAAATCCCACGTGGAGAGGAAACTGATTTTGTAATTCACTGCTTGAGTCTGATGCATACTCTCTAGTTAGTATTTCAGACACAAATCACAGGAACAATATTTGCTGCTTGAGGAAACAGCTATGAAGACACTGAGAGTAGATACAGAGTGTCTTGCCTGCCCTAGGTGAACTGGCAGGAAATAAGAATCTCTGTGTCCCTGGTTGCTTTAGGAAAGTAGAAACCTATAGAGACTAGGAGAACTTTCTATAGGTGTGAGAAAGTGTGTGAGGAAAAGAGGAGGATAGTGGACAGCATAGAGATTTCTGGACTGAGACGGGATTTCGGGCGTGAATAACTGAGTGAGTAGCAGCGTGGAAGGGGCTGTGTCTGAGCTGAGCAGGGCTGAGTGGGAACTGCGCTCTCTACACTGAAACAGAGTAGGGACCTCATGGGGGCTCCCTTCCCCTATTTGGACTCCAAAGTGCACAGGTGCCTCCGCTCGACCAGGAAAAAGAAGAGGGAAATTCATATGCTCTCTGCCCTCAGTTCAGGAATGGGGGATGAACCATCCCATTTCTGGAAATGTTGAGACCCAGACTTAGCAAAGGCTAATTTGTTGATTTAAAGAGTGCTCATAGATGACCATGCCCTTCTACCATCCTCCTTTCTGACTTAGAATGGGAAAAGTCATGTCATAGAGGAGGAGCTGTGGGCTCAAATAGTGGACAAGGCAGTCAGTACTTTGCAGAGTGTCAATCTTGGTCAGAGATGGATGCAAGGCAAACCCTTTGACCAGGGCACACAATGACATGGCTTCATGAGAAGCATGGAGGCTGAAGTGCACAACTTCCCACCCTCACTCCATCATCCTCATCTGTGCCTTCCCTGGCGATTCCCTGCCCCTTGGTGTGACCCTCCGTGTCGTTTCTGCTGCAGCACAGTCACAGGCCTGAAAACTGAAACTGAGTCTATTTCTGCCACCCCTACTCACGCTGCTGAGAAATCTTCCTGGCAGGGGTTCAGAGAAAGAAATAAAGCCAGAGGGCAGGGCCAAGAGGGACTATTTAAGTGCTGCAAATCAGAGACTCACACAGAAGACCAGATACTATTCTGAAGAACTACACAGAGGGAGACAACAATGTCATCACTAAAAGTAAGTCAAAAGACACAGCCTTTAATAAACTCAATTCACATAAACCAAGAAAGAATCAGGGGTGATTTCACAAGACGAAAGTATGAGAGTTTCTCTTGTGAACACTTTACTGAGAGTTGTGGGTGTGTGAAAGAGAAACCGTGCGGCTATGATATCTGAGATGCTGGTGGAGTGTGGGGTGTGGACTCTGAACCAGTGTAACCGTCTGTGAGTGCATGGTGGTGTCTGATGAGAGTAACCTCTGCTGAGATGATGTGACTTTAGGTGGGAGGTGAACAGCCCACCAGGGTGGGCGGGTGTGTGCCTGAGTGTAAGGGTGTAACTGCGTTTTGTCTTCTTGACTGTGATGTGAGTGTGTGTGTGAGCACAGCTGGACCAGTGTGTGAGCATCTTTATATGCACAGTGAGCAGGTGTGTGAGACTCAGTGAGTGGCATGGCTCTGTGAGACTATGGGTGAGTGTGTGCTGGGATGTGACTGGGTGTTGAACTGGGAGCATGCAAGGGGCCTTCTGTGCATGTAAAGTTTCCTCCCAACACAGCAGCGCCTCTGATGAAGCAGCTGGGCACTTCCCATGTGTCAGTGTGTGTCCCATGTGTGAACAGTGTGGGTGGCAGAACTGGTGCGCCTGTTGTGAGCCATGAGTTATGGAGGAGTCATCTCTGAGCAGAATGCGTGAATCCTCAGGTGCCTCCTCCCAAGCAGAGTGGGGAAAAGGAACACAGACTATGGGGCCGATGGTTCCTCAGGTGGGGTCTGTCCAGAAAGGCCATCTGCTCCTGCCTCCAGCCTCAGGTCTCTCTGTCTCCCAGCCTGTCCATCCCATTGTGGGAGAAGAGGGTGAGCAGATCCTGGCTCACTAGGGAAGGCCTTTGGGGGATGTGGGTTCGGAGACTGAGTCGCCCAAAATAGAGAAGGAATCAGTTTATTCTTAGTTCATACAGAGCTTACAGTGCATATTAATCAATAACTTGCCAGGGTTTGTGGCTCATGCCTGTGATCCCAGTGGTTTGGGAGGCCAAGGTGGAAGGATCGCTTAAGGTGAGGAGTTTCAGACCAGCCTGGGCAACGTAGTGAGACCCTGTCTGTACCCAGAATTTAAAGATTATCCAAGCATGTTGGTGTGCACCTTCATTCACAACTACTCAGGAGGTTTTGGCAGGCGGATCACTTGAGTCCAGGAGTTTGAGGCCACAGTGAGCTGTGACCATGCCACTGCAATCCAGGCTGGGCAACAGAGTAAGATCCTGTATCAAAAAGACCCCAAACCCCAACACCAAACAGAGAAATGAAAATCAAACAATATTTAGATTACCTCCAATGACTTCCCTGGCCCACACTCTTCATGTGTGCAGGTACTGGGGCTGTGCTGCCAGCAAGGTGTCCCCTTCTGGAAAGGACGTCCATGGCCCTTGATGATTGTGATGCACACGGGGGTTTCCAGTTCTTTTAGCATTTCTCTCTCTCTTTCAACAAGTGTTGTTTCTCACTGGAGTGAATCTCTCTACTCTTACATCCTCACATCTTGTTTTCACAGCTTCAGTGTTGAAAATAATCACAGGTCGGTGTTCCAGAAGCAACCTCCCTGTTCTAATGGGTAACCCCCAACAGGCTTCATGCATGGCAGAGATTAGGGCAAAACTTTCACATATATTAATTCATATATTACTGGAAAAACCCTACAAAGCAGAAATTTCTGCTTATCCTCCTTGTCCTGGGGAAACTGAGGCAGGGAGCGTTCAAGTAATGGATCTAAGATTGCACTGCTAGTAAGAGGCAGAATGAGGACTGGAACCAAGGCAGCATGGATCCTGAACCATTGCTCTCATGTATGGGTCACTAATTTCTTCAGGAATATGCCGCCCTGACCGCTACGGTGGGAGGGAGGAGGCTCACAGTTTGCCCTTTGACCTCTAGCCTCCTGCACCATAGGAATCTGTTACGGGGGGGAGGCCACACCTGGTCCTGCCCCTCCCACCCACTTTCAATCCCCTGGCAGGTACCACACACACGGCCTGTGTCCTTGTCTACTGGTTCTTGTGTGATAATCACAGGGACACCGATCATCCCTTTCGTGTGAGTACTCCATGGTCCATGGCAGGGGGAGGAGACGAAAGAACATTTGCTAAAGGGCTGACCTCCTGTGTGAGTGATGTGAAAATGTCTAGTTGGCAGGATGGCAGCACCATGCAGGTGCAGGTCCTGGAGACCCTGCAACACCTGGCATGAAACCTGCAGTGGCCGCACTGTGAGCTAGTCATGGGGCCTAGGGGAGGAGGACACTCAGGGCATTGGGACTGTGGCTCTTTATCAAGAGGCATAGAATGTTCAGGAAATTGACAACTCATAGGCCTAGGTCAGTGACTGTGGCTGAGTTTACATCTTGGGATGAGGGAGCTCTTAAGGGCAGGAGGGGCTGAAGCAGCCCCACAGGGACAAGACTGGCAGTATCACCAGGAAGGCCTGTGTCTGCTCTGGGGAAAGGGGGGAAGGGATTTGTGTGTGTCCAGTGTGTGCCCCACAAGGGAGAGACCTGCCCAACACACCGTGTGCTTTACCCTCAGCATGGACCCACAGCTGCAGGTGGATTTCCATACCGAGATGAAGGAAGACTCAGACATCGCCTTCCATTTCCGAGTGTACTTTGGTCATTGGGTGGTCATGAACAGCCGCGTGAATGGGGCTTGGCAGTATGAGGTGACATGCCACAATATGCCCTTTCAGGATGGTAAACCATTTAACCTGTGCATCTCCGTGCTGGCCGATGAGTACCAGGTGAGCCCCCCAGGAGCTCCCAGCACCCACCCTCCATGGGCTCCCAGAACAGGAGGCAGCTCTTCCTGAGCTGACCCCACCAGTTCCTCGGAGCCGATCTCCCATAACTACTCCTGCCCCAGGCTTTTCCTCACAGAGCACTCTCTGCTTGCACTGCCATCCTCAGTTCTTCTTCCAGATCTGACCCAGGGTCAAGGTGGGCTCACCTGCCATTTTCCCCAAGGTGGAGAATCTTGTCTGTCTTCACCCATAGTTCTCATTCCCATGTATGCTGTTACTTACATAGTCATTCAGCCAAATGGATAAAACATGCATATGAATAAGGTTATTTTATCAGTCCAAAATGTAGTCTTTCTCTCAGTACTGAACCCCAATCCTACCCCCAGAACAGCAGTATTACTAGCTTCTCTACACAAATTCCAGAGCTAATGTATGCTTATGGAAGCATACAGATGTGTGGTTTCATTTCTTTTTAAACCAATGCTGTTTTAAGTTTCTCTACACATTACACTTTAGAAACTGGGGTGGATTTGTTGTCAAACGCTACATGTTGGAGCAATCATCCATCCATGGTGCCGCCTCAGTTTTTCAACATCATACAATATTCCTGTAGCAGGGTTACCCAAAATTATTGAACTTGATCCTTTTGATGGACATTAGGCTGGTTCCAGTATTTTGCGCTCACAAATAAAGCTTTTTAACGTACCCTTTGTCATAATGAACCTCCCAATTTCCATATTGGAGGGTAATTACAAAAAATGGAATAACTCCTTCAAAATTGTGTGCATTTTAAATTTCATAACTTAACACCTAAAAGGTGACTGTCTCTATAGCTTTAGTAATAAATAAATAGTATTTCCAAACTTTCTAACCTTTTCTTCTTCTTCTTCTTCTTTTTTTTTCTGGAGATGGAGTCTAGCTCTGTCGCCCAGGCTGGAGTGCAGTGGCACGATCTCAGCTAACTGTAACCTCCACCTCCCAGGTTCAAGCGATTCTCCTGCCTCAGCCTCCTAAGTAGCTGGGAATACAGGTGCACACCCACCACGCCTGGCTAATTTTTTTTTTGTAGTTTTAGTAGAGACGGGGTTTCACCATATTGGTCAGGCTGGTCTTGACCTCCTGACCTTGTGATCCATCTGCCTTGGCCTCCCAAAGTGCTGAGATTACAGGCATGAGCCACTGCGCCTGGCCTTCTTCCCAATCTTTTCAAATGGGCAGATGCAAAGAGTAACATTTCGTCCATATTTAAGTAGGAGATCCTTTTCTTATGCCTTTCAGCCGTTCAGAATAATATCCTACGTTTTGCAACACCTGTTTTGTTCCTCCTCTCTGAAAACATTTGAATTTCCTTCTTTGCCACCACCATTACATCTCTGGGCAACTCCAAGGAGAAACTGGGCCATCAGCAGTCATAGTGAATGGGAGTTATAGTTCATGGAACTGAAATGTATGCATTCAATGAACACTGTCCAGCACTAACCCCATGGCAGGCCCTGTGCAAGACGCAAGGATTGAAGTTCATGAGAGACAGTCCCAGGCCATAGGGATCTTCCAGGTGAGAGGAGAGGCTGAGCAAACAGGTTCTGTGATACACAGGGTGGTAAAACCTCCTTGGAGGAATGAGAGGAAGCATTGGAAATAAATGAGCAACTGTCTGAAGTAGGCACAAGGGTAATCTGCAGAGAGAAGTGTGTCTACTGGGTTCTGATGTATAATTAGGGGATTTCTGGTTGGATGCTGTAGGCACTAGGGCTGAGTGAGATGATGCTGAAAACTTGTTTGATGGCATATTGTATTTCTGATGCATTTTTTTCTTTTGTAGGTAATGGTAAATGGCCAAAATGCTTACAGCTTTCCCCACCGACTCCCACCATCTTATGTGAAGATGGTGCAAGTGTGGAGAGATGTCTCCCTGACCTCAGTGTCTGTCTGTAATTGATGAAATGATCACATTCCTCATGGTTAAAGAATCCCTGTTTCTGTGCGACCATGGCATTTCCAGAGCCTGCTAACAGAACGATCACTCCTCACCCCTTCCTCTACACTTGGTCATTAAAACTTCACCAAATTTTCCAGAATCTGGTTCTTACTTTCATGGAGAAAAAGACAAAGTGGCACAAGGACACAAGTGACACAAGGCCACTGTGATGTCTGAGATTACATAACGAAGACATCCTTTTATGTCAGCCCGTACTTTACGTCAGACACTCTGAACCAAAATTCCTCCTTCATTGTAGATGACTCACTCCAGTGAAATGTTGGGTAGCTGTTTACAACCTCACAGGCATAATTGATTTTGGGGAGAAGCTTTGTAATTTGAGGAAAGTCATATGAAATGTCTTCATTCTTGCACTCATTCTAAGGATGTTTCCTGTGTCTTAATACTGTGTCTGGCGTTGTGCAGGAAGCACTGAAAAAGCCGAGGAAATACTGACCAAGTTTGCACCTGAAATTTTGTTTTGTTGTTGTTCTTTGAGACAAGTTCTTGCTCTGTCATTCAGGCTGGACTGCAGTGGCACCATTAAGGCTCACTGCAGCCTCGACACCCTGGGCTCAAAAATTCCTCCTGCCTCAGCCCCCCAAGTAGGTGAGACCACAGGTGAGCACCACCATGGCCAGCTAATTTCTGCATGTTTTTTTTGTAGAGATGGGGTTTTGCCATGTTGCCCAGGCTGGTGTCGAACTCCTGAAGTCAAGCAATCCAGCAACCTCGGCCCACCAAATTGCTGGCATTACAAGTGTGAGCCCCTGTGCTTGGCCTATACCTGAAAATTTCAATCCAAGCCATAGTTAGAGAACCACAAGAGTTCAATAATTTCCCTCAAAAAATCCCTTTGTCATGTTCAAAAGAACTGCCAGATTTTTCTATTTTATGTGGGCAGAATCCTGGATCTCCTCTTTGGAAATAAATGGTCATAGTTTTAGATCGGAAAATATGTCATTTATTGGTGGAATGAACACAATTCATTCACATGGACACAGTGAGCCGACCCTGCTTTGCTGCTGCTACCGTTGGCATTGCAGAACCGGAAACCTCCCCAACACATATTCACATAAAGCAACCATTTATTCTGATGTCTCCCTGCTTTGCAGGTTTACTGGACTCATGCGGGTGGTAGACACGCATGTGTGTGGGAGTCACGTTTTCTGAAGGACCTACAGGCTGGGATCCCAGAGGATTCTTCACTTATGTTTGACTCAACACTAAGGGTGAGTGAACACCTGGGGGCTGGCTGGTTGTCTCCTTCCCTACCTCCCCTACACATTAGTGTCTTGAATTTTCTGAAATCATGAAGGCCTCATAGTTGTTGGACTTAATCAATGATTACTGTCTTCCACCAAAGAAGGACTTTCAAGAAACCAAAGAAGAAGCTGCCAGGCATCATAGAACTTAGCTTTGAAAATTGGAGAGTGTCACTTTTCTATGACATTATATTGATTAAGGTGAGTACAGACAGCCCAAATCATGGGGAGGGGCCTCCACAGGTTGTGGTTGTTTTGATTATTGGTCATGATGGGGTCCTTTTTGGAACCAAGTTCCACTGAGTCTCCACTGGCTTACAGACTGTTCACATACCAAGAGAAGTAACCCTGGAAACAACTCCAGAAAGCAATACCATTGTAGGAAGAGGCTCAGAGTGAAGTCCCGCATCTTATCATCCAATCAGGACCTGGTGTCCATGAGGTGACTACACATTGTCAGGTGCACTTTCTCTCAATGTGTGCACTAAGGAGACAAATTATTGGCCCTTAACACATCAAACACCCAATACTGAAACACACATAGGAAAAATGCAATTCACACACCTGATTTAAGCATTATTTGAAAAAGAAAAGAAAAAGAATTTTACATCAAAAGGACAAGAAGATTTTTAAAAGGAGAATGAATTGAAGAGAGGAAGAAGAAAATAGACAGCAGTCACTGGGCCACATCATTGCTGAAGCCAGCCAGACACCTATTTATCATTTTCTCTAGGACTGGTTCTCAGCAACAATCGGCTTCACCCTCCACTCTTCCCTTCTTGGAGTTTCTACCAAGATGGCAGAATGACAGTCCTTTTCCCTCTATAAGAGCTGAGATCACCTGCTTCATAGCAAACCTGGAGAACCACTTAGCAGAAACAACATGTTACCTACAAACTAATGAAGGCAGATTGAGTAAAGTCCTGTCAAATAGCCTCTTTTTCCACACGGCCCAAGTCAGGCATCATTTTGATCATCCTCATCCTCTCTCCCCATGTTCATTGCCGCAGTTTGTTCACCTCCAACCTTACTCATGGGTATGCTCCTCTCCTACCCGCATTCAACCTAACACCCAGATACCTGAGGTGCCAACACACAGCCAGTGCTACTCCTCATTCCTTTCTTCCACGTTTCATTCCCATATGGAATGAAATTCCCTCCTCTCTCACTGGACACTCTTGGGTTCAGTTTAGGTCCACTCTCCTCCTTACACCTTTCTGCTCTCAGTGTTGTTCACTTTTCTATTTTGATAATAGGTCATAGGCCTCATCACCTGTATGGAATTCATTTTTTGTGGAATTTTAGAAGGTGACACTGACCTTATCAGGGGCTCACCTTCAGCCTAGCACCTAAATGTGCAGAGGCAAGTGGACAAAAAGGAACTGGGAATAGAGTCCAGGCTTCACTCAGTACCTCTTTGTAGTGACAGCAGAAAGAGTAGTATGGGTGGTGGGTGTGAGATGTTGTGTCACGGGAACGGAGAACAGGAAGTGTTTCCTGGGCACTGAGAAGTGTCTCCTGTCTCACGGTGACCTCTTCCCCAGCACAGTTTAGCTGCAGAATACACACTGTTGTCCTCAGCACATAGATCATTCTCAAAGATAGACCATATGTTGTCATGAAACCAGTCTTGAAACATTAAAAAAAAATTGAAATATGTAATCCCAGCACTTTGGGAGGCTGAGGCCAGTGGATCACGAGGTCAGGAGATCAAGACCATCCTGGCTAACACAGTGAAACCCCGTCTCTACTAAAAATACAAAAAATTAGCCTGGGCGTGGTGGTGGGCACCTGTAGTCCCAGCTACTCGGGAGGCTGAGGCAGGAGAATGGTGTGAACCTGGGAGGTGGAGCTTGCAGTGAGCAGAGATGGCGCCACTGCACTGCAGCCTGGGCAACAGAGCAAGACTCCATCTCAAAAAAAAAAAAAAATTGAAATAATATCAAGCCACTTCTTTGACCACAATGGAATAAAACAAGAAATTGGTAGCAAGAGGAGTTTTGGAAACTATCCAAATACATAGAAATTAAACAGTATGTACCTGAATGACCAGTGGGTCAATGAAGAAATTAAGAAGAAAATTAAAAGTTTTCTTGAAACAAATGATAATGAAAACATAACATACCAAAATGTATGGGATACAGCCAGGGCAGTATAAAGACGGAATTTTATAGCTCTAAGTCCCCACATCAAAAAAGAGAAAAGCTTCAAATAAACAATATAATGATGCATCTTAAAGAATTAGATAAGCAAGAGCAAACCAAACTTAAAATTAGTAGAAGAAAATAAATAATAAAGATCAGAGCAGATACAAATGAAATTAATAAAAAGTGTTTTTTCTGATAATTTAAACAAAATTAGCAAACCTTAGCCAGACTAAGAAAAAAGTAGAGAAGATATAGATAAATAAAATCAGAAATGAAAAAAAGACACATTACAACTGATACCACAGAAATTCAAAAAATTATTAGTGGCTACTCTGAGCAACTATACACCAATAAATTGGAAAATCTAGATGAAATGAACAAATTCCTGGATACTTACAACCTATCGATATTGAACCTGGAAGAAATTAAAAGCCTGAACAGTCCAATAATAAATAATAAAATAGAAGCCACAATAAAGTCTCCTCATAAAGAAAAGCCCAAGACCTGATGCCTTCACTGCTGAATTCTACTGAACATTTAAGAAAAAATTAATGCCAATCTTACCGATACTATTCAGAAAAACAGAGGAGGGACTATTACTGAACTCATTAAAAGAGGCCAGCATTATCTTGATATCAAAACCACACAAAAACCCACCAAAAAAGGAAGAGAAACCATAGGCCATAGGCCATAGGCCAATATCTCTAATAAATATTGATGCAAAAATCCTAAACAAAACACTAGCAAACCTGAAGGGGGCCTGCCCCTTCACACCTGTGGGTATTTCTCGCAAGGTGGAGATGAGAGACTGAGAAAAGGAAATAAGACACAGAGACAAAGTATAGAGGAAGAAAAGTGGGCCCAGGGGACCAGCACTCAGCAAGTGAGACCTGCACCAGCACTGGTCTCTGAGTTCCCTCAGTATTTATTGGTCACTATCTCTACAATCTTGGTGAGGGAGATGTGGCAGGACTATAGGGTAATGGTAGGGAAACCATTACCAAATCAGCAGGAAAACATATGAGCAAAGGAATCTGTGTCATAAATAAGTTTAATGAAAGGTGCTGTGCCTGGATGTGCACGTAGGCCAGATTTATGTTTAACTTTACACAAACATCTCAGAGCAGTAAAGAGTAGCAGAGCAGTATTGCTGCCAGCATGTCTCACCTCCAGCCATAGGGCGGTTTTCTCCTATCTTAGTAAATAGAATGTATGGTCAGGTTTTACACTGAGACATTGCATTCCCAGCGACGAGCAGGAGACAGATGCTTTCCTCTTATCTCAACTGCAAAGAGGCCTTCCTCTTTCACTAATCTCCCTCAGCACAGACCATTTACAGGTGTCAGGCTGGGGGACTGTAAGGTCTTTCCCTTCCCATGAGGCCATATCTCAGGCTGTCTCAGTTGGGTGAAACCTGGACAATACCCAGGCTTTCTTGGGCAGAGGTCCCTGCGGCCTTCTGCAGTGCATTGTGTCCCTGGTTAATCGAGAATGGAGAATGGTGATGACTTTTACCAGGCATACTGCCTGCAAACAAATTGTTAACAAGGCACATCCTGCACAGCCCTAAATCCATTAAATCTTGATTCAATACAGCACATGTTTCGGTGAGCACAGGGTTGTGACTAAGGTTACATATTAACAGCATCTCAAAGCAGAACAATTTTTCTTAGTGCAGATAAAAATGGAGTTTCTTATGTCTTCCTTTTTCTACATAGACACAGTAACAATCTGATCTCTCTTTCTTTGCCCCATACAAACCAAATTCAACAATACATTAGAAAGGTTGACCAGGCATGGTGGCTCATGCCTGTAATCCCAACACTTTGGGAGGCTGAGGGGAGTAATTACCTGATGTCAGGGGTTTGAAACCAGCCCGACCAACATGGCAAAACCCTGTCTCTACTAAAAATACAAAATTAGTCAGGCGCAGTGGTGAGCGCCTGTAATCCCAGCTATTTGGGAGGCTGAGGCAGAAGAATAACTTGAACCCAGAAGGCAGAGGTTGCAGTGAGCTGAGATCACACCATTGCACTCCAGCCTGGATGACAGAGCGAGACTTCTTCTCAATAAAAAAAAAAAAAAAGAAGGAAAGATCATTTATCATGTCCAAATGGGATTTATTCCTGGAATGCATGGATGGTTCAACATATGCAAATCAATTAATATGATACCTCATATCAACAGAATGAAGAACAAAAGCCATATGATCATTTTAATTGATACTGAAAAAGTGTTTGATAAAATGCAACATTTCTTCACAATAAAAACCCTAAAAAAATTCGTGATGGAAGGCCCATACCTTAAAATAATAAGCCATATATGACAGACCCACAGCTAGTGTCATACTCAATGAGGAAAACCTGAAAGCCTTTTGTCTAAGCTCTGAAACACTACAAGGATGGCCGTTTTCACACTGTCATTCAACATAGTACCAGAAGTCTTAGCTAGACCAATTTGACAAGAGAAAGAAACAAAGGGCATCCAAATTGGAAAGGAGGAAGATAACATAATCTTATATTTGGAAAAACCTAACCACTCCACAAAAAACTACTAGAACTGATAAACAAATTTGGTAAAGTTGCAGGATACAAAATCAACATATAAAAATTAGTAGCATTTCTACATGCAAACAAGGAACAATCTGAAAAAGGATTTAAAAAGCTATCTTATTTACAATAGCCACAAAGTAAATTAAGTACCCAGAAAGTTACTTAACGAAAGAATTGAAAGATATCTGAAAAAGTCTAAAAAACGAATGGAAGAAGTTGAAGAGGACACCAAAATGGAAAAAAATATTCCACGTTCATGGATTAGAAGAGTCAATTTTGTTAAAATGTCCATACTACCAAAGGTAATCTACAGATTCAATGCAATCTTTATGAAAATACCAATAACATTCTTCACAGGTGTAGAAAAACAATCCTAAAATTTATATGAAATTATAAATGACTGAGAATAGCCAAAGCCATCCTAAGCAAAAAGAACAAAACTGGAGGAATCACATTACCTGACTTCAAATTACACTACAGAGCTATAGTAACAACAACAACAAGAACAACTACAAAAAGCATGGTACTGGCATAAAAACAGAAACAGACCAATGGAACAGAATAGAGAACCCAGAAACAAATCCACACACCTACAGTGAACTCATTTTCAACAAAGGTGCCAAGAATATACACTGGGTAAAAGACAGTCTCTTCAATAAATGGCATAGGGGAAACTATGCAGAAGAGTGAACCTAGAAACCTATATCTCCTCATGTACAAAAATCAAATCAAAATGGAGTAAAGATTTCAAACTAAGATCTCAGACTATGAAAGTACTAGAAGAAAATACGGGGATAAATCTTGAGGACATTTGTTCTGGCAAAAATTTCTTGAGAAATACCCCACAAACACAGGCAAACAAAGCAAAAAAAACGAACAAATGAGATAATGTTAAGTTAAAAAACTGCCTAGCATAGGAAACAATCAAAAAGTGAAGAGAAAACCCACAGAATGGGAGAAAATATTTGCAAACTAATTGCCTGACAAAGGATTAGAATGGTTTGAATTCCTTGACAAAAAAAAAGTGAAGAGAAAAATGAAATAAGAGGGAGAAGGAAGGAAGGATGGAAGGAAATTCTAATTCACTCCACATTTGAATTCTAATATAGGTTTTAAGGATGCTTCCTTTCATCACAAAAAGAACTTGAGGAGGGGTCCTGAGTCCTCCACCCCAGGTGAAGAAGACTGCATTGTGACTCAAGTCCAATCACCTGTACCTGCACCTGTCCTCACACAGGTCTGGAACTAAGAAACAAATAACCAATAACTAGACTTAAGAATCTCAACTTTCTCCACAAATTTGCAGGAGAAAGGGTGTCTCTGAAAATTTGGATTCCCATGGACGCTCAGAGAAAAGAAAAGGGTGTGGGTGGAGCCCAGGTGTGTGAGAGGCAGATGGGAAAGACCCTCACCTGGCAAAGCCAAGGGGACCAGTGTGGGATCAGGGGGACACAAGGGCTTTCTCTACCTCCCTCCATAGGTCCTGCTTAGGATCAAGACCAGTGTTCTGTCAGAACATCTGTAGACCAAAAGAAGTGTTACCTCCCAGGGCAAATGATTTTCACCAAAATCCTCACTATTTTTACCATTGCACAGATTAGGAAAATTAGGAAATGTACATTCTGCACAGTGGAGAGAAGGCTTAATGAGAGGCATGGGGGCTGGACTTCACAACCCCTCACCCTCATCCTCACTCCATCATCCTTGTCTGTGCATTTCCCTGGTGACCCCTTCCTCCCCCTGGTGTCTTCCCCACCGTCATTTCTGCTGCATCACAGACACAGGCTTGCAAAAAAGTGTGGTTATGACTGAGTCTGTTTCTGATACCCTGGGGCTATGGTGTCTGAGACGTTGCATGTTGTCAGGTGTGGACCCTGGACCAGTGTAACCTTCTGTGAGGGTGTGATGGTGTCTGATGAGAGTGAACTCTGCTGAGATGATGTGACTTTAGGTGGGAGGTGGAGAGCCCACCAGGATGGGTGGGATGTGCCTGAGTGTAAAAGGGTGACTGTTTTGTCTTCCCGACTGTGATGTGAGTGTGTGTGTGAGCAAGGCCAGACCAATGCATGAGCATCTTTATAGGCACAGCGAGCAGGCATTTGTGACTCAGTGAGTGGGGTGACTCTGTGCGACTATGGGTGTGTGTGAGTGCTGGGATATGACTGGGTGTTGAACTGGGAACATGCATGTGGCCTTCTGTGCATGTCAAGTTTCCTCCTCACACAGCAGGGCCTCTGATGAAGCAGCTGTGCATCTTCCCATGTGTGTCAATGTGGATGCCAGGTGGCAGAACTGGTGTGAATCTTGGGGACTGTGAGTTATCAATGACTCATTTGTGAGCATTAATGAGAGCAGAAAGCATGCTCTCTAGATGCCTCTTCCCAAGCAGAGTGGGAAAGAGGAATGCAGATCATAGGAGTGATGTTTCCTCAGGTAGGTTCTGCACACAGTGACCACCATCTCCTGTCTTTCAGCCTCATGTCTCTTCCTGGCTCCCACCAAAGCCTGCCCTTCTTATTGTGGGTCTGGAGAGTTTGCAGATCCTGGCTCTCTAAGGAAGAGCATTAGAGTCTGTGGTTTCGGATACTAAATCACCCTAAACCAGGAAGGAACAAGTGTAGCCTCAGTTCAGACAGAGTTTACAGTGGATATTAATCATCAGAGTAGCTGGGTTCACTGGCTCATGCCCATAATCCCAGCACTTTGTCAAGCAAAGATGGGAAAATAACTTGAGGCCAGAGGTTTGAGACCAGCCTGGGCAATATAGTGAGATGCTGTGTTTACAAAAACTTTTAAGTATCAGACAGGCATTGTGGCAGGCCTCTTTCATCACAGCTACTCAGGAGGCCAAGGCATGAGGATCCCTTCAGCACAGGAGTTTGTGGCTTTGTGAGCTATTGGTGCACCACTGCATGTCAGCCTGGGTGACAGAGTGAGATCATGTTTCAAAAAGGAAGAAAAATTATACACTTGTAGGTTCTCTCTAATTACTTCCCTGACCCACACTTTTCATTTGTCCAAGTGCTGGAGCTGTGTCCTCAAGATTTTTACAACTTCTGGGAAGGACGTCCATTGCCCTTGATGACTGTGATGCACGTGCATCCCACACACAGGGGTTTTCTGTTCTTTTTCAATTTCCCTCTCTCTTTCAACAAGTGTTGCTTCTTACTGGAGTGAATTTCTCTGCTGTTACATCCTCAAGTCTAGTTTTCACAGTTTCAGAGTTGAAATTGATCTCAGGTCAATATTCCACAAGGACCCAATCCATAGTGTTAGGTCACCCCCAACAAGCCCTGTACATGCCAGGGATTAGGCTAAAGATTTTACACGTATTAACTTCTGTCACTAAAATCACCCTACAAAGTAAGAATTTCTAATAAAGACAAAAAAGTAAAAAGTAAAGAAAGCAAAGAAAAATAAGAGTTTTAAATAATCCTCCTGGTACCTGGGAAACTAAGGTAGGCAGCATTCAAGTAATAGATCTAAGATGGCACTTCCAGTAAGAGGCAGAATCAGGAGTGGAATCCAGGCAGCCTGACTCCTGAATCCTTGTTCCTAACTATGGGACCCTCATGTCTTCAGGAATATGGAGTCCTGACTGTGATAGGGTGAAAAAGAGAAGTCCTCACTGTTTGCCTGTTGATTTCTAACCTTCTGCATCATGGGAATCTGTTAGAAAAGGGGAGGCCACACCTGGCCGGGCCCCTCTCACCCACTCTCAGTCCCCTAGCAGGTGCCCCACACAATGCCTGTGTCCTTGTCCATTGGTTCTACCATGACAATCAGAGGGACACCGATCCTCCCTTTTTTGTGAGTACTCCATGGTCCATGGCACGGGGGTGGAAAAGAAGGGAGAATATTTACTCAGGAAGTGGCCTCATGTGAGTGATGTGGAAATGTCTAGTTGGCATGATAAAGGCACCAATTAAGTTGCAGGTCCTGGAGACCCTCCAGCACCAGGCATGAAACCTGCAGTGGTTGCACTTTGGGCCAGTCATGTGGCCTAGGGGAGGAGGACACTCAGGGATTGGGGGTGTGGCTCATTATCAAGGGGCATAGACTTTTCAAAGAATGGACAAGTAATAGCTCAGGTCAGTGACTGTGGCTCAGTTTCCATCTTGTGATGAGTGACAGAGCATGTCCCCACCTGGGGGAATGAGGTGCTAAAACAGCCCCACAGAAACCAGTCCTGCAGTATCACCAGGGAGCCTGCTTTCTTCTTTGGGGAAAGGGGGGAAGGGATGTGTGTGTGTTGAGTGTGTGCCCCACGAGGGGGAGGGGCTTGCCCAACACTCTGTGTGCTTTGCCCTCAGCAATGACCCAGAGCTGCGGGTGGAATTCTACACTGGGACAAATGAGGACTCAGACATCGCCTTCCATTTCTGAGTGCACTTTGGCCATTGTCTGGCCATTGACAGCCATGTGTGTAGGGCCTGGAAGTGTGAGGGGAGATGCCACAATGTGCCCTTTTAGGATGGCAAGCCATTTGATCTGAGCATCTTGGTGCTGGACAATGAATACCAGGTGAGTGCCCTAGGAGCTCCCAGTACCCAGCCCTCCATGGGCTCCCAGAGCAGGAGGCAGCTCTCCCTGGCTTGGCCCCAATAGTCCCTCTGGACCCACCTCCCATAACTAGTTTTGCTTTGGGCTTTTCATCAAAACGCTCTGCTTGCGCCATCATCCTCAGCTCTTTTCCCAAATCTGACCAGGGTCAATATCAGCTCACCTCGCATTTCCCCCAAGGTGGAGAATCTCCTCTATCTTTTCCCATTGTGGTCACTTCCACTTTATGCTGTTATTTAAATTTTTCACTTCGCTGAATGAATACAATATTCCTAAAAATAAAATTGTTTTAGTCAATCAAAAATTAAGTCTATCTCATTCCTGGACCCAATCTTACTCCTGAGAACATTACCAGTGCTCTGTTCTCCTTCCACAGGAAATCTTTGCTTATGGAAGCATATAGATCTATACTTTCATTTGTTTTTAAGAAATTCCTAGTATACATTGCTTTACACATTACCCTTTAGGAACTGAGTTAATTTGTTGTTAAAAATATATATCTTGAAGACATCTTCTATTAATGGTGCTGCCTCAATTTTTAAAGATTGCATAATGTTGCATTAGAGCAATTACCCAAAATTATTGACCTTGACTCTTTTGATGGGCATTGAGGTTATTTCCAATATTTTGCTCTCACAGATGGTGCTGTAATAAGATTTCTAGTAAATTCTTTTGTCATTATCCACCTCTCTTACTTATGATGAAAAATAATCAGAAAGAAATGAAATAACAGGTTCAAAAATGTGTGCATTTTAAATTTAACAAATTGACACCTAGAAGGTTACTTTACAGCCTTAGTAATAAAGAATATGTCCAAATGTTCTGGCTCTTTCTAATGTGTAGGGCAAACGCCAAAAGATTCACATTTTATTCAGATTCAAGTGAGGGATCTTTATCTGTGCTTAGAAGCTGTTTAAAATGATATCTTATGTTTTGCAACACTTGTCCGATTCTACCTTTCCAAAAACACTTGAAATCTATTCTTGGCCACCACCAGCCCAGATCTAGGTAACTCCAAAGAGAAACTGGGCCATCAGCGTGAGTGGCAGTCAGAGTTCATAAAACTGAAAGATATGCATTCAACGAATATAGTCTAGCATTAATCCTGTGTGGACTCCTGTACAAGATGCAGGGATTCAAGCTCATGAAACAGAGTCACTATCTATGGGGGTTTTCCAGGCTAGAGGGGAGGCTGAGCAAACATAGACCAGCCTTGCTGGAAGTATGAGAGGAAAAATTAGAAATAAAGCAAACAACTGTCTCAAATAGGTACAAAAGTTGATCTGCAAACAGAAGTGTGTGTTTTGAGTTCAGTTATATAACTAGGAGTTTTCTCACGGGATGTTGTAGGTACTAGGACAGAGTAAAGAGGAGGCTGAAAGCTTGTTTGGTGGCATACTGTCTTTCTAATGCATTTTTCCTTTTGTAGGTAATAATAAATAGCCAACACTGTTGCAGCTTTGTCCATAACTCCCACCATGTTCTGTGAAGATGGTGCAAGTGTGGAGAGATGTCTCCCTGACCTCAATGTCTGTCTGCAGTTGATGCAGATGATCACACTCCTCATTGTTGAGGAATCCCTCTTTCTATGTGACCATAGGATTTCCAGAGCCTACTAACAGCATGATCTCTCCTCACTGTTTCTGCTACACTTGGTCATTAAAACATCACCAAACTACCGAGGATTTGTTTGGTTCTTGCTTTAAGGGAGAAAGAGAAAGTGGTCATTCCCAGGAGGGCCCAAGGAATTCTATGAGAGGCATCAAGAAATCAAAAAGGATAAGCCTTCGTGTGACTTCAGGAGTGAGTGACAAGGTCCCTGGAATGTCTGAGAAGACATTAGGTACAGCATCCTTCTATATCACATTGTTGACATCAGAGACTCTGAAACAAAATCCTTACTCAATCTCAGATGACTCACTGCACTGAAATGTTAGGTAGCTGTTTACAGCCACACAAGTGTACCTCAGGGAAGAAATTTGGTAACTTGAGGACAATCTGGTGGAATTTCCTAATTCCTTCCATTGTTCTCAGGATATTTATTGTGTATAAACATGGTGCTTTGGTCTGTAAAGACTGCCATGCAGGACCTTTAAAAAGAGACACATTTCTGACATGAAAATTTTAATCCAAACAATAGTTAGAGAATCACAGGAGCCCAAAAATTTCTCTTAAAGAACCTCAAATGTTGATGTTTAAAGATAATTGTGAGTTTTTTCTGATGTATGTGGCAGAATCCTTAGATTTCTATTTGGAAACAAATGGTCATGGTTTAAGTCCAGAAAATATGTAGTTTATTGTTGGGATGGACAGAATTCATACACATGGACACAGTGAGCAGACCTTGCTTTGCTGCTGTTTCACTAGGCATTGCAGCACAGCAAACCTCCCAACACATGTTGGCTTAGAGCAATCATTTATTCTGACCTTTCTCAGTTAACTGGACTCATGTGAGAGGTAGGTCATGTGGTGAGAATCATGTTTTCCGAAGCATCTTTCAGGCTGGGATTCCAGAGGATGCTTCACTGATGCCTGACCCAACACTAGAGCTGGGTGAACATCTGGGGGCTGGCTGGTTATTTTATTCCCTACTTCACCTCCCCATTCATGCCTTGAATTTTCTCAAATCATGAGAGTCTCATGATTCTTAGACTTAATGAATGATAATTGGCTTCCACTAAAGAAAGCCTTCCAAAAGGCTCAGGAAGAAGGTGCAAGGCATCATAGGACCTAGCTTTGAAAGGCACACAGTATCAGTACTGTGACATTATATTGATCAAAGTGAGCTATACAGACAGCCCAAATCAAAGGGTGGGGATTCCATAAGCTGTGGTTATTTTGACCTGTTGTCATGAGGGAGCATTTTTGGCAACTATTCCCACTCATTCCTCAGTGGCTTAAATGCTTTCCACATTCCAAAAACACTATCCTGTAAGGAACCACTGAATGCAATATGATTACAGAAACAGGCTCAGATTGAAGTTTAGAGTCTTATCGTTTAATCAGGATCTGGTGTCCATGAGGTGACTACAAATTATCAGGTGCACTTTCTCTCAACATATGCATTAAATGAATACATTACCTCCCCTATACAAATCAAACATACAAGACTGAAACAGATATAGGAAAATGCAGTGGACACATCTATTTTAGAAGGGCAAAAAATAATAAACAGCACCCTGAAAGCAAGATGGTCACCAATAGCTCTACTGGAGCTACCCACGAAAATTCAGCCAGGGTTCTCACTCTTGTTACATCTGCTCAAACCAGCATGGCCTTATCCAAAAATACTGTCTTGATGTGTGCCGCTTGTGTTTCCATAAGTACTTAAAGGATATATTTTTCATTAAGTTGGACTAAGTGATCTTCCTTGAATTGATATGCAAGACTTACATCCAATGAAAGAAACTGTGCTAGCACATTAAACATGAATAGAGATTAAAACAAAGAAACAAATAAAAACAAACAAGAACAAAAAAGAAAATAGGCAGCAGTCACTCGTCCACATTATTGGACCCTATTTTCATCTTCTCTGAAAGTGGTTCCCTGTGACAATTGGCTCCACCATCTATTGTCAGTTTCTTGGAACTCCTACCAAGATGACACAATGACAGCCCTTTTCTCGATACAGGAGCTGTGGTCACCTGGTTCATAGAACAAAAAGAGAACCACTTAGAAGATAAACAGCAAATTACCTAAAAGCCAAACAATGCAGATTGAAGAGGGTCTCATCAAATAGCCTCTTTGTCAGCAGGGCCCATATCAGGTGGCATTTTGATCATCCTCATCCTGTCTTCCCATGTTTATTGCCGCAGCTTGTTCAACAGCAACCTTACTCATAGATATGCCTCTCTCCTTTCCCTCCTTTAACCTAACATCCAGTTACCTTGAGGTGTCAATGCACAGTAAATAATACATTCATGCCTCTCTTTTTTGTTTCTTTCCAGTATAAGCTGAAATTTTCTCCCCTCTCACTGGAAAGTCTCAGGTTCTTGTTAGGTATACTCACCTCCTTGTATCATCCCACTCACAGTTTTGGTCACTTCTCTATTTTGATGATGGAGCATAGGCCTCCTCACCAGCATGGAAGTCATTTTTGGGCAATTAGGCAATTCTTGCTCAGAGTGGATTAAGACTATCTTGGAACCCATAACCCATGAAGTTTTTTTTTTTTTTGAGATGGAGTTTCACTCTTGTTGCCCAGGCTAGAGTGCAGTGGTGTGATCTCGGGTCACTGCAACCTCCACCTTCCAGTTTCAAGCAATTCTCCTGCCTCAACCTCCCAAGTAGCTGGGATTAGAGGCATCTGTCACCATGTCCGCCTAATTTTTGTATTTTTAGTAGAGAAGGGGTTTCACCATGTTGGCCAGGTTAGTCTCGAATTACTGACCTCAGGTGATACACCCACCTCGGCTTCCCAAAGTGCCGGGATTACAGGCGTGAGCCACTGCGCCTGGCCAGAACCCATGAATTTCTGAGCAGAACATGAGTTTAATTTCATATCTATATGTCCCTGGATGATTCCAATTGTATTTGAATAACCTACAGGGTCCTACATGCTGCCTGTGCTAGACAAACACACAGTGACTGCCTTTTCTTAACTGATATTCACCAGCTCAGTTCAGTTCACATAGGCCATTTGTTACACTCATCTTTATACTACCTACTATCCTGTGCTCATGGTAGCCAGGAGTGATGTCTCAGATAAAAAGATAACACATAGAGACCAGGAAGCAATGTTCAACAAGCAAGTTTTGATTTGCCTCTGGGGACCTACTCAACATCTTTTTCATGCTCCTCAACCTAAATTCACTAAATACAGCATTCCCACTAAATATAGCATTGCTCAAAACACAGAAGGTTATTCTTGGACTCTAAAGCCTTGCCTTCTGAAAGGTCTGGAGGGCTTTTCAGTTTTTGCTGAAAGCCCCCAAAGAATAAATCTAGTCTTTGAAAATGTCCTTGATGCCTAAGTCCACCAAAGCTGTTTCCTCTGGGGTGCTGTCCGTGATGCTGAGCACTGGTGCTTCTAGGCCTGTATTTGCAAGTGAGGGGCTAATAAAACAGAATTAGGAGATAAATTTTTTGTTTTGTTTTGTATTTGATAAATTGCAGCTCAAAATATGCATGATATATGGAGCAGGAAATGAATTTGGATTTTCAAACCACAATTTCTGCAATGCCTTCTATCACCACTTTTATTCAGCATAGTATTTGAAGTACCAGCCAGAGAGTTCAGCAAGAGAAAGAAACAAATGGCATCCAAATAGAGAACAAGGTTAAACCATCCATGTTTAGAGATATGATTCTATATCTGGAAAACCTCACAGTTTCCACCCAAACGATCGTTAAGCTGGTAAACAACTTTCGCAAAGTTTCAGCATACAAAATCAATGTGCAAAAATCACTAGAATTCCTACATGCCAAAGACAACGAACCACAGGGCCAAATCAAGAATGCAATTCCATTCACAATTTCCATAAAAAGAATAGAATATCTAGGAATACAACTAACTGGGAGGTGAAAGATTGTTACAATGAGAATTACAAAACACTGCTTAAAAAAGTAGAGAAGACCCAAACAAATGGAAAAACATTCCATGCTCACAGATAGCAAGAATAACTATCATTAAAACAACCACATTGCCCAAAGAAATGTACAGATTCAATGGTATTCCTATTGAACTATCAATAACATTCTTCACAGAATTAGAACAATCTATTTTAAAATGAATATTTTAAATATTAATTGAACCGAGTGGGTTGAATAAAAGATATTCCAAAGCAAAAAGAACAAAGCTAGAAGCATCACATTACCCAACTTCAAGCTGCACTATAGGGCCAGAGTAACCTAACAGCATAGTACTTGCATAAAAACAGACACATAGACCAATGGAACAGAAAAGAGAGGCAAGAAGTAAGGTCCCACACCTACAGCAATCTGATCTTTGACAAAGTTGACCAAACAAGCAATGGAAATAATTTTTGGATAACTAGCTAGCCACGTGCAGATGATTGAACCTGAACCACTTTCTTGCGTTATATAGAAAAATCAACTGAAGATGGGTTAAAGACTTAAATGTAAAACCCAAAACTATAAAAACCCTGGAAGTCTACCTAGGCAGTACCATACCGAATGTAGAAATAGGCAAAAGATTCCTGACAAAGATGCCAAAAGCAATCACAAGAAAAGCAAAAATTGACAAATGGATCTATTTAAACTAAAGAGCTTCTGCACAGCAACAGAACCTATCAACAGAGTCAACTGACAACCTACAGAATAGGAGAAAATATTTGCAAATTATGTATCTGAAAATTGTCTAATATCTAGCTTCTATAAGGAACTTTAACAACTTTACAAGAAAAGAACAAACAACCCCATAAAAAAGTGGGCAAAGGGCTGGGTGCAGTGGCTCACGCTTGTAATTCCAGCACTTTGGGTGGCTAAGGTAGGTGGATTGCTTGAGTCCAGAAGTTCAAGACCAGCTTTGGCAACACGGCAAAACCCTATCTCTATGAAAAATAGAAAAATTAGCTGAGTCTTGTCTCAGGCACCTGTAATCTCAGGGACTCAGGAAGGTGAGCTGGGAGGATCGCCTGAGCCCAGGCAGAGGTTGCAGTGAGACGAGATTTCACCACTGCACTTCAGCCTGGGTGTCAGACCAGGCTGTCTCAAAAAAAGTAGACAAAGAACAGGAACAGATACTTCTTAAAAGAAGACATACATGTGGCCAACGAGCATATGAAAAGAAGCTCAACAGCCCTGAACGTTAGAAAAATGCAAATCAAAACCACCATGGGATACCATCTCTCACCAGTCAGAATGGCTAGTATTCAAAAGTCAAAAAATAACAGAAACTGGCAAGTTTGTGAAGAAAAGGGAACACTTACACATTTTTGGTGGCAGTGTAAATTAGTTTAATCATTGTGGAAAGAAATGTGATGGTTCCTCGAATGGCTAAAATAGAACTACCATTCAACCCAGCTATCCCATCACTGAGTATATACCCAGAAGAATATAAATCATTCTACCATAAAAACGTGCACATGAATGTTTATTACAACAGTATGCACAATAGCAAAAACATGGACTCAACCTAATAGCTCATAAAGGACAGACTGGATAGAGAAAATGTGGTACATATACACCATAGAATACTATGCAGCCTCAAAAAAGAATGAGATTATGACTTTTGCAGGAACATGGATGGAGTTGGAGGTCATTAACCTTAGTGAACCAATGTGGAAATGAAAAACAAAATACTGCATGTTCTCACTTAGAAGTGTGAGCTAAATGATGAGGCCCATGGATACCAAGAGGGAAACAACACACACTGAGACCTACTTAAGGGTGGAGGGTAAAAGGTGAGACAGGAGCAGAAAAAATAACTATTGGGTACTAGGCTTAGTACCTGGATGTGAAATAATCTTTACCGCAAACCCCATGACACGAGTTTCCCTGCATATGTACCCCTGAACATAAAATAAACGTTTAAAAAACAAAGAAAAAAACCAATGTCACCTTTCTTCTGGAATCTGCAGGAGAAACAGTGTCTCTGAAACTTTGATTCACATGGACATCAAGAGAAAGGAGAGAGTATTGCTAGAGTCCAGGTGTGGGACAGACAGATGAGAGCAGCCCTCACCTGGTAGAGCCAAAGGGCTTAGCATGGGGCAGGTTCATGCAAGGACGTTCTCTACCTCCCCCCCGGATCATCCTGAGGATCAAGGGCAGTGCTGTCCCAGAATCTTTAAAGGCAAAAAGAACAATTTAAAGGCAGAATGTATGATCTGTAGGTGTCTCTTTCCAATAAGTGTGGGGAAGAGGAATACAGACTACGGGGGTACTGGTCCCTTAGGTGAGGTCTGCACAGCTGGTATGCAGTACCAGCTACTCAGGATACTGAGCTGGGAGGATCACCTGAGCCCAGGAGCCAGAGGTTGCAGTGAGCCAAGATGGAGCCACACCACTCCAGCCTGAATGTCAGAGTGAGACCTGTCTTAAAACAACAACAAAAGGCGAGAAAAGACAAGAACAGAGAACAGATACTTTTCTTTTCTTTTCTTTTCTTTTTTTTTTGAGATGAAGTCTCACTCTGTCCCCCAGGCTGGAATGCAGTGGCATGATCTTGGCTCACTGCAAGCTCTCCCTCCCGCATTCATGCCATTCTCCTGCCTCAGCCTCCTGAGTAGCTGGGACTATAGGCGCCCGCCACCGGCCCGGCTAATATTTTGTATTTTTAGTAGAGACAGGGGACGCTTCTCAAAAGTACACATACAGGTGGCCAACAAGTATATAATAAAAGCTCAATATCACTGAACATTAGAGAAATGCAAATCAAAACTACAATGAGATACCATCTCACACCAGTCAGAATGGCTCTTCTTAAAAAGTCAAAAAAGGACAGATGCTGGCAAGGGTGTGGAGAAAAAGGAGCACTTACAGATTATTGGCGGTGGTGTAAATTAGCTCACCCATTGTGGAAAGCAGTGTGGTGATTCCTCAAAGAGCTTATAACAGAACTACCATTAAACCCCGCAATCCCATTACTGGGAATGGTGTATACACTACTGTATACACAGAAGAATAGAAATTATTCTGCCTTAAAGACATATGCATATGAATGTTCATTGCAACACTGTGCACAATAGCAAAGACACAGAATGAACCCAAATGCCATCAAGGACAGATTGGATACAGATAATGTGATACATATACACAATGGAATACTATGAAGCCCTAAAAAAGAATGAGTTCATGTCTTTTGCAGGAACATGGATGGAGCTGGAGGCCATTATTTTTAGCAAACTAATGCAGGAACAGAAAACCAAATACTGCATGTTCTCACTTATAATTGTGAACTAAATGATGAGACTCATGGACACCAATAGGGGAACAACACACACAGAAGCCTACTTGAGGTTGGAGGGTGAAAGGTGAGATAGGAGCAGAGAAAATAACTATTGGGTACTACGCTTAGTACCCAGGTGAAGAAATCATATGTACCACAAACCTCATGACATGACTTTATCTGCATATGTACCCCTGAACCTATAATAAAAGTAAAAAAAAAGAAAAAAGAAAAAAAATCTCATCTTTCTCCCAGAATCTGCAGGAGAAACAATATCTCTGAAACTTTGTTTTACATGGACTCCAAGACAAAGCAGAGAATGCAGCTAGAGCCCAGGTATGTGACAGACAGATGAGAGTGACCCTCACCTGGCAGATCCAAGGGGCCTAGTGTGAGGCAGGTTCATGCAAGAACTATCTCTACTTCTCTTCCCAGATCCTCCTGAGGATCAAGGTCAAAAGGATCTGACCCTTAAAGGCCCTCCCAGAACCTTTAAAGGCAAAGAGAAGAATTACCTTCTAGGTCTAACGTCTTTTTCCAAAATTCCCAATTTTTTATTTTTAGTCATTGTACAAATTGAGGAAATGTACACCTTCTGGCTAGATTCTGCATACTGGAGAAAAAGCTTGAGAGGCACAAAGGCTGGGCTTTACAATCCCTACCCCTCACTCCATCATCCTTATCTATGCATTTCCCTGGTAACCCAATCCACAGCCTGGTACCTCCCCCACTGTCATTTCTGCTGCATTACAGACACAGACCTGCAAACATCTATGGTTGTGACAGAGTTTCTTTCTGACACCTGAGTCTTTCTCCTGCTGCACGGAAAGCTTGCTGGGAGGGGCTTGGAATCTGGCATGAAGCCAAAGGGCATCTCTGAGTTGCAGCATTTAAATGATCCCACTCAGAGATTCACACAGAAGACTGGACACAATTCCGAAGAGCTGCCCAGAAGGAGAGAACAATGTCATCACTACCCGTGAGTTGAAAAGTCACAGCCTTCAATAATCTCAAGTCACATAAACCAAGAAAGAAACAGGGGAGGTTTTCTGAGTTGAAAATATGAGCATTCCTACTGTGAATGCATTACCGAGAGTTGTGGGTGTGTAGAAGAGAAACCCTGAGGCTGTGGTATCTGAGATGATTGTGGGTGTAGGCTGTGGACCCTGGACCAGTGTAACCCTCTGTGAGGGTGTGGTGGTGTCTGATGAGAGTGAACTCTGCTGAGATTAAGTGACTTTAGGTGGGAGGTGGATGACCCACCAGGACCGGCAAGTGTGTGAGTGAGTGTAAGGGGGTGAGTGTGCTTTGTCTTCCTGTCTGTGATGTGAGTGTGTGTGGGCACAGCCAGACCAGTGCATGGTCATCTTTATGTGCACAGTGAGCAGGTGTGTGTAACTCAGTGAGTGGCATGGCTCTGTGTGACTATGGGTGTGTGTGCTGGGATGTGACTGGGTATTGAAGGGAAAACATGCACGTGGCCTTCTGTGCATGTGAAGGTTCCTCCCCACACAGCAGCACCTCTGATGAAGCACCTGTGTGTCTTTTCATGTGTGGCAATGTGGATCCCAAGTGGCTTAACTGGTGGGGATCTTGGGGATTGTGAGTTACCAAGGACTCGTTTCAGATCACTTATGAGAGCGAAATATATCATCAGTAGATATCTCTTCCCAGTAAGAGTGAGGAAAAGGAACGCAGATTATGGGAGAGATGGTTCCTCAGGTGGGGACTGCACAGAGTGATCACTGGCTTTTGCCTCCCAGGCTCAGCTTCCCTGTCGCTAGCCCAGCCTGTTCTTCCCATTGTGGAACAGGCGAGTGTGAAGATACTGATTTGCCAGGGAAGAATATTAGAGGCCGTGGTTAAAGAGACGGAATCAAACAAAATATCCACTGTAAGCTCTGTCTGAACTGAGACTAAACTTGTTCCTCCACTCATGAAAGAACAAGCTGTCTGAATTCAGACAGTGCTTACTGTGGACATTACTCAACAAAGCAGCTGGGTTCACTGGTTCATGACTATAATCCCACCAATTTGGGAGGCAAAGATGGGAGGGTAACTTGAGGCCAGAAATTTGAGACCGGTCTAGGCATCATAGTGATATGCTTTCTTTAAAAATCTTTAAATATCTGACTGGCAGAGTGGCAGACACCTTTCACCCCAGCTACACAAGAGGGGGCAGATGTGTGAGGATCACTGCAGTCCAGGAGTTCGATGTTTCAGTGAGCTGTGATTGCACCACTGCATATCAGCCTGGGTGACAGAGCAAGACCCTATCTCAAAAATACAGAAAAATCATCAACCACTTGCAGTCGTCGTAGAAATCAATCATTCCCTCCAGTTATGTCCCTGACCCACAGGCTTCATTTGTGCAAGTACTGGGGCTGTGCTGTCAGTAATGTGTGCCGCTTCTGGGAAGGACGTCCATTGCCCTTGATGATTGTGGTGCGTGTACATCCCACACACAGGGGTTTCCTGTTCTTTCGTCATTTCCCTTTCTCTTTCAACAAGTGTTGTTTCTCACTGGAGTGAATTTTTAAATTCTTTCACCCTCAAGTCTTGTTTTCATTTTCTGAGTTGAAAATAAGGCAGGTCAGTGTTTCAGGAGGACTCCCCTGTTCTGTTAGGTCACCCCTAATTGACCCTATACATGCCAGGGATTAGGGTAAAAGTTTTACCTATATTAACTCCTCTATTACTGAGAACACCCTACAAAGTAGGAATTCCTGATAGTCCTCCTTGTCCTGGGGAAACTGAGGCAGGGAGAGGTTAAGTAATAGATCTAAGATTGCACTGCTAGTATAAGGCAAAATGAGGACTGGAATCCAGGCATCCGGGCTCTTGAACAATTGCTCTTACCTATGGATCCACCATATCTTCAGGAATATGGGGCCCTGACTGTGGTAGGGTGAAAGGGGAGAGGCCTCAGAGTCTGACCTTTGATCTCTAACCTCCTGCACCATGGGAATCTGTTACATAGGGGAGGTTACACCTTACCCTTTAGCTCTCACTCACTCTCCATACCCTGGCAGGTACCATACACACTGCCTGTTTCCTTGCCTGTTGGTTCGTGCGTGATAATCACAGGGACACCGATCCTCACTTTTGTGTGAGTACTCCATGGTCCAATGGAGGGGGTGGAGGAGAGAAGGGAGAATATTTGCTAAGGGTTTAACCTTATGTGTGAGTGATGTGGAAAACTCTAGTTGGCATAATGAAGGCCTCATGCAAGTGCAGGCCCTGGAGACCTTCCAGCAACAGACATGAGACCTGTAGAAACTGCATGCAGGCCAGCCACGGAACCTAGGGGAGGAGAACACTCAGTGGGTTTGGGTTGTGGCTCTTTATTAAAGGGCATAGAATTTTCAGGAAATGAACAAGTCATAGGCCCATGTCACTGACTGGCGCTCAGTTTTTGTCTGGGGATGAGGAACACAGCATCTCCCTGCCTGGGGGCATGAGGAGCTAAAGCGTCCCCACAGGGACCAGGACTGCAGTATCATCGGGGAGACTTTTTGCCCTGGGTAAAGGGGGGAAGGGATTTGTGTGTGTGGCGAGTGTGTGTCTGCACAATGGGGGGACCTGCCCAACATGCTGTGTGCTTTGACCTCAGCAAGGACCCACAGCTGGAGGTGAATTTCTACACTGGGATGGATGAGGACTCAGATATTGCTTTCCAATTCCGACTGCACTTTGGTCATCCTGCAATCATGAACAGTTGTGTGTTTGGCATATGGAGATATGAGGAGAAATGCTACTATTTACCCTTTGAAGATGGCAAACCATTTGAGCTGTGCATCTATGTGCGTCACAAGGAATACAAGGTGAGTACTTCAGGATCTTCCAGCGCTGGAGCTCTGTGGGCTCTTAGAGCAGGAGGCAGCTTTCATTGACCTGGTGCCACCAGTCCCTTGGGGCCCATCTTCCATAACTATTCCTGTTTCAGGTTTTCATCACAGAGCACCCTCTGCTTGCACTGCCATCCTCAGCTCTTTCCCAAATCTGACCAAGATCAAGGTCGGCTCACCTGCCATTTCCTCCAAAGTGGAGAATCTCCTCTGTCTTTTCCCATAGTGCTCATTTCTACTTATGCCATTTTTAAAATTTTCATTTAGCTGAATGTATACTATATACTTAAGAAAAAGGTGGTTTTAATCATTCAAAAATTATGTTTCAATTTTGGGCCCAATTCTACTCATAAGAACACCATTACTAGAGTTCTGCTCTTCTTCAGAAAGAAACTTTTTATTTTTTTATTTTTTTGAGACAGAGTCTCACTTTGTCATCCAGGTTGGAGTGCAGTGGCGTGATCACAGCTCATTGCAAACTCCACCACCCAGATTCAAGCAATTCTCTTGCCTTAGTCTCCCAAGTAGCCGGAATTACAGGTGCATGCCATCACACCTTGTTAACTTTTGTATTTTTAGTAGAAGAAGAGTTTCACCATGTTGGCCAGGCTTGTCTTCAACTCCCGACCTTGTGTGATTTGCTCACCTTGGCCTCCCAAAATACTGGGATTACAGGCATAAGCCACCGTGCCCAGCCTTTCAGAGGAAATCTTTTCCTATGGAAGCATGTAGATATGTCTATGATTGCATTTGTTTTTAAGCAAATCCTGGTGTAAGTTGCTCTACACATTACACTTTAGCAACTAAGTTGATTTGTTGTCAAAGAATATATCTTGAAGACATTATCAATCCACGGTGCCGCTTCAGTTTTTAAAGATTACATAATATTGCATTAAAAAGTTTACCCAAAATTATTGAACTTGACCCTTTTTTGGGCATTAAAGTTGTTTCCAGTATTTTGCTCTCACAAATGATGCCGTATTAAGTTTTATAGTCAATCCTCTTGTCATTACTAATTTCCCAATACTTATACTGGAAGATAATTAGAAAAAAATGAAAAAAACAGCTCAAAAATGTGTAAATTTTAAATTTGAAAAATTAACACTAAGAAGGTGACTTTCTCTATAGCCTCGACATAAGGAATATATCCATAGTTTCCATTCTTTTTGGCTTTCTCTAATGAGTAGGCCAAAAGATTCACATCTTATTCAGATTCAAGTGAGGGATCTTTTCCTAGGCTTAAAAGTTGTTGAAGATAATATCCTATGTTTTACAAGACCTGTCCTCCTTTAACTCTCTAAGAACCCTGGGTTTCATTCTTTGCCACTAACACCTCAGATGTAGGCTACTCCAAAGAGGAACTGTGCCATCAGTAGTGAAAGGCAGTCACAGTTCATGGAACTGAAAAGTATGCATTCAATGAACATGGCCTCGCACTAACCCTCTGGCAGGTCCTGTGCGAGATGCAGGGTCTCAAGTTCCTGAGACACCGTCCCTGGTGATGGGGATCTTCCAGGTTGGAAGGGAGGCCGAGTAAACGGACTGTGTGACACGGTGTATAACTTCACTAGGGGAATGAGAGAAAACATTAGAAATAAAATGAGCATCTGTCTCAAATAGGCACGAAACATAGCCTGTAAAATCACAGAAGTGTGTCTACTAGGTTCACTTGTGTAACTAGGAGTTTTCATGGGGAAGGTTATTTGTAACTGGGCAGAGAAGAGAAAGGGCTGAAAACCTGTTTGGTGGCATGCTGTCTTTCTGATGCATTTTTCCTCTTGTAGGTAATGGTAAATGGCCAACGCATTTACAACTTTGCCCATCGATTCCCGCCAGCATCTGTGAAGATGCTGCAAGTCTTCAGAGATATCTCCCTGACCAGAGTGCTTATCAGCGATTGAGGGAGATGATCAGACTCCTCATTGTTGAGGAATCCCTCTTTCTACCTGACCATGGGATTCCCAGAGCCTACTAACAGAATAATCCCTCCTCACCCCTTCCCCTACACTTGATCATTAAAACAGCACCAAACTTCACATGATTGGTTCTTGCTTTAAGAGGGGAAAAGAGGAAGTGGTCATCCCCAAGAGGGTCCAGGACATTCTATGGGAGGCATCAGGAAATCAAAGGGGATAAACCTTCCTGTGACAAAGGGAGTGAGTGACAAAGTCCCTGGAATGTCTGAGAAGACATCAGAAACAACATTCTTCTATAGTAGGTAGTTGATGTCAGACAGTCTGAACCAAAATCCTTACCCAATGTCAGATGACTCACTGCACTGAAATGTTAGGTAGCTGTTTACAGCCACACAGGTATACCTAGTGGCTGTGGGCAGAACCTGTAACTTGAGGGAAATCATGTGGAATTCCTTAATTTTTTTCATTGTTCTCAGGATGCTTATTGTGTAGGCACATTGTGAAGTTTTCAATCTAAGTAGTAGGGAAATATTGGAGCCTAGTGTTTTCCTTAAAGAATCTCAATTATTCTTATTTCCAAATATTCAAAGATTTTTCCATTTTATGTGTGCAGAATTAAGGGGTTTCTCTTTGGAAATAAGTGGTCATGGTTTTAGATCAGAGAACATGTAGATTATTATTGGAATAGACACAGTCCATGTACATGGACACAGTGAGCAGACGCTGCTTTGCTGCTGTTCCAGTGACAAATTGTAGCATAGCACACCTCCCAACACATATTGACTAAAAACAATCATTAATTTTGATCTCTGCCAGCTTTACAGGTTTATTCAACTCATGTGAGTGGTAGGTCATGTGATGAGAGTCATTTACAGAGAAATCTTTTAGGCTGTGATTTCAGAGGATGCTTCCCTCCTGTCCAACTCAACACTAGGGCTGGATGAACACCTAGAAACTGGTGGGTTATCTCTTTCACTACCACACCTTTCCATTCATTCCTTGAATATGTTCAAATCAGGAGAGTCTCACGGTTCTCGGACTTAAGGAATGGTGATTGGCTTTCAGCAAAGAAAGCCTTCCAAAAGGCTCATGGAGACAGTGCATGGCATTATAGGACCTACCTTTGAATGGCAGACAGTGTCACTTCTATGACTTTACATTGAGCAAGTTGAGTCACACAGAGAGCCCTAATCAAAAGGAGAGGACTCCACAAGCTGTGATTATTGTGACTGTAGTCATGAGGAGCCATCTTTGGCAACCAGTTTCACTCAGTCGTAACTGGCTTATATACTTCCCACATACTAACAACACTAACCCTGTAAGGAATCTCTGAAGACATTACTATAACAGGAACAGGCTCAGAGTTAAGTGCTGTATCTTATCTAATCAGGATGTGGTGTCTATAAGGTGACTACAAATTATCACTTGCAATCTCTCTCAACATGTGCACAAAAGGGACACATTATCCGCTTTATACAAATCAAACAAAAAAGACAAAAAGAGATAGGAAAAAGGCAATGAACACACCTATTTTAGAGAGGCAAAATAAAATAGACAGCAGTCACTAATCCATATCACTGGTGAAACCAACCAGACATCTATTTTCATTTTCTCTGGGAATGTTTCTCTGTAGCACTTGTCCTCACCCTCCATTCTCAGCTTCTTGGATTTCTTACCAAAATGGCAGAATGGCAGCCCTTTTCCCACTGTAAGAGCTGTGATTATCTGCTTCATAGCATGTATGGAGAACCACTTAGGAGAAGAGAAACAAAATATTATCTAAAAATCAATGAAGGCAGGATGAAGAGAGTCCCACCAAATAGCCTCTTTGTTTGCAAGGACCATCTTAGGTGTCATTTTAATCATTCTCATTTTCTCTCTCCATGTTCACTGCAACAGTTTCTGCAACTCCAACCTCACTCATGGGTATGCCTCTCTGCTTACCCCTCCTTTAACCTAACATCCAGATACCTTGAGGTGCCAACGCACAGTGAATGGCACTCTTCATGCCTCTCTTCCTTGTTTCTTTTCAGTATGGAATGAAATTCCCTCCCCTCTCACTGGAAACTCTTGTGTTCTGATTAGATACACTGTCCTCCTTACACCTTCCCTGTCACAGTCTTGATCACTTCTTTATTTTGATAATGAATTATAGGCCCTATCACCAGCATGGAATTCATTTTTGGGGGGAATTGTGTAATTTGTGCTCTGAGTGGATGCAAACTATCCTGAAACCACTGGCTTCATGAGCAGAAAACGACTTGGATTTCACATCAACTTGCCGCTTGCCTGGCAGTCATTTTATTTGAATAACTGACATAATTTTACATGCCGGCCCTGTTAGGCAAACACACAGTGATTGTCCTTTCTTGAATGATATTCACCACCTCAGTGCACTTCCTAAAGGTCATTCGTTACATTCATCTTTATTCAGCTGCTACTCTGTGTTCATAGTGGTCAGGAATTACATCTTAGATACAAAGAGATTACATAGAGTCCAGGGTGAATGCTCAACTAATAATTTTTGAATTGCCTCTGAAAATCTACTCAACATTTTTCCTCCTCCTGCTCAATCAAAATTCATTGTCTTCTCCCAGCAAAAAGGGGATTGGTCAAAAAGCAGAAACTCTTTAATGAACTCTAAAGCCTCCTCATCTCAAAGGTCTTTTGGTCTTTCCAGTTATAACAGAAGCCCCCAAAGAATAAATATACTCTGTGATAATAATGTCCTTGATGCCTAACTCTCTCAGTGTTGCGATTCCTCTGGGATGCCATCTGTGATGCTACTAAACATTGGTGTATGTGGGCCTCTATTTGCAAGTGATGGACCAAGAAGATAGAATAAAAAAGAAATTTAAAAAATTTCCCCATTTTATTTATTTTTACCATTCTTTAACTTTTCTTTTAAGTTCAAGTGTGCATGTGCAGGTTTGTTATATAGGTAAACCCCTTGTCACAGGTGTTTGTTGTATAGATTATTTCACCACCCAGGTACTGAGCAAAGTACCAATAGTTATTTTTTGTGCTCTTCTCCCTCTTCTCACCCTCTGCTCTCAAATAGGCCCCAGTGTTTGTCATTTACTTCTTTGTGGTTATGAGTTCTCATCGTTTAGCTTCCACTTATAAGTGAGAACACGAAGTATTTTTCTTCTGGTCCTGCATTAATTTGCTAAGGTTAATGGCCTCTAGCTCCATCTATGTTCCCTCAAAAGACATGACCTTGTTCTTTTTTATGGCTGCATAATATTCCATGATGTATATGTAACATATTTTCTGTATTCAATCTGTAATTGATGGACATTTATGTTGATTCCATGTGTTTGGTATTATGGTTTTAGTTTGCATTTCCCTGATGATTAGTAATGTTGAACATTTTTTTCATATATTTATTGGCAGTTTTTACATATTTTTTGTCTTTGTACTGAAATTTTATTTTATTTTTATTTTTTTAACTCATTAATTTAGTTTATTTTTTCCCATAAGTTATTGTGATACAGGTTGTATTTGGTTACATGAGTAAGTTCTTTATTTGTGATTTGTGAGATTTTGGTGCACCCATTACCCAAACTGTGTCATATTTGTAGTCTTTTATCCCTCATCCCCCTCCACTCTTCCCCCCCAAGTCCCCAAAGCCCATCATATTATTTTTATGCCTTTGTGTCCTCATAGGTTAGCTCCCACATATCATTGAGAACATATGTTTGTTTTCCATTCCTGAGTTACTTCACTTAAAATAATAGTCTCCAATCTCATTCAGGTTACTGCAAATGCTGATAATTCATTTCTTTTTGTGGTTGCATAGTATTCCATTGTGTGTGTGTATATATATATATACCTACACACACAATGGATATATATGTACCTTTTTTTAATCCATTTGTTGATTGATGGACATTTGTGTTGGCTCCACAATTTTGCTATTGTGAATTGTGTCACTAGAAACATGCATGTACAAGTATTCTTTTCAAATATTAACTTCTTGTCCTCTGGGTAGATACCCAGTAGTGGGATTGCTGAATCAAATTGTAGTTTTATTTTTAGTTCTTTTAAAAATCTCCACACTGTTTTCCATAGCAGCCATACTAGTTTACATTCCCAACAGCAGTATAGAAGTGTTTCCTGATCACCTCATCCATGCCAAAATCCTTTTTTATTTATTATTTTTTATTATGGCCATTCTTGCAGGAATGAGGTGGTACTGCATTATTGTTTTGATTTGCATTTCCCTAATAATTAGTGATGCTGAGCATTTTTTCATGTGCTTGTTGGCCATTTGTATGTCTTCTTTTGAGAATTGTCTATTCATGTCCCTAGCCCGCTTTTTGATGTGGTTGCTTTTTTCTTGCTGATTTGTTTGAGTTCCTTGTAGATTCTGAATCTTAGTCTTCTGTCAGATGCATAGTTTGTGAATATTTTTTCCCACTCTGTGAGTGGTCTGTTTACTCTGCTGATTATTTCTTTTACTGCACAGAAGATGTTTAGTTTAGATAGATCTCATTTATTTATTTTCGTTGCATTTGCTTTTGGGTTCGTAGTCATGAATTCTTTACCTAAGCCAATGTCTAGAAGAGTTTTTCAATGTTATCTTCTTGAATTTTATTTTATTTCATTTTATTTTAATTTTATTATTATTATACTTTAGGTTTTAGGGTACATGTGCACAATGTGCAGGTTTGTTACATATGTATACATGTGCCATGTTGGTGTGCTGCACCCATTAACTCGTCATTTAGCATTAGGTATATCTCCTAATGCTATCCCTCTCCCCTCCCCACACCCATGACAGTCCCCGGTGTGTGATGTTCCCCTTCCTGTGTCCACGTGTTCTCATTGTTCAATTCCCACCTATGAGTCAGAACATGCGGTGTTTGGTTTTTTGTCCTTGCGATAGTTTGCTGAGAATAATGGTTTCCAGCTTCCTCCATGTCCCTACAAAGGACGTGAACTCATCATTTTTTATGGCTGCATAGTATTCCAAGGTGTATATGTGCCACATTTTCTTAATCCAATCTATCATTGTTGGACAGTGGGGTTGGTTCCAAGTCTTTGCTATTGTGAATAGTGCCTCAATAAACATACATGTGCATGTGTCTTTATAGCACCATGATTTATAATCCTTTGGGTATATAGCCAGTAATGGGATGGCTGGGTCAAATGGTATTGCTAGTTCTAGATCCCTGAGGAATCGCCACACTGACTTCCACAATGGTTGAACTAGTTTACAGTCCCACCAACAGTGTAAAAGTGTTCCTATTTCTCCACATCCTCTCCAGCACCTGTTGTTTCCTGACTTTAATGATCGCCATTCTAACTGGTGTGAGATGGTATCTCATTGCGGTTTTGATTTGCATTTCTCTGAAGGCCAGTGATGGTGAGCATTTTTTCATGTGTTTTTTGGCTGCATAAATGTCTTCTTTTGAGAAGTGTCTGCTCATATCCTTCGCCCACTTTTTGATGGGGTTGTTTGTTTTTTTCTTGTAAATTTGTTTGTGTTCATTGTAGATTCTGGATATTAGCCCTTTGTCAGATGAGTAGGTTGCAAAAATTTTCTCCCATTTTGTAGGTTGCCTATTCACTCTGATGGTAGTTTCTTTTGCTGTGCAGAAGCTCTTTAGTTTAATTAGATCCCATTTGTCAATTTTGGCTTTTGTTGCCATTGCTTTTGGTGTTTTAGACATGAAGTCCTTGCCCATGCCTATGTCCTGAATGGTATTGCCTAGGTTTTCTTCTAGGGTTTTTATGGTTTTAGGTCTAACATTTAAGTCTTTAATCCATCTTGAATTAATTTTTGTATAAGGTGTAAGGAAGGGATCCAGTTTCAGCTTTCTACAGATGGCCAACCAGTTTCCCAGCACCATTTATTAAATAGGGAATCCTTTCCCCATTGCTTGTTTTTGTCAAGTTTGTCAAAGATCAGACAGTTGTAGATATGTGGTATGATTTCTGAGGGCTCTGTTCTGTTCCATTGGTCTGTATCTCTGTTTTGGTACCAATACCATGCTGTTTTGGTTACTGTAGCCTTGCATTATACTTTAAAGTCAGGTAGTGTGATGCCTCCAGCTATGTTCTTTTGGCTTAGGATTGACTTGGCAATGTGGGCTCTTTTTTGGTTCCATATGAAATTTAAAGTAGTTTTTTCCGATTCTGTGAAGAAAGTCATTGGTAGCTTGATGGGAATGGCATTGATTCTATAAATTACCTTGGGCAGTATGGCCATTTTCATGATATTGATTCTTCCTACCCGTGAGCATGGAATGTTCTTCCATTTGTTTGTGTCCTCTTTTATTTCATTAAGCAGTGGTTTGTAGTTCTCCTTGAAGAGGTCCTTCACATCCCTTGTAAGTTGGATTCCTAGGTATTTTATTCTCTTTGAAGCAATTGTGAATGAGAGTTCACTCATGATTTGGCTCTCTGTCTGTTATTGGAGTATAAGAATGCTTGTGATTTTTGCACATTGATTTTGTATTCTGAGACTTTCTGAAGTTGCTTATCAGATTAAGGAGATTTTTGGGCTGAGACGATGGGGTTTTCTAGATATACAATCATGTCATCTGCAAACAGGGACAATTTGACTCCCTCTTTTCCTAATCGCATGCCCTTTATTTCCTTCTCCTGCCTGATTGCCCTGGCCAGAATTTCCAATACTATGTTGAGTAGGAGTACTGAAAGAGGGCATCCCTGTCTTGTGCCAGTTTTCATAGGGAATGCTTCCAGTTTTTGTCCATTCAGTATGATACTGCCTGTGGGTTTGTTATAGATAGCTCTTATTATTTTGAGATACGTCCCATCAATACCTAATTTATTGAGAGTTTTTAGCATGAAGCATTGTTGAATTTTGTCAAAGGCCTTTTCTGCATCTATTGAGATAATCATCTGGTTTTTGTCTTTGGTTCTGTTTATATGCTGGATTACGTTTATTGATTTGTGTATGTTGAACCAGCCTTGCATCCGAGGGATGAAGCCCACTTGATCATGGTGGATAAGCTTTTTGATGTGCTGCTGGATTCGGTTTGTCAGTATTTTATTGAGGATTTTTGCATCAATGTTCATCAAGGATGTTGGTCTAAAATTCTCTTTTTTGGTTGTGTCTCTGCCAGGCTTTGGTATCAGGATGATGCTGGCCTCATAAAATGAGTTGGAGAGGATTCCCTCTTTTTCTATTGATTGGAATAGTTTCAGAAGGAATGGTACCAGCTCCTCCTTGTACCTCTGGTAGAATTCGGCTGTGAATCCATCTGGTCCTGGACGTTTTTTGGTTGGTAAGCTATTAATTATTGCCTCAATTTCAGAGCCTGTTATTGGTCTATTCAGAGATTCAACTTCTTCCTGGTTTAGTCTTGGGAGGGTGTATGTGTCGAGGAATTTATCAATTTCTTCTAGATTTTCTAGTTTATTTGCGTAGAGGTGTTTATAGTATTCTCTGATGGTAGTTTGTATTTCTGTGGGATCAGTGGTGATATCCCCTTTGTCATTTTTTATTGCATCTATTTGATTCTTCTCTCTTTTCTTCTTTATTAGTCTTGCTAGCGGCCTATCAATTTTGTTGATCTTTTCAAAAAACCAGCTCCTGGATTCATTAATTTTTTGAAGGGTTTTTTGTGTCTCTATTTCCTTCAGTTATGCTCTGATCTTAGTTATTTCTTGCCTTCTGCTAGCTTTTGAATGTGTTTGCTCTTGCTTCTCTAGTTCTTTTAATTGTGATGTTAGGGTGTCAATTTTAGATCTTTCCTGCTTTCTCTTATGGGCATTTAGTGCTATAAATTTCCCTCTACCCACTGATTTAAATGTGTCCCAGAGATTCTGGTATGTTGTGTCTTCATTCTCATTGGTTTCAAAGAACATCTTTATTTCTGCCTTCATTTCGTTACTTACCCAGTCGTCATTCAGGGGCAGGTTGTTCAGTTTCCATGTTGTTTTGCAGTTTTGAGTGAGTTTCCTAATCCTGAGTTCCAGTTTGATTGCACTGTGGTCTGAGGGACAGTTTGTTATAATTTCTGTTCTTTTACATTTGCTGAGGAGTGCTTTACTTCCAACGATGTGGTCAATTTTGGAATAGGTGTGGTGTGGTGCTGAAAAGAATGTATATTCTGTTGATTTGGGGTGGAGAGTTCTGTAGATGTCCATTAGGTCTGCTTGGTGCAGAGCTGAGTTCAATTCCTGGATATCCTTGTTAACTTTCTGTCTTGTTGATCTGTCTAATGTTGACAGTGGGGTGTTAAAGTCTCCCATTATTATGGTGTGGGAGTCTAAGTCTCTTTGTAGGTCTCTAAGGACTTGCTTTTTGAATCTGGGTGCTCCTGTATTGGGTGCATATATATTTAGGATAGTTAGCTCTTCTTGTTGAATTGATCCCTTTACCATTATATAATGGCCTTCTTTGTCTCTTTTGATCTTTGTTGGTTTAAAGTCTGTTTTATCAGAGACTAGGATTGCAACCCCTGCCTTTTTTTATTTTCCATTTGCTTGGTAGATCTTCCTCCATCCCTTTATTTTGAGCCTATGTGTGTCTCTGCACGTGAGATGGGTTTCCTGAATACAGCACACTGATGGGTCTTGACTCTTTATCGAATTTGCCAGTCTGTGTCTTTTAATTGGAGCATTTAGCCCATTTACATTTAAGGTTAATATTGTTATGTGTGAATTTGATCCTGTCATTATGATGTTAGCTGGTTATTTTGCTCGTTAGTTGATGCAGTTTCTTCCTAGCCTTGATGGTCTTTACAATTTGGCATGATTTTGCAGTGGCTGGTACCGGTTTTTCCTTTCCATGTTTAGTGCTTCCTTCAGGAGCTCTTTTAGGGCAGGCTTGGTGGTGACAAAATCTCTCAGCATTAGCTTGTCTGTAAAGGATTTTATTTCTCCTTCACTTATGAAACTTAGTTTGGCTGGATATGAAATTTTGGGTTGAAAATTCTTTTCTTTAAGAATGTTGAATATTGGCCCCCACTCTCCTCTGGCTTGTAGAGTTTCTGCCAAGAGATCAGCTGTTAGTCTGATGGGCTTCCCTTTGTGGGTAACCCGACCTTTCTCTCTGGCTGCCCTTAACATTTTTTCCTTCATTTCAACTTTGGTGAATCTGACAATCATGTGTCTTGGAGTTGCTCTTCTCAAGGAGTATCTTTGTGGCATTCTCTGTATTTCCTGAATCTGAATGTTGGCCTGCCTTGCTAGATTGGGGAAGTTCTCCTGGATAATATCCTGCAGAGTGTTTTCCAACTTGGTTCCATTCTCCCTGTCACTTTCGGGTACACCAGTCAGACATAGATTTGGTCTTTTCTCATAGTCCCATATTTCTTGGAGGCTTTCTTCGTTTCTTTTTATTCTTTTTTCTCTAAACTTCTCTTCTCTCTTCATTTCATTCATTTCATCTTCCATCACTGGTACACTTTCTTCCAGTTGATCGCATCGGTTACTGAGGCTTGTGCATTTGTCACTTAGTTCTCATGCCATGGTTTTCAGCTCCATCAGGTCCTTTAAGGACTTCTCTGCATTGGTTATTCCAGTTAGCCATTCGTCTATTTTTTTTTTCAAGGTTTTTAACTTCTTTGTCATTGGTTTGAACTTCCTCTTTTAGCTCAGAGTAGTTGGATCTTCTGAAGGCTTCTTCTCTCAACTCGTCAAAGTCTTTCTCTGTCCAGCTTTGTTCCGTTGCTGGTGAGGGGCTGCGTTCCTTTGGAGGAGGAGAGGTACTCTGATTTTTATAGTTTCTGGTTTTTCTGCTCTGTTTTCCCCCCATCTTTGTGGTTTTATCTACCTTTGGTCTTTGATGATGGTGACGTACAGATGGGTTTTTGGTGTGGATGCCCTTTCTCTTTGTTAGTTTTCCTTCTAACAGCCAGGACCCTCAGCTGCAGGTCTGTTGGAGTTTGCTGAAGGTCCACTCCAGACCTTGTTTGCCTGGGTATCAGCAGCAGTGGCTGCAGAACAGCAGATATTGGTGTACCGCAAATGCTGCTGCCTGATAATTCCTCTGGAAGTTTTGTCTCAGAGGAGTACCTGGCCCTGTGAGGTGTCATTCCACCCCTACTGGGGGGTGCCTCCCAGTTAGGCTACTCGGGGGTCAGGGACCCACTTGAGGAGGCAGTCTGCCCATTCTCAGAACTCAAGCTGCGTGCTGGGAGAACCACTCCTCTCTTCAAAGCTGTCAGACAGGGACATCTAAGTCTGCAGAGGTTACTGCTGCCTTTTGTTTGTCTGTGCCCTGCCCCCAGAGGTGGAGCCTACAGAGGCAGGCAGGCCTCCTTGAGCTGTGGTGGGCTCCACCCAGTTCTAGCTTCCCAGCCACTTTGTTTATCTACTCAAGCCTTGGCAATGGCAGGCACCCCTCCCCCAGCCTCACTGCCACCTTGCAGTTTGATCTCAGACTGCTGTGCCAGCAGTGAGTGAGGCTCCGTAGGTGTAGGACCCTCCAAGCCATGTGCTGGATATAATCTCCTGGCGTGCCGTTTGTTAAGCCCGTTGGAAAAGTGCTGTATTAGGGTGGGAGTGACCCGATTTTCCAGGTGCTGTCTGTCACTCCTTTCTTTGACTAGGAAAGGAAATTCCCTGACCCCTTGTGCTTCCTGGGTGAGGCAATGCCTTGCCCTGCTTCGGCTCATACTCGGTGCTCTGCACCCACTGTCCTGCACTCACTGTCCAGCACTCCCCAGTGAGATGAACCCAGTACCTCAGTTGGAAATGCAGAAATCACCTGTCTTCTGCATCGCTCACGCTGGGAGCTGTAGACTGGAGCTGTTCCTATTGGGCCATCTTGGCTCCACCCCCTATTATGCCAATTTTATAGCAAAGCAAACTAAGTCACCAAACTGTAATCCCATTACTGGGTATATACCCAAAGGATTATAAATCATTCTTCTATAAAGACTCATACACACATATATTTGTTGCAGCACTGTTCACAATAACAAAGACTTGGAAACAAGCCAAATGCCCATCAATGATAGACTGGATAAAGAATATGTGGTACATATACACCAAGGAATACTATGCAGCCATAAAAAAGGATGAGTTCATGTCGTTTGCAGGGACATGGATGAAGCTGGAAACCGTCATTCTCAGAAAAGTAACACAGGAAGAGAAAACCAAACACCACATGTTCTCATAGGTAGGAGCTGAACAATGAGCACACATGGACACAGAGGGGAACGTCACCCACTGGGGCCTGTAGAGGGGTGGGGGGCTAGGGGAAGAATAGCATTAGGAGAAATATGTAATGTAGGTGACGGGTTGATGGGTGCACCAAACCACCATGGCACGTGCATACCTATGCAACAAACCTGCAGGTTCTGCACATGTATCCCAGAACTTAAAGTATATTAATAAAAAAATTATATATATATATATATATATATATATGGAGCAGGCAGTTAATTTTTTCCTTAAGCAAGTAATTCTCAGAAAGGTGCTATTTGGGGAAATGCTAAAATAGAGGATGCTCAGCATAAAGGCTAAGTAAAAGAAAAACATAAGAAATAAAACACAATGAACAGCTATATACATGCTGAAATTTTAAGATCTGAGCTTCATATTTAATTCAATTTGTCACTCTGAAGTTAAGTCAAAACTGACTTTTCAAGCAAGCTTTTTCTTCTGCCAATCTGTCAAACCACATGAAAATATAGATGATGAGTAAAAGCAAAGAAATAAAATCTGGGCTGGGTGTGGTGGCTGACACCTGTAATCCTAGCATTTTGGGAGGCTGAGGTGGGAGGACTGCTTAAGCTCAGGAGTTGGGAGACCAGCCGACGAGATCTCGTCTCTATTCAAATTTTTTTAAAAATTTGGCATGGTGGCAGGCCTGTAGTCCCACCTACTCATGAGGCTGAGGTGGGAGGATCACTTGAGCCCAGGAGATTGAGGCTGCAGCTAGCTACAGTTCTGCCATTGCATTCCAGCTTGGGTGACAGAGTGAGGCCCTGTCTCAAAAATAAATCTGTATTCTGATTGTAAAGGTAACATATACAAAAAAAAAAAAAAAAAAAAAACCAAGGGTAGAAAATGTGGACTATCAAAAAACAAATATTCTATTATAAACTATACCAGCCAGAGAACCCTATTGTTACAAATTTTGTTTGCAAAACTGATACCAATTCTGGGGAGTCTAGGAAGAGAAAACAGAAATTGCAAAGGTGCAGAGGCAGGAAATCATATGAGACTTTCAAGAATCTGAAAATAGAAACTTGGAATAAAAACCTGAGGAGGACAGGGAAATAGTAGAAGATGAGGCTTCAGTTGATCATAAACCACCTCTTCCAGTTGCAGATCCATAAAATGTGGTTACCATAGGTAGGTTAATTTTATCCATGCTTTACTATCTGCTTCCTTTATCAGCAAACCGTCATTGGTTCATGAAGACTGCTCCTCTGCAGATCTAGCCTTATGATGGCTTTCTATCCTCTTGGCAGGAAAGGAAAAGTGACGTGTGTGTTTGTGTGTGTGTATGTGTGTGTATTTAGTATAGTACATTTTTAGAAATAACTTCCTATTTTCTCTAAATAGAAATGACTGAAAATAAAATATTGTTTAATAATATTTGTAAGTGGATTATTAGTTTTTATAAATTTTTGTATGTTTTTACTAATTATAAAATAACTTTCTCATTTAAATTAAAACATTTTAGGAAAAACCAGTCTTAAATATTATTGGTAAAATACAAATATCTTCAAGATGTAAAAATATGGTCTAAATTACACAGGTCATGTACTACATTTACTAAATGTTTTAAGGTTGTAAACTACTTTTTTTGGCCTTTTAAAAACTGTCAACTTGCCTACTTCACAAATGATAAGGTCTAGGAACATATGGAAGTAACCATGCCCCTAACTATACTGGAAGGAGTCAAACTCTACCTACACCTAGCACATAATTTAAAAAACTTACTAGGTTTTACATTCAGGTTAAAAATTGCTAAGAATTGCCTTTATGACACACAATTGAGACTACTGAAAATATATTTATATACAAGGTATATAAAAACAGTAAAACGTGTTTAGTAAAAGATAATAAGAAGACATGAAAACATACATTTTTTCTAAGAATAAAAAATTGCCTTACATAAGAGAAAACTGAAGATTTAAACAAATTGGAGAAAAATTGTAAAAATATTACAAAGGAAACTGTATGAACATATTGACTAAATTCAAAAAGATATTATATACAAACAGTTTTTCAGACCACAGTGCAATCAAAATAGAACTCAGGATGAAGAAACTCACTCAAAACTGCAAAACAACATGAAAACTGAACAACCTGCCCCTGAATGACGACTGGGTACATAACAAAATGAAGGCAGAAATAAAGATGTTCTTTGAAACCAATGAGAATGAAGACACAATGTACAAGAATCTCTGGGACACATTTAAATCAGTGGGTAGAGGGAAATTTATAGCACTAAATGCCCACAAGAGAAAGCAGGAAAGATCTAAAATTGACACCCTAACATCAAAATTAAAAGAACTAGAGAAGCAACAGCAAACAAATTCAAAAGCTAGTAGAAGACAAGAAATAACTAAGATCAGAGCAGAACTGAAGGAGACAGAGACACAAAAAACCCTTCAAAAAATCAACCCAGGAGCTGGTTTTTGAAATATCAACAAAATGGACTGCTAGCAAGACTAATAAAGAAGAAAAGAGAGAAGAATCAAATAGACGCAATAAAAAATGATATAGGGGATATCACTACTGATCCCAGAGAAATACAAACTACCACCAGAGAATGCTATAAACACCTCTACACAAGTAAACTAGAAAACCTAGAAGAAATGGATAAGTTCCTGGACACATACACACTCCAAAGTCTAAAGCAGGAAGAAGTTGAATACCTGAATAGACCAATAACAAGTTCTGACATTGAGGCAGTAATTAATAGCCTATCAATCAAAAAAAAAGTCCAGTACCAGACAGACTCACAGCCAAATTCTACCAGAGGTACAAAGAGGAGCTGGTACTTTTCCTTCTGAAACTATTCCAAAAATAGAAAAAGAGGAAATCCTCCCTAACTCATTTTATGAGGCCAGCATCATCCTGATACCAAAACCTGGCAGAGACACACCAAAAAAGGAAAATTTCAGCCAATATCCCTGATGATAATCGATGCAAAAATCCTCAATAAAATACTGGCAAACTGAATCCAGCAGCACATCAAAAAGCGTATCCACCATCATCAAGTTGACTTCATACCTGGGATGCAAGGCTGGTTCAACATATACAAATCAATAAACATAATCCATCACATACACAGAACCCATGACAAAAACTGCATGATTATCTCAATAGATGCAGAAAAGGCCTTCGATAAAATTCAACAGAATTTTCATGCTAAATTTCATGCTAAAAATTCTCAATAACCTAGGTATCGATGAAACATATCTCAAAATAATAAGGGCTATTTATGACAAACCCACAGCCAATATCATACCAAATGGGCAAAAACTGAAGCTTTCCCTTTGAAAACCGGCAGAAGACAAGGATGCCCTTTCTCACCACTCCTATTCAACATAGTATTGGAAGTTCTGGCCAGGGCAATCAGGCAAGAGAAAGAAAGAAAGGGTATTGGAATAGGAAAAGAGGAAGTCAGATTGTCTCTGTTTGCAGATAACATGATTGTATATTTGGAAAACTCCACCTTCTCAGCCCAAAATCTGCTTAAGCTGATAAGCAACTTCAACAAAGTCTCAGAATACAAAATCAATGTGCAAAAATCACAAGCATTCCTATACACCAATAACACAGAGAACCAAATCATGAGTGAACTCCCATTCACAATTGCTACTAAGAGAATAAAATACCTAGGAATACAACTTACAAGGGATGTGAAGGACCTCTCCAAGGAGAACTACAAACCACTGCTCAAGGAAATAAGAGAGGACACAAACAAATGGAGTAATATTCTGTGCTCATGGAAAGGAAGAATCAATATCATGATAATGGCCATACTGCCCAAAGTAATTTATAGATTCAATGCTATCCCCATCAAGCTACCACTGACTTTCTTTACAGAATTGGAAAATACTACTTTAAATTTCATATGGAACCAAAAAAAGAGCCTGCATAGCCAAGACAATCCTAAGCAAAAAGAACAAAGCTAGAGGCATCATGCTACCTGACTTCAAACTATACTACAAGGCTACAGTAACAAAAACAGCAGGGTACTGGTACCAAAGCAGATATGTAGACCAAAGGAACAGAACAGAGACCTCAGAAATAACACCACACATCTACAACCATCTGATCTTTGACAAACCTGACACAAACAAGCAATGGGGAAAAGATCCCCTATTTAATAAATGGTATTGGGAAAACTGGCTAGCCATATGCAGAAAACTGAAACTGGACCCCTTCCTTACACCTTATATAAAAATCAACTCAAAATGGATCAAAAACTTAAACATAAGACCTAGGACCGTAAAAATCCTAGGGGAAAATCTGGGCAATACCATTCAGGACACAGGCATGGGCAAAGACTTCATAACTAAAACACCAAAAGCAATGGCAACAAAAGCCAAAATTGACAAATGGGATCTAATTAAACTAAAGAGCTTCTGCACAGCAAAAGAAACTATCATCAGAGTGAACAGGTAACCTACAGAATGGGAGAAAAATTTTGCAATCTATCCATCTAACAAAGGGCTATTATCCGGAATCGACAAAGAACTTAAACAAATTTACAACTAAAAAACAACCCAAATGAAAAGTGGGTGAAGAATATGAACAAACACTTCTCAAAACAAGACATTTATGCAGCCAACAAACATATGAAAAAATGCTTATTATCACTGGTCATTAGAGAAATGCAAATCAAAACCTCAATGAGATACAATCTCATGCCAGTTAGAATGGCAATCATTAAAAAGTCAGGAAACAACAGATGCTGGTGAGGATGTGGAGAAATAGGTACACTTTTACACGTTGGAGGGAGTGTAAATTAGTTCAACCATTGTGGAAGACAGTGTGGCAATTCCTCAAGGATCTAGAACTAGAAATACCATTTGACCCAGCAATCCCATTACTGGGTATATACCCAAAGGATTATAAATATTTGTACTATAAAGACACAGGAACATGTATGTTTCTTGTGGCAGTATTCACAATAGCAAAGACTTGGAACCAACCCAAATGCCCATCAATGATAGACTGGATAAAGAAAATGTGGCACATATAGACCATGGAATACTATGCAGCCAGAAAAAAAGGATGAGTTTGTGTCCTTTGCAGGGACATGGATGAAGCTGGAAACCATCATTCTCAGCAAACTATCACAGATCAGAAAACCAAACACCGCATGTTCTCTCTTGTAAGTGGGAGTTGAACAAAGAGAACACATAGATACAGGGAGGGGAACATCACACACAGGGGCCTGTCTGGGGGTTGGGGGCTAGGGGAGGGATAACATTAGGAGAAATACCTAATGTAGGTGACAGGTTGATGGGTGCAGCAAACCACCATGGCACATGTATACCTGTATAACAAAACTGCACGTTCTGCACATGTACCCCGGAACATAAAGTATGTGTGTGTGTGTGTGTGTGTGTGTGTACAAAAACCAGAGAAAGAGCCTACACTAAAGTTTAACATAGGCTAGGTCTCATTCATTATGATTTGAGATTTAGGCTTCCAGCTTTAAAGAATGTTGCTTTAACCTTCTCTTCTCCCTTTACTTTGGACTGTTCATTCTGTAAGTTTAAGTACACTATCATTAAGAAAAAATGCACAAGTCAAATGGTTTGTTATCTGCAAAGGGCTCATTGTGGCATCTCACCTCACATTTCCAAGCCCCACACACATGGCTGTTCATGACCACATAATGACCAAAGTACACTCAGAAATAGAAGGCAATGTCTGACTTCTCATTGGTTCCAGTATGGGAATCATCCACCTGCAGCTGTGGGTCCTTGCTGAGCTCAAAGCACACAGCAGGTTGGGCACACACTCCACACACACCAACCCTTTTCCACCTTTTCCCAGGCCAAACAGGAGCCTTCCTGATGACACTGCAGGCTTTATCCCTGGGGGGCTGCTTCAGCTCCTTGTACCCTTCAAGAGTGAGATGCTCTGCCCCTCATCCCTAGATAAAAACTGAGACACAATGACAGACTTTGTCCTATGAGTTGTCCATTTACTGAAAACTTAATGCCACTTGGTAAAGAGCCACAGCCCCAATCCTCTGAGTATCCTCCTCCCCTAGGCCCCATGACTGGCCCACAGTGCAACTAATGCAGGTTTCGTGCCTGGTGCAGGAGGGTCTTTAGGACCTGCACTTGGATGATGCCTCCATCCTCCAACTAGACATTTGCGCACCACTCACACATGAGGTGAGCATTTAGCAAATATTCTCCTTTCTCTTCCATCATCCTGCCATGGACCATGGGGTACTCACAAGAAAGTAAAAACACTGTCCTTCTGAATGTCACAGAACCAATAGTCAAGGACACAGGTCGTGTGTGTGACACCTCCTATGGAGATTGAGAGTGGGTGAGAAGGGAAGGACCAAGTGTGGACTCCCCTCCTATAACAGATTCCCATAGTGCAAGAGTTTCGAGATCGAAGGGCAAATTCTGAGGACTGCTCCCCCTACACTACCACAGTCAAGGTTTCATATTTTTGAAGAAATTGGGGGCCTATAGGTAAGAGCAAGGGTTCTGGAGCCAAGCTGCCTGGATTCCAGTTCTGATTCTGCCTCTTACTTGCAGTGCAATCTCAGATCCATAACTTGAAGTCTCCCCACCTACGTTTCTCCAGAACAAGGAGGAGTATAAGGAGTTCCTACTTTGTAGGGTTTTCCCAGTAACAGAGGAGTTAATATGTGTGAAACCTTTGCCCTAATCCCCGGTATGTACAGGGCCAGTTAGGGGTTGCACCACAGAATGGGGACCGTCCTTATGGGACACTAACCTGCATTCATTTTCAACTCTGAAGTGCTGAAAACAAGACCTGAGGATGTGAAAACAGAGAAATTCACCCAGTGAGAACGGTTTTATAAAAATAGGGAAATAACAAAAGAACAGAGAACCCTTGTGTGTGGAATGAATATGCAAATTACAATTTTTTTTATGTTGTTGTCTGGTTTGCTTTTCTTTTTTTCTTTCTTTTTGTGGATACAGGGCCTTACTCTGTCACCCAGGCTGGAGTGCGGTGGCATGATCAGAGCTCACTGCAGCCTCAAACTCCTGGACTCAAGTGATCTTCTTACCTCAGTCTCCCGAGTAGCTACAAATAAAAATGCGCACAAACAGGCTTGGCTAGTTTTGAATTTTTTTGGTACATACAAGGTCTCACTACTTTACGCAGGCTGGTCTGGAACTCCTGTCCCCATGCGATCCTCCCAACTCGGCCTCCCAAAGTGCTCGGATTACAGCCATGAGCCACAGCCTCTGGCAAGTTGTTGAATAGCATCCACTGTAAGCTCTTCCTGAACTAAAGCTAAACTGGTTATTTCTCTGTTTTGGATGATTCTGTCTCTAAAACCATGTCCCCCAATGTCATTCCCTAGTAAGCCAGAATCTGCTCACCCTCTTCTCCCAGAACGGGATAGACAGCTTGGGCTGGGAGACAGAGAGAGACCTGAGGCTGGAGGCAGAAGTTGGTGGTCCCTCTGTGCAGATCCCACCTGAAGAAACAGCCCCAATAGACTGTGTTCTTCTTTTCCACTCTGCTTGGAAAGAGTCACCTGAGGATTTATGCATTCAGCTCTCATGAATGCTCAGAGACGAGTCCCCGGTAACTCATGATCCCCAAGATCTCCACTAGTTCTGCCACCCGGGATCCACATTGACATATGTGGGAAGATGCACAGCTGCTTCATCAGAGGCGCTACTGTGTGAGGAGGAACCTTCCCATGCACAGAAGGCCACATGCATGTTCACAGCTCAACACCCAGTCACATCGCAGCACACACACCCACAGTCACACAGAGCCACGCCAATCACTGAGTCACACAGGCCTGCTCACTGTGCATATAAAGATGCTCATGCACTGGTATGGCTGTGTTCACACTCACACATCACAGTCATGAAGACAAAGCACAATCACCCCCTTACATTCACTCACACACTCCCCCATCCTGGTGGGCTAATCATGTCCCACCTAAAGTCACATCGTCTCAGCAGAGTTTCCTCTCCTCAGACATCATCACATGCCCACAGAGGGTTACACTGATCCAGGGTTCACACACCACACCCCACAAGCATCTCAGATACCATTACCCCAGTGTCTCTCTTCCACACCCCTACCATTCTCAGTAAATCATTCACAATGGAAATGTTCATATTTTCATCTCATAAAATCTCTCTTTCCTTTTTTAGGGTGACCTGAGATTATTGAAGGCTGTGCCTTTTCAACTCATGGGTAACAGTGATATTGTTGTCTCCCTCTGGGTGACTCTTCTGAATTGTGTCCAGTATTCTGTGTGAATCTCTTGGAGTTGAAGCATTTAAATGATCCCTGTCAGCCCTGCCCTTTGGCTTCATTCCTGATTCCAGCCACCTTCCAGCAAGATTCCCCTGCAGAGTGAGAAGGGATGGAGTGTCAGAAACAGACTCAGTCACAACCACACCTGTTTGCAACCCTATGTCTGTGATGCAGCAGAAATGACAGTGATGGGGGTACCAGGGGAAGGAAGGGGTCACCAGGGTAATGTGCAGATCCGGATGATGGAGTTAGGGTGAGGGGTTGTGAAGTCCAGCCTCCATGCTTCTCATGAAGCCTTTCCTCCACTGTGCAGAATTCACCTGGAATGAGTGAATTTTTCTCACTTGTGCGATATTTTAAAAATGGGAATTCTTAAGGCAAAACAGCCAGCCCTGGAAAAAAAATTCTCTCATTCTCTTCCAGAGGTTCTGGGAGACCATAGACCTTGATCCTCAACAGGACCTGGGGAGAGAGGTATAGAGAGTCTCTGTGTCATCCTGACTCCATCCAGGCCCCTTGCCTTTGCCAGGTGAGGGCCATTCATACTCCATCTCTCACACACCTGGGCTCCATCCACACTCTCTCATTTTTCTCTGGGTGTCCATGTGCAATAAAATCTCAGAGACTCAGATTCTGGGAGAAAGGTGAGATTCCTAAGTCTAGCGCTTGATTTGTGTGCTACTTAGCTCAAAACCTGCATGAAGACAGGGACAGGGGCAGGTGATCAGACTTCAGCTACAACGCAGTCTTCACTTGGGGTGGAGGACTCAGGACCCCTCCTCAAGTTCTCTTTTTGTTATAACAGAAAACATCCTTAAAATCTGTATAGGAATTTAAAGAAGAAATGAATTCAAATCCCTCTCCCTCCCTCCTTTCTTTTTATTTTACTCTTCAGTTTTATTGACTGTGAATTTAAACTATTTTTGAAAACTTCATCCAAGTTAACAAAAAATGTATATTATGATAAATTCATGATTAAACTAGCACTCATTTAGCCACCACAATTGTACTCGTGGCTTGTTGCTAACACACATGGACTCCTATGTGTCCCTTCCCTATCACGTGACCTTCTTGCCCCTACTGGCAACCATGCTCCTGCCTTTCTTTTTTGCTTTGCTTTCGTCTTATTACTTTGTTTAATTTTGCCTGTAGGTGTTTATCTTGGATTTTTTTTATTGGGTCATGCATCTTTTCTAAAACATTTCTGTTTTTAGGATTCATCTATGTTGCCGTGTGGAGCTATAGATCCTTCCTTTTCACTTATCTCCACTCTGGAGTTTTATAAATTGGCCAAGACATACTCAGCAGTTTACTCTTGATAGATATTGAATGACTTCTAGCTTGAGGCTATTGAAACATTGCCTTCTCTGCAAAATTATCCTGATCTCCTCGTGCCGATAATTTCTTATTTCAAGGAGAGTGGCCAAAAAGCCAATTGAATCCCTGAAATGTCAAGAAAGTGTCTGCCTTTCTGACTGGTGAATAGAAATAAATTGTCCAAAATAAACACAGAGACCTACTGGGAAGACAGGGATCAAGACACTCTGAGGATTAAAGTCTTTAAAGCATTTCAGATGGAGGGGGCTGGCCCAGAATTCTCCCCAAATGAGACACTCCAGGGAGAACATTTACTCTCGATAAGGCTGGGGCATCCGGAGGGGTTTTCTGAGATCAATGGTTAGGATTTACTGGGTGAGGGGAGGCAGTGGAAATGGAGGTGTCCTAACCTTGTGTCTGTGGGTGGAGATGAATGAGGCCTACAGGAGAGACCATCAGTGAGAGCTGTCATTGTGTGCCCTGATCAAAGGGTTTGCCTTCTATCCGTCTATGACCAAGATTTACACTCTGTAAAGTAGTATCTCCCCTTTTCACTGTTTGAGCCTACAGCTTCTTCTCTGTGAGTGACTTTTTCCTTTCTCGGTTTGCAAAGAGGATGGGAGAAGGGCATGGTCACCCATGAGCATTCTTTAAATGAACAAATCAGATTTCTGCATTTGGGCTCTACCTTTCGAGAAATGGTGTTGTATACCCCTTGTTCCTGAACTGAGGGGACGAGCATATGAGTTTCTTTCTCTGGAGATTTTCTTCTTGGCATTTTTCCTAGTAAAGTGAAGGGACATATGAGATTTGGAGTTCAGGTAGGGTAATGGGAGCCCCCAAGTGTTCTTACTCCTCTGTTTTCAGTGTAAAGAGTGAGGTTCCTACTCAGTTCTGCTCAGCTCAGACCCAGCCCCACCCACCCTGTCATGGATCAGTTATTCAAGCCCCCAATCCCATTGCTTACACCTCAGTGACTCATATGAAATTGGGTAGGGTTGGTTCAGAGTGTCTGACATATAGTCGATGCTATAGAAGGATGTGGTTGCTAATGCCTTCTCAGACATTTCAGTGGCCTTTTCACTTACTTTTTGTGTCTCAGGAAGATTTATCCTCCTTGACTTGTTCACACCATCTATAAAATCCCCCAAGCCCTCTTGATGATGACCACTTTTTCTCCCCATGAAAGCAAGAACCAAATTCTGTGAAGTTTGATTAAGTTTTAATGAGCAGGAGTAAGGATTGAAGTGAGAAAAGATCATGCTGTTAGCTGGCTTTGGAATCCCAAGTTCACGTAGAGACAGGGATTCCTTGGCAACATGAAGTCTGGTTATCTCTTTAAATAGCTGACATTAAATTTGGTCAGGGAGATATCTCTCCACACTTGCACCATCTTCACAGCCTCAGGCTTGATTCTATGGTCAAAGGTGTAAGAGGATTGGCCATTGACCATTACCTACAGAAGGAAAAAAATACATCAGAAAGACAGTATTTCACCAAACAAGCTTTCAGCCTGCTCTCTATGGTGTCATAGTACCTGAAACATCCAACCAGAAAATGCCTCATTATATATCTGAACCCAGTAGACACACTTCTTTTTTACAGACTACCTGTTGTAACTATCTGAGACAGTTGCTCACTGTATTTTCAATGTTTCCTCTCATTTCTCCAGTGAGGCTCTGTCACTCTCTGTCACATGGGCCATATTTGCTCAGCCTCCCCTCTATCCTGGAAGATCTCCAAGGCCAGGGACTGTGTTTCATAAACTTGAATCCCTGCATCTTGCACAGGGCCAGCCACAGGGTAAGTGCTCAACAATGTCCACTGAATGCACACATTTCAGTTACATAAATTATGACTGCTATTTGCTGCTGATGACCCAGTTTCTCTCTGGAATTGCTCATATTTGAGCTAGTGGCGGCAAGGAATGTAACTCAAGTGTTCTTAGAGAGGTGGGGCTGGATTAATGTTACAAAACATAGGATATTATCTTTATTTATTTTTTTATGGTTATTAAATTATTTATTTATTATTTATTTTTTTTATTATACTTTAAGTTTTAGGGTACATGTGCACATTGTGCAGGTTAGTTACATATGTATACATGTGCCATGCTGGTGCTCTGCACCCACTAACTCGTCATCTAGCATTAGGTATATCTCCCAATGCTATCCCTCCCCCCTCCCCCCACCCCACAACAGTCCCCAGAGTGTGATATTCCCCTTCCTGTGTCCATGTGATCTCATTGTTCAATTCCCACCTATGAGTGAGAATATGCGGTGTTTGGTTTTTTTGTTCTTGCGATAGTTTACTGAGAATGATGATTTCCAATTTCATCCATGTCCCTACAAAGGACGTGAACTCATCATTTTTTATGGCTGCATAGTATTCCATGGTGTATATGTGCCACATTTTCTTAATCCAGTCTATCATTGTTGGACATTTGGGTTGGTTCCAAGTCTTTGCTACTGTGAATAATGCCGCAATAAACATACGTGTGCATGTGTCTTTATAGCAGCATGATTTATAGTCGTTTGGGTATATACCCAGTAATGGGATGGCTGGGTCAAATGGTATTTCTAGTTCTAGATCCCTGAGGAATCGCCACACTGACTTCCACAATGGTTGAACTAGTTTACAGTCCCACCAACAGTGTAAAAGTGTTCCTGTTTCTCCACATCCTCTCCAGCACCTGTTGTTTCCTGACTTTTTAATGATTGCCATTCTAACTGGTGTGAGACGGTAAACGTTAGACCTAAAACCATAAAAACCCTAGAAGAAAACCTAGGCATTACCATTCAGGACATAGGCCTGGGCAAGGACTTCATGTCCAAAACACCAAAAGCAATGGCAACAAAAGACAAAATTGACAAATGGGATCTAATTAAACTAAAGAGCTTCTGCACAGCAAAAGAAACTACCATCAGAGTGAACAGGCAACCTACAAAATGGGAGAAAATTTTCGCAACCTACTCATCTGACAAAGGGCTAATATCCAGAATCTACAATGAACTCAAACAAATGTACAAGAAAAAAACAAACAACCCCATCAAAAAGTGGGCGAACGACATGAACAGACACTTCTCAAAAGAAGACATTTATGCAGCCAAAAAACACATGAAAAAATGCTCATCATCACTGGCCATCAGAGAAATGCAAATCAAAACCACTATGAGGATATTATCTTTAACAGCGTATAAACATAGAAAAACACCTCTGACTTTAATCTGAATAAAATGTGAATGTTTTGGCCTACCCATTTGAAATGTCAGAAACTTTGATCACATTCTTTATTACTGAGGCTACACAGGGAGTCATATTTTAGGTTTCATTCTCAAATTTAAAATCCATACAACTTTGAACCAGTTATTCCTTTTCTTTATAATCATGTTCCAATATAAATAGGGAAAAGTTGGCAATGAAAAAAGGGTTGATTAGAAAGCTTAATACAGTAACATTTGTGAGAGCAAAACATTGGAAACCAACTCAGTGCTCTTGTAAAGGGTCAAGTACAGCAAGTTGAGGAAATCCTTCTAGGGGAATATTATGTAATCCTTAAAAAAATGAGGCAGCACCATGGATAGATTATTTCTCCAATATATATTCTTTGAGTACAACTCAACTGTCATTCCTAAAGTGTAATGTGTAGGGACATTGATACCAGCATTTGTTTAAAAACAAATAAAAGTGTATATATGGGTGTATGTATATGCTTCTATAAGGATAGACTATGGAAGAAGAGTAGAGAAGCTAGTAATATTGTTCTGAGGATTGGGATTGAGGAGTGAGAAGTCTTCATATTGGACTGACTAAAACAATTTTATTCATGTGTATATCTTATCCATTTAGCTACATGAAAATTTAAATAACATCATAAGGGGAAGATAGAGGATATTCTCCATTTGGGGAAAATGGCAAGTGAACCGACATTGACCCTGGTCAGGTATGGGAAAAGAGCTGAGGATGGCAGTGCAAGGAGAGGTGATGGCAGAGCAAGCAACAACACCTGTTGAATGAGAGAGGGAAATGATAAAAGTAAAGGGAACCCCTGTGTGTGTGATAAAAAGCCTGGGACAGGGGGAGTTATGGGTGATGAAAAGCCTGGGATAAGGGGAGTTGTGGGTGATGAAAAGCCGGGGACAGAGGGAGTTATCTGGAGTTAGGGCATGAAGAGCTGCCTCCTGCTCTGAGATCCCATGGAAGCCGGGTGCGGGGAGCTCCTGGGGTGCTCACCTGGTACTTATCTGGCAGCACTGAGATGCTCAGTTCAAATTCTTGGCCATCCTGAAAGGGCATATTCTTGGATTCCACCTGCTGCTTCCAGGCCCCATACTCACGGCTGTTCATGACCACACGACGACCAAAGCACACTTGGAAATGGAAGACAATGTCTGATTCCTCCTTCATCTCAGTGTGGAAATCCACCTGCAGATATGGTTCATTCCTGAGGGCAGAGCACACAGTGTTGAGCAGGTCCCTTTCTTGTGGGGCACACACAAGACACACACACAAGTCTCTTTGCCCCTTCCGTGGTCGAGCAAAGACTTGTTGGTATTCTAGGCCTTGTCATTGTGGGGCTGCTTCAGCTCCTTGTGTTCTCCATGGGTGGAAAGAGATGCTCCAGCCCTCATCCACAGATGGAAACTGAGCCATAGTCACTGACTTGGTCATATGAATTGCCCATTTTCTGAATATTCTATGCCTTTTAATAGATAAAGTGTCACAGCCCCAAGCCTTGAGTGTCCTTTACTCCTAGACCCATGACTAGCCCCCAGTGCAGCTGCTGTAGGTTTTGTTCCTGGTGCTGGAGGGTCTCCAGGACCTGCACATTCATGGCACTTCCATCCTGCCAACTAGACTTTCCACATGATTCACACATGAGGTCACCCCCTTAGAAAATATTCTTCCTCTTCTCCACCTCCCATCTTTGCACCATGGAGTACTCACAAGAAACAGGCAAGTGGTCGCCCTTTGATTGTCACAGTAGAACCAGTAGACAAAGAGGCAGCCTCTGTGTATGGCACCTGCCAGGGGATTGAGAGTGGGTGAGAGAGGCAGGGCCAGGTGTGGCCTCCCCTCCTGTAACAGATTCCCATGGTGCAGCCAGTTAGAGATCAAGCAGTAGACTCAGGCCTCCCTGCTCCCACCCTACCTCAGTCAGGACCCCGTATTTTTCAAAACAATGGGGCCCATGGTTAAGAGCAGAGCTTCAGAAACTGAGCTACCTCAATTAGATCCTTTATTGTGCTGACTACTAGCAGTGAGATGTTAACATGTTTTGAACCTTTTTTTTAGACAGGGTCTAATTGAATCACCCAGGCTGTAGTGAACTGGCACAATCACAGCCCACTTCAACCTCAACCTCCCAGGCTCAAGCCATCCTCTCAATTCAGTTTCTTGAGTAGCTGAGACTATTGGTCCACACCCAGCTAATTTTATACGTATTTGGAGAGTTGGGGTTTCACGATGTTGCCCAGGCTGGTCTGGAGCATCTAGGCTCAAGGGATCCTCTTGTCTCAGCCTCCCAAACTCCTAGATTACAGGGGTGAGCCACTTTGCCCAACCAGCAAGGGGACCTTAGATCTATTGCTTAAACTCTCCCTGCCTCAGTTTTCCCAATACAAAGATGATAATCCGAAATACCTACTTTGTATCATGTTTTCAGTTATACAGTAGTTAATAGATGTAAACCCTTTAGCCTAAACCCTGGCACGTATAGGGCCTGTTGGGGGTCCTCTATCTGAACAAGGAGGGTCCTTGTGGAACACTGACCTGCGATCATCTTCAACTCTGAAACTGTGAAAACAAGATGTGAGGATGTAACAGTAGAGAGATTCACTCCAGTAAGAAACAACAACTTTGGGTTAGTTTCAATTTGAGAACAGCTACAAATAATGACACTATAAACATTTCTGTATAGGATTTTCCATAAACTAAAGTGTTTACTTGGCTAAAATCTGGTGAGTAAAGTGTTTCTGTTTGTTTGGTGATTTTATGTTTAATTTTATGGGAATACCAAACGATTTTCCAATGTAGCTGTATCATTTTACATCCCTCCAAGCATCGTTTGACTGTTTCAGGTACTCTGCATCTTTTCTAACTTGAGATTGTGAGTTTTATTTTTTATTATCATTTTAACCACCAAAAAAAAAAAGAAAGAAAGAAACAACACTTGTTGAAAGAGAGAGGGAAACGAACAGGAAAGAACAGGAAACCCCTGTGCGTGGGAGGCACATACATCACAATCATCATGGGCAATGGACGTCCTTCCCAGAAGGGGCACACATTGCTGAGAGCACAACCGCAGTACTTGCACAAATGAAGATTGTGGGTCAGGGAAGTTATTGGCTAGAATCTATAAATGGATGGTATTTTTCTTTTTTGAAACAGGGTCACACTGTCACCTAGGCTGGAATGCAGTGGCACCATCAAAACTCACTGCAGGCTGGGCGTGGTGGCTCACGCCTGTAATCTCAGCACTTTGGGAGGCCAAGGTGGGTGCATCACTTGAGGTCAGGAGTTCGAGACCAGCCTGGCCAACATGGAGAAACCCCATCTCTACTGAAAATACAAAAATTAGCCAGGAGTGGTGGCACAAGCCTGTAATCCCAGCTACTCGGGAAGCTGAGGTATGAGAATCGCTTGAACCCGGGAGGTGGAGGTTGCAGTGAGCCGAGATTGCACCACTGCACTCCAGCCTGGGAAACAGAGCGAGACTCTGTCTCAAAAAAAAAAAAAAAAAATTACTGCAGGTTTGAAGGCCTGGGCTTCAGTGAACCTCTTGCATATGCCCCCCAGCAGCTGGAACTACGGTATGCAACACCACATTCAATAAATTTTTAAATTTTTGGAAAGATGAAATCTTGCTATGTCTCCCAGGCTGGTCTACCAGTCCTGGCCTGACATGGGCCTTTCAATTCGGCCACCCAAAGTGCTGAGACTACAGGCCTCAGCAAACATCTTGATGAATATCCACTGTAAGCTCTGCCTTGTACCTTCCTGGTTTTGGGTGATTCAGTCTCTTAAATCAAGTCCCTCAATGTCCTTCTCTAGCATCCTGGCACTCAATGGGAAGGCCAGGCTAGGGTAGGAGACAGGGAGAGACCTGAGGCTGGAGGCAGGAGCCAGTGGTCACTGTGTGCAGATTCCACCTAAGGAACCATCAGCCCCATCGTCTGTTTCTCACCCCCATTCTGCTTGGGAAAAGGCACCTGAGAATTCATGCATTCTGCTCTCATAAATGCTCAGAGATAAGTCCTCGGTAACTCAAGGGCCCCAAGATCCCACAAGTTCTGTCACCGGGGATCCACAGTGATGCACAAGGGAAGTTAGACAGAGTACTGCTATGTGGGGAGGAACCTTCACATGCACAGAAGGCCACATGCATGTTCCCAGTTCAACACCCAGTCACATTCCAGCACACACACTCACAGTCACACAGAGCCGTGCCACTCACTGAGTCACACACACCTGCTCACTGTGCATATAAAGATGCTCATGCACTGGTCCGGCTGTGCTCACACACACACTCACATCACAGTCATGAAGACAAAACACAGTCACCTGATTACAATCACTTACACACCCACCCATATCCTGGAGGGCCATACACATCCCGTCTAAAGTCACATCATTTTTAGCAGAGTTTACTCTCATCAGATACCATCACATGCTCACAGAGGGTCACAATGTTCCAGCATCCACACCCCCTACCCCCCTACCCCAGGAGCATCTCAGATACCATAGCCCTAGGGTCTCTCTTCCACACACCCACAACTCTCAGTAAAGCATTCACAGTAGAAATTTTCATATTTTCATCCCATAAAATCTCCCTCTTCCCTTTTCTGTGTGACCTGAGATTATTGAAGGCTGTGCCTTTTTAACTCACGGGTAGCAGGGACATTGTTGTCTCCTTCTGGGTGGCTCTTCTGAATTGTGTCCAGACTTCTGTGTGAATCTCTGAGCTGCAGAATTTAAATGGCCCCTATCAGCCCTGCCTCTGGCTTTATTCCTGATTCCAAGCCCCTCCCAGGAAGGTTTCCTCACACAGTGAGAAGGGGTGGGGTGTCAGAAACAGACTCAGTCACAACCACACCTGTTTGGAGGCCTGTGCCTGTGATGCAGCAGAAACGACAGTGAGGGAGGTACTGGAGGAGGAAGGGGTCACCAGGGAAATGCACAGATAAAGACGATGGAGTGAGGATGAGTGGTGTGAGTTCCAGCCTCCATGCTTCTCATGAAGCCTTTTCTCCACTGTGCAGAATCTACCAGGAAGGTGTGCGTTCTCCTAACCTGTGCAATGGTAAAAAGCTGGAGATCCTGGGGGCAAGGCACTTGGCTTTGAAAGAAAATCCTCCTCCTCCTTCTCCAGTGGTTCTGGGAGAGCATAGATCTTGATCATTCGCAGGACCTGGGGACAGAAGTAGAGAAAACACTTGTGTCTTCTTTACCCACCCTCAGATCCCTTGGCTCTGCCAGGTGAGAGCCACTCCCACTCTGTCTCTCAGACACCTGGGCTTTAGGTACGCCCTCTTATTTCCCTATTTCTTTTCATGTGAATCAAAATCTGAGGCTGTCGTTCTCCTGCAGATTCTTGGAGAAAGGTGAGATTTCTCACTCATAAGTGGGAGCTAAGCGATGAGGATGCATTAGCATTAATATTAGTTGTGCTTGACCCGACAATAAATTCCACTTTCCCTGATCTAAAACCTTGACAATTCATTTCCAAGCATGCACTCCAAGATTCTGCTCATATAAATCAGCACAATCACACAGTTCTTTTGGTATATAACGTATTTCCTTAAGATTAATTTGTAATGTCATCCCACTGCATTCCTTGGGTTTTGACTCTGGGTATGGACATGGAAGCAATGAAAAGGGTCAGAGGCCACAATTAAGGAGCTTTGGAAACCCCGTTCTAGGCAACCACCCTCACACCCTGCCCAGAACTGTAGCTTGTAAGAAATTACCACAGAAGGGAAAGAGGAACTGCTTTTCCTTGCAACAGATATGCAATAGAATTTTGAGTAATATCCCAGCTATTCATCTGAACTGGGGAAGAAATATCAGTTCAGGGCGTCTGGCCACCTAGTAAGCTGTGGATAAAGATGTTGATGTTATTTACTTCTCAGGCATTCCAGCAATCCTTTCAGTGATGCAGAGAGATTGATCTTCTTTAACTTCCATATCCTCTGCACAATAGCCCATACTTCTGCTGGTTGCAACTATTTCTTCAGAAATCCATTATGCCCTACGACTTGCTTTCAGTCTTTCTTTTCAACTACATCTTTCCAAGCACACACTGTTCCCCCGAAAAACTTTAGGTTTTGTGTATGAAATTATATAATATCTGGGATTTGCTCTAAAATAATCTGGGGATGACAGTTCTCTCCTTTTGCAAACATTTGAAATTTTTTACAGTACAGTTTTTAATTAAGTAGCCAGTACATAGACTATATATAAAAGAAAAACAAAATTATCAGTACTGGCATGGCTATATCTTCAAGAAATGCTGTAGTATGAAAAGGCATGAAGAAAACATGCATAATACGAGACCAATTATTTTAACGACAAAAAAATAAAATTGATCTCATAAGTACACACAAACATTCATAAATGCACTAGAAAATGTCAAAAGAAGGCATTCCTTGTAGGGGGGGACACTGGGTTTAGAAGAAATGAGGTCAAGGTATAAATCTGTAATGTTTGAATTTTACCCACAAGAAGGTATTATATTACTTAAATGATTTGTATAAACATTTTAAAAATAAAGGTCATAATACAGTTAAAATTTTTAAAAAATTTAATCACAGTTTGGAACCCAGCAACCATGCTTCTTGTTACAGAGCACTCTTTCTATTTTGTGTTCTGTTTTTCCTGTTCCTCCAGCGATGTTCTAACACTCTATACAGCAAGGTGGGTTTGCTCAGTCACCTCTCTATCCTGGAACATCCCTGCACCACATAAATTGCCTGTCACAAGGTAAGTGCTCAATAAATATTCATTGAATGCATAACTTTCAGTGCCATGGTTTTATGCCATGTAGTGATAACCGGTGTTTTCTTTTAAGAAGATCCGCATTTATTCCCTTTCTCCTTCCCTCCCTCCCTTCCTTTCTTTTATACAGAAACATCAGTGTGATTCCTGGCCTTTGTCTTTCCATCACACTCTTCACATGACTGACAGGACAACCCCATGCCTCTACTCTCACAGAATAGCCATAGCATGGCCACTTCTCATTGTCTGCCAGTTCACTGACAGCAGCTTTGTGTTTACTACTAAGTGTCTGGCTCACAGCAGATGCTCGATAACTCCATTTCTAAGAAATAAATATCTCTTCCTGTAACTTCTTCCTGCAATTCAAACCAGAGAGTATTTCTCAGGAATTATCAGTTGATTGAGTGGCAAGGTATGTCTGGACTATGCATTTCATTTGAATCTATTAATAGTTTTATGGCTAGAAGAGAAAATGAAACAAAAATGGATTTTCAGCTGGGTGGAAAAGTTCAGTCAGTAGAACAAGTGAGGGAACATTCTGGGGAACAGATGCAGAGTGTGGGCAGGCTGTCATTATGAGTGTGACAGTGTTTACCAGCTGAGCTGACCTTTGTTCTGATGAAAATCTTGTAATTCACTATCCAAATATCAATTATATCTTTGACATACAAAAAAAACCATCGTATCATTCTTATGCCTTTGCATCCTCATAGCTTAGCTCCCACTTATGAATGATAACATACAATGTTTGGTTTTCCATTCCTGAGTTACTTCACTTAGAATAATGGTCTCCAATTTTATCCGGGTTGCTGCGAATGCCAATAGTTTGTTCCTTTTTATGGCTGAGTAGTATTCCATGGTATACATATACACCACAATTTCTTTATCCACTCGTTGATTGATGGGCATTTGAGCTGGTTTTATATATTTTCCAATTGCAAATTGTGCTGCCATAAACGTTGTGTGCAAGTATCTTTTTAAAATAATGACTTATTTTCCTCGGGGTAGATACCCAGTAGTGGGATTGCTGGATCAAATGGTAGTTCTACTTTTAGTTTCCTGAAGGACTCTCCACACTGTTTTCCATAGTGTTTGTACTAGTTTACATTCCCACCAGCAGTGTAAAAGTGTTCCCTTTTCAACGCATCCCCACCAACATCTACTATTTATTTATTTATTTTTTTATTTTGGCCATTCTTGCGGGAGTAAGGTGGTATTGCATTGTGGTTTTGATTTGCATTTCTCTGGTCGTTAGTGATGTTGAGCATTTTTTCATGTGTTTGTTGGCCATTTGTTTATCTTCTTTTGAGAATTTTCTGTTCAGGTCCTTGGCCCACTTTTTGATAGGACTGTTTGGTTTATTCATGATCATTTGTTTGAGTTCCTTGTAGATTCTGGATATTAGTTCTTTGTTGGATGTAAAGGTTGCAAAGATTTTCTGCCACTCTGTGAGTTGTGTGTTTACTCTCCTGATTGTTTCTTCTGCTGTGCAGAAGCTTTTTAGTTTAATTAAGTCCCATCTATTTATCTTTTTGCTTTTGTTGCATTTATTTTAGAGTTATTGGTCATGAGGCCTTTGCCTAAGCCAATGTCCAGAAAGGTTTTTCTGATGTTATCTTCTAGAATTTTTATAGTTTCAGGTCTTAGATTTAAGTCCTTCATCCACCTTGAGCTGATTTTTCTATGAGTTGGGAGATGAGGATCCAGTTTCATTCTTCTACATGTGGCTTGCCAATTATCCCAGCACCATTTGTTGAATAGGGTGTCCTTTCCCCACTTTATATTTTTGTTTACTTTGTCAAAGATCAGCTGGCAGTAACTATTTGACTTTATTTCTGGGGTTTCTATTCTGTTCTATTGGTCTATGTGCCTATCTTTGTACCAGTACCATATTGTTTTGGTGACTATGACCTTATATTAACAGTATAGCTTGAAGTCAGGCAATGCGATGCCTCCAGATTTGCTCTTTTTGCTGAGTCTTGCTTTGGTATGTATACTCTTTTTTGGTTCCATATGAATTTTAGGATTGTTTTTCCTAGTTCTGTGAAGAATGATGGTGGTATTTTGATGGGAATTGCATTGAATTTGTAGATTGCTTTTGGCAGTATGGTCATTTTCATAATGTTGAAATTTTCACATGGGATGCTAGAGCATGGGATGTGTTTCCATTTGTTTGTGTCATCAACAATCTCTTTCAGCAGTGTTTTGTAGTTTTCCTTGCAGAGGTCTGTCACCTCCTTGGTGAGGTATATTCCTAAGTATTTTATTTATTTTATTTTTGTGGCTATTGTAAAAGGGGTTGAGTTCTTGATTTGTTTCTCAGTTAGTTGCTGTTGGTGTATAGCAGAACTACTAGTTTGTGAACATTAATTTTGTCTCCTGAAATTTTGCTGAATTTATTTTTCAGTTCTAGGAGCTTTTTGGAGGAGTCTTTAAAGTTTTCTAGGTATACAATCTTAGCATCAGCAAACAGCGACAGTTTGACTTCGTCTTTACTGATTTGGATGCCCTTTATTTCTTTCTCTTGTCTGATTGTTCTGGCTAGGGCTTCCAGTTCTATGTTGAATAGAAGTGGTGAGAGTGGGCACCATTGTCTTGTTCCAGTTCTCAGAGGGAATGCTTTCAACTTTTTCCCGTTCAGTATTATATTGGCTGTGGGTTTGTCATAGATGGCTTTTATTACTTTAAGGTATGTCTCTTCTATGACTATTATGCTGAGGGTTGTAATCATAAAGGGGTGCCGGATTTTGTCAAATGCTTTTTCTGCATCTATTGAGATGATAATCTGATTTTTGTTTATGTGGCATATCTGTTTATGTGGCATCTAATTCTGTTTATGTGGCATATCACATTTATTGATTTGTGTATGTTAAACCATGATTGCGTTTTTTGGCATGCAGGGATGCAGTGGGTTTCACCTGATTGTGGTGGATTACCTTTCTGATAAGCTGTTGGATTTGGTTAGCTAGTATTTTGTTAAGAATTTTTGCATGTATATTCATCAGTGATATTGGTCTGTACTTTTCTTTTTTTGTTGTGTCCTTTCTTGGTTTTGGTATTAGGGTGATACTGGCTTCACAGAATGATTTAGGGAGGATTTCCTCCTATCTTATCAATACAATTTGTACCAATTCTTCTTTGAATGTCTGATAGAATTCAGCTGTGAATCCGTCTGGTCCTGGACTTTTTTGTTGGCAATTTTAAAATTAGGATTTCAATCTTGCTGCTTGTTATTGGTCTTTTCAGAGTTTCTAATTCTTCCTGGTTTAATCTAGGAAGGTTGTATATTTCCAGGAATTTGTCCATCTCCTCTAGGTTTTCTAGTTTACGCACAGAAAGGTGTTCATGGCAGCCTTGAGTGATCTTTTTGTATTTCTGTCATACTGGTCAAAATATCTCCCATCTTATTTCTAATTGAGCTTATTTGGGTCTTCTCTCTTCTTTTTTGGTTAATATCACTAATGGTCCATTAATTTTATTTATCTTTTCGAAGAATCAGCTTTTGGTCTCATTTACCTTTTGTATTTTTTTTTGTTTGTTTCAATTTCATTTAGTTCTGCTCTGATCTTGGTTATTTCTTTTCTTCTGCTGGGTTTGGCTTTGGTTTGTTCTTGTTTCTCTAGTTCCTTGAGATGTGACCTTAGATTGTCTATTTGTGCTCCTTCAGACTCTTTGATGCAGACATTTAAGGCTATGAACTTTCCTCTTAGCACTGCCTTTGCTGTATCCCAGAGGTTTCTATATGTTTTTGATATGTTGTGTCACTATTATCATTCCATTCAAAGAATTTTTTAATTTCCATCTTGATTTCATTCTTGTCCCAACAGTCATTCAGGAGCAGGGTATTTAATTTCCATGTATTTGCATGGTTTTGAGGGCTCCTTTTGGAGTTGATTTTCAATTTTATTCCACTGTGTTCTGAAAGAGTACTTGATAGAATTTCAATTTTCTTAAATTTATTGAGACTTGTTTTGTGGCCTATCATATGGTCTATCTTGGAGAATGTTTCATCTGCTGACAAATAGAATGTATATTCTGCAGCTGTTGGGTAGAATGTTCAAATATCTGGTAAGTCCAAGCTATAGTTCAAATCCATTGTTCTATCGGCCACTGAAAATATACATACACATTTATTATTGCAATAGCAAAATGCTATAAGCTGGGTTGACCCTATAAAATCTTCCTTTTCTGGGAAAAAATCCATTAATAATTTCAAATAACAAAATAAAAATGGACGGACAGTTAATAAAACTATAACAAGAGAATCTTGGTAGTCATTTTTTCTTCTTCTCTTCCAATCACATTAAATCTTCAATCCAAGATATACAGTTTGCTCTTCCTTTAAAACTTATTAATATTCTGACCAATTCTACCAGCTCTACTTCCACAGTGCCAACCAAACAGGATCAAATGCATCTAATGGTTTTTTTTAAAGGGAGTAGTTTGACTGCCAGGACCTACTGAGGCCAACAATATTAAGAAAGCTTCTGAAAATACTGTAAAAGAATTTTCTTTAAATAGTGAACCAAAAAAGCCCTTCCATTTGTGTAGTTGCTTTGACAAAACTGCAAACTCACCATCAATTAAAACTGTAAATATGGCAATAAAGGTAAGTCCATCTTTTCGTCTTATTCTTCTGTTAGCTGTGACTCCATTTCTTCGCTTCCTCTTGCCGCAAATCTCCTTGAAAGAAGTGCCTATTCCTTAAGCATTACTACTAATAAAATATCAAAAAACAACAGATGTTGGCATGGATGCAAAGAAAAGGGAATGCTAATACACTGTTGGTGGGAACGTAACTGGTTCTACCTCTATGGAAAACAGTATGGCAATATCTCTACGAATTAAAAAAAGACCTACCATTCCACCCAGTAATCCCAATACTGGGTATATACATCCCAAAAAAGAAATAATTATATGAAAAGACACCTTAACTCTTATGTTTATTGCAGCACTATTCACAATAGGAAAGTCACAGAATCAAAGTAAGTGTCCATCAACAGTTGATTGAATAAAGAAAATGTGCTACATATACACCAGGGAATACTAAGTAGCCATAAAAAGAATGAAATTCTGTCCTTTGCAGTGACATGGTTGGAGCTGGAGACTATTATCCTATGTGAACTAACTCAGAAGCAGAAAATCAAATACTGCATGTTCTCACTTACAAGTGGGAGGTAAACGATGGGTTCATATGGACATAAAAATAGAAATAACAGACCCTGGGGGCTTGAAAATGGGGCAGAGAGAGGAGGAAGTGAGGGTTGAAAGATTACCTATTGAACACAATGTTCAGTATTTGAGTGATGGGTACACCAGAAGCCCAAGCCTTACCATTATGCAATACACTCAGGAAAAAAACACGCACATGTGTCCCCAAATCTAAAATTAAAAAAAAAAATTTAACCCTCTTTATGGAGGGTTCAAAGGATAAAATAAAGTATAACTATACAAGCTTTCATATAATAATAGATGAAAACATATATATATTGATTACTCAAAAGGAAAAAAGAACAACATAGTCTTACTTTCTTCTAATATCTTTATTCATCTCCCCTCAAACTCAGTCTGAATGGCCTTCTATCCTTCCACCTCATAGAAATGATTCTGTTAAAGGCATTAATGGCCTGCATATTGCTAAACACAGTGGTCAGCGGTCAGGCCTCATCTTACTTAACCTGCCAGGTGATTATTCCTTCCTCCTTGATAAACTTTCTTCACTTAGCTACCAGGACACTGAACTATCTTGGTTTCTTCTCATCTCACTGTTTGCTCCATCTCAGTGTCCCTTACTGCTTCCTCTTTTTCTCCTGACTTCTTTATCTTGGATCGACCCAATGCTGTTTCTCTTCCTTTTTTTAGCTGTACTTACGCCCTTGGTGATGGCAATCTCTCAAATTTGAAATGTTATCTATTTGTTACAACCCTCCAATTTGTATCCCCAATCCAAACCTCTCTACTAAACTCTAAACCCATATATTCAACTCTCTGCACTTGGACATAAAAAAGCATCTCAAGTTCAAGATTCCCAAAGCTGAGCTTCTGATATCCTTCCCCCTTAAACGTGCTCCATCCACAGCTTTGCCAATCTCAGTTGATGGCTTCTTCAACAGTGCAGTGCCTTGGGCCAAATCCTGGTAGTTACTCTCAATTCTTCCCCTTTTATCACATCCCACATCCAATCCACCAGGAAATACAGTTTGCACTTTTTTTTAAAACATATCAATATTCTGACCAATTCTACCAGATCCACTTCTATGATGCCAAAAAATCAGGATTAAATACATCTAATGGTTGTTTTCAGAGAGAGATGTTTGTTTGTCAGGACCCATTGAAAAAGAAATGCCACTGATGTATTTTCTGGGAGCCAGTATTTCTTTCCTGATGGCTGCCATAAGGACCCTTCTATTGTTCTACACTCCAGGGAACATAATGCAATCAATGTGTGCATAAGTAAACCTAAGACACAGGTGAAGATGTAAAGATGATTTTGTTAGTTTGAAAGCCAATTACGAAGGCAGAGGAGCAAGATGGTGGAATAGAAGGCTCCACTGATCATCCCCCATGAAAGGACAAGAGGATAACAAGTACCTGCCTGGAAAAAACACCTTCATAAGAACCAAAACCAGGTGAGCACTCATAGTACCTGGTTTTAACTTCATATCGCTGAAAGAAGCACTGAAAATATAGCAAAAACAGCCCTGAATCAGGGGCATCATCTCCGCCCACCACCACCAGCCCCCCCAAACACACTCCCTGGCAGCAACAGCGTGGTACAGAGGGCATCTCTGGGCGGTGGCAGAGGAAGAACAGCAATTGTGAGGCAATGGACTCAGTGCTGTCCTGCTAGACTAGAAAGAAGAACTGGACCAAACTCGGCTGATGCCTGCTCTGAAAGGTAAGCTCCAGGCCAGGCAACATCCACTACAAGCTGACTTAAGGGCTTTTGGGTCCTAAGGGAACATCAGTGGTAGACTGGCAGTACTCCTCATGGCCTGGGGAGGCAATAGCTACAGAATCAGGCTTCTCTGCCTTTGGAAAGGGGACAGAAGAGTGGGAAGGACTGTGTCATGTAGTTTGAGTGCCACCTCAGCCACAATATAATAGAACACTAGGTAGACTTCTAAGGTTTTTGAGTCCAGTCCCTGACTCCCAGATGGCACTTCTGGACCCACCTGGGGCCTGGGAGATCTCCCTGATCTTATGGGAAAAACACAGGCCTGGCTGGCTTTGCCACTTGCTGATATTAGAGCCCCAGGGCCTTGAGCAAACATAGGCAGCAGCCTGGCAGTTGTTACAGCAGATGTGGGTGGAGACTCAGTGCTGTGCTGCCATCAGGTATGACCCAGCACACTTATAGTGGTGGTGGCCACAGGGGTGTCTGTGATACGTTTCCCTCAGCTCCAGGCAGCTCAGCACGGAGAGGCTCTGTATGTTTGGGAGAAATTTAGGGAAGAGAACAGAGTCTCTGCCTGGTAATCCAGAGAACTCTCCTGGATCTTGTCCAAGATCATCAAGGCCATACCTCCAACAGTCTGTAAGGACACAAATCTCCTTGAAAGAAGTGCCTATCATGTACGTTTATTGCGGCACTATTCACAATAGCAAAGACTTGGAACCAACCCAAATGTCCATCAATAATAGACTGGATTAAGCAAATGTGGGACCTATACACCATGGAATACTATGTGGCCGTAAAAAAGGATGAGTTCATGTCCTTTCCAGGGACATGGATGAAGCTGGAAACCATCATTCTCAGCAAACTGTCACAATAACAGAAAACCAAACAGCACATGTTCTCACTCATAAGTGGGAGTTGAACAAACAAAACACATGGACATAGGGAGGGGAACATCACACACTGCGGCCTGTCGGGGAGTGGGGGACTATGGGAAGGATAGCATTAGGAGAAATACCTAATGTAGGTGATGGTTTGATGGGTGCAGCAAACCACCATGGCACGAGTATACCTATGTAATAAAACTGCACGTTCTGCAAATGTACCCCAGAAGTTAAAGTATAATAATAACAAAAAAGAAAGAAGTGCCTATTTCTTGAGTATTATCATGTTATTAGGCTTGGGGCATCCAGTGAAGTATATACAGCTTAGGTCACCACACCCAAGTCCTTTCAAATATCTGGAAAGCCTTCCCAGGAAGGATGGCTACAAATAAGCACAGCCAGTGAAAACTACAATAAACACCTAACCCTCCAATGCATAGACACCAAATAACATCTGCTAGCATTAACACCAACCAGGAAAACATGACCTCACAAAATGAACTAAATAAGGGAGCAGGGACCAGTCTTGGAGAAACACAGATATGTGACCCTTCACACAGAGAATTCAAAATAGCTGTGTTGAGGAAACTCAAAGAAATTCAAGATAACATAAGAGGAATTCAGAATTCTATCAGATGTATTTAACAAAGAGATTGAAATAAAAAGAAAGCCAATTAAACTGCTCCATTGACATGTTTCCAGATTCAGGGTCTATAAACCACTTTTTTCAATGATTGTATGAAGCAGAAAGTTGATGTCAAGGTGACCAGCAGCGACACCCAGGTACCACATCGAGGGCTTTGAATTAACTTTCAGCAGAGTCAATCCCAGTGCTGTCAAGCAAATAAAAATAGAGTGAGGCCAACAATCTCAAGAATACTTCTGAAAATGTTGGAAAGAATTTTCTTTAAATAGTGAATAACAACAAGAAAAACCTTCCATTTGTGGAGTTGCTTCAATAAAACTGCAACCCCACCATCAATTAAAAGTTTAAGGCCACAACAATAAAGAAATGTCCATCTCTTGATCTCATTCTTCTGCTAGCTGTGGCCTCATTTCTTTGCCTCCTCTTGCCACAAATCTCCCTGAAAGAAGTGCCTATCCTTTGGGTAATATTCAAGAGTCAAAAAACAACAGATGTTGGCATGGATGCAGAGAAAAGGGAATGCTTGTACACTGTTCGTGGGAAGGTATATTTGTTCTACCTCGATGGAAAACAGTGTGGAGATATTTCAAGGGATCAAAAATAAAGCTACATTTTGACTCAGCAATCCCACTATTGAGCACCTACCTAAAGGAAAAAAATGATTATATAAAAAAGACACCTGGACTCTTATGTTTATTACAGCACTATTCACAATAGCAAATTCATGGGACCAACCTAAGTGTCCATCAACAGTTGACTGGATAAAGAAAATGTGCTACATATACATTGTAGAACACTATGTAGCCATAAAAAGAATAAAATCTTGTCCTTGGCAGCAACATGGATGAAGCTGGAGTCTATTATCCTAAGTGAACTAACTCGGAAGCAGAAAATCAAATACTGTATGTTCTCACTTATACGTGAGAGGTGAATGATGGGTACGCATGAACATAAAAATGGAAATAATAGACACTGGGGACTCCAAGAGGTGCAAAGAGATGGGGGAGTGAGGATCAAAAGACTGCTTATTGAACACAATGTTCAGTATTTGGGTGATGGGTACCCCAGAAGCCCAATCCCTGCCATTATGCAGTACACCCATGTAACAAACATGCACATGTACCCCCTGAATGTAAAATGTTTGAAAAAAAAAAAAGAATCTTGACCTTCTTTATGCAGGGTTTAGAGGATAAAATCATTAAAGAATATGCAAGCTTTCTTATAGTAATAGATGATAAAATCATATCGATTACTCGAAAGGAAAAAACTGCCTATTCTTACTTTGTTATATTTTCTTCATTCATTTCTTTTTTTTATTATACTTTAAGTTTTAGGGTACATATGCACAGGCAACCTACAGAATGGGAGAAAATTTTTGCAATCTACTCATCTGACAAAGGGCTAATATCCAGAATCTACAATGAACTCAAACAAATTTACAAGAAAAAACAAACAACCCCATCAAAAAGTGGCGAAGGATATGAACAGACACTTCTCAAAAGAAGATATTTATGCAGCCATTCATTTCTTTTTAAACTCAGTCTGAAATGGCCTTCTCTCCTTCCACCTCATAGAAATGATTTCTATAAAAGTCGTTAATGGCCTGCGCATTGCTAAACATAATGGTCGGTTATCAGTCCTCATCTTACTTAACCTGCCAGTTGATTATTCTTTCCCCTTGATAAACTTTCTTCACTTAGCCACCAGCACGCTGGAATCTCTTGGTTTCTTGCTCCATCTCAGTGTCCTCTACTGCTTCCTCCTTTTCTCTTGACCTCTTTATCTTGGATTGACCGATGCTGTTCCCCTTCTCTTTTTAAGCTGCACTTACTCCCTTGATAATCTCAACCTCTCAAGTTTGAAATGTTATCTGTTACAGGCCCCAATTTACATCCCCAATTTAGACCTATCTACTAAACTCTAAACTCATATAGTAAACTGTCTGCACGTGGTCATACAACAGGCAAGTCAAATTCAAGATTCCCGAAGCTGATCTCCTAATAGTCTTCTCCTTTAATGTGTTCCATCCACAGCTTTGCCGATCTCAGTTTATGAATTCTTTGCTCCTCCAGAGTCTTGGGCAAAAATCTTGGTAGTCATTCTTTATTCTCTTTTTATCACAACCCACAACCAATTCACCAAGAAATATAGTTTGCTCTTCCTTTAAAATATATCAGTATTCTGATCAATTCTACCATGGTCCACTTCCAGGATGCCAACAAAACAGGATTAAATACATCTAATGGTTGTTTTCAGAAAGAGTCGTTTGTTTTCTGGGACCCACTGAAGAAATGCCACTGATGTACCTTCTGGGGGCCAGTATTTCTTACCCGATTTCTGCTGTAAGGACTCTCCTATTATTCTCCACTCCAGGGAGCATCACACAATTGGTGTGTGCATAAGTAAACCTAAGATACAGGTGGAAATGTAAATATAATTTTGCTAGTTTGAAAGCCAATTACGAAGGCAGAGGAGCAAGATGGTGGAATAGAAGGCTCCACTGATCATACCCCTGCAAAGATACCAGGTTAACAAGAATCTAACCAGGAAAAAAAAAAAAAACACCCTCAGAAGAACCAAAAATCAGGTGAGCACTCGTAGGCCCTGGTTTTAACTATATATTGCTGAAAGAGGCACTGAAGAGAGAAAAAACAGCCCTGAATCTCAGGCACCACCTCCCCCGGCACTCCCTGGCAGCAGCAGAGTGGTACAGAGATCTTCTCTGGGAGCTGGGAGAGGAAGAACAGAGCAGTCGTGAAGCACTGAACTCAGTGCTGTCCGTTAGAGCAGAAAGTAAAACTGGACCAAATTCAGCTGATGCCTGCTCATGGAGGAAGCATTTACACTAGCGCTAGCCAGAGGGGAATCACAGATCCCAGTGATCTTGAACTTGAGTGAACTTGAGTGTCTGCGAATCTCACCACTGAGAGCTACAGCATTCTGTGTCTCCAAGTAACCTGGAAAAGCAGTCTAGGCTGTAAGGACTGCAACTCTTAGGCTAGCCCTAGTGCTGAACTAGGGCCAGAAATAGCGGACTTGGGATGCACATGACATACAAAAACACCAGCTTGGGCAGCCAAGGGAGTACTGGCATCTCCTCCCCAACTCCAAGCTGCACAGCTCACAGCTCCAAAACAGACCCCTTTCTTTCACTTAAAGAGAGGAGAGGGAAGAGTGGGAAAAGCTTTGCCTTGCATCTAGGATATCAGCTCAGCCACAGCAGGATAGGACATTGGTTGGAGTCATGAGGCCCCCGTTCCAGGCCCTAGCTCCCAGATGGCATTTCTAGACACACCCTGAGCCAGAAGGAAACTTGCTGTCTTCAAGGAAAGGACCCATTCCTGGAAGCATTCATCACCTGCTAACTGAATAGCTATTTATCACCTTGGACCCCAAATAACCAGCAGTGATACCCAGGTACTACGTTGAGGGCCTTGGGTGAGCCTCTGAGACCTGTGACTTCAGAAGAGACTCAGCACATTCCTGTCTGTGGCTGTTATGAGGCAAGGCTCCTGCTTGAGTAAAGCAGAGGGAAAAGCAAGGGGGACTTGGTCTTGCACCTTAGGTACCAGCATGACCACAGGGAGTAGAGCACCAATCGGGGTCTTAGAGTCATTGACTCGGACTTGACTCTTGAACAGCAATTCTGAACCAGCCCTGGGCCAGAAGAGAGCCCACTGCCCTGGAGGGTGAGCCCCAGGCCAGGCAGCATTCACTACAAGCTGACCTAGGAGCTGTTGAGCCCTAAGAGAATATCAGAGGGAGTCTGGCAGTATTCCTTGTGGCCTAGAGTGGCAGTGGCTATGGGGTGACCACTGCCTTTGGAAAGAGCAAGGAAGAGTGGGAAGGACTATGCCTTGTGGTCTGAGTGCCAGCTCAGCCACAATACAATAGAACACCAGGTAGGCTTCTAAGGTCCTTGACTCCAGTCCCTGACTCCTGGATGGCACTTCTGGACCCACCTAGGGCCTGGGGGATATTTGCCACCTGCTGATATTGAGCCCCAGGTTCTTGAGCAAACATAGGCAGCAGCCAGGCAGTGGTTACAGAAAGCCTTTGAGGAGACCAAGTACTGTGCTGGCTTCAGGTCTGACCCAGAACAGTCATAGTGGTGGTGACCACAATGGTGTTTGTGTCACCTTTTCCACAGCTCCAGGCAGCCCAGCACAGAGAGACTCTGTGTGTTTGGTAGAAGTTAAGGGACAAGAACAAGAGTCTCTGCCTCATAACTCAGAGAATTCTCCTGGATCTTGTCCAAGACCATCAATGCAGTACCTCTAAGAGTCTGCAAGAAGCATCATGTTACTGGACTTGGGGTATCCTCTAAAGCAGATACAGCTTAGGTCACCACACCCAAGTTATTTCAAATATCCAGAAAGCCTTCCCAAGAAGAATGGCTACAAATAAGCCCAGACAGTGAAGATTACAACAAATACCTAATCCTCCAATTCCTAGACACTGAAGAACATCTATTAGCATCAACACCATCCAGAAAAACATGACCTCACCAGATGAACTAAATAAGTCACCAGGGACCAATCTTGGAGAAACAGAGGGATGTGACCTTTCAGGCAGAGAAAAATAGCTGTGTTGAGGAAACTCAAAGAAATTCAAGATAACACAAAGATGGAATTCAGAATGCTTTCAAGTGTATTTAACAAAGAAATTGAAATAATTAAAAAGAAAGACAGTTAAACTTCTCCACTGACATTTTTCCAGATTCAGGGTCTATAAGCCACTTCTTTCAATTCTTGTCTGAAGCAGAAAGTCGATTTAAGGATATTAGCAAATAAAAATATAGTGAGGCCAACAATCTTAAGAATGCTTCTCAAAAAATGGTGAAAAATTTTTCTTCAAATAGTGAACAAAAAATAAAAGCCTTTCTATTTGTGCAGCTGCTTCAATAAAACTGCAACTTCTCCGTCAATTAAAACTTTTAATCCAGACAATAGAGAGAAGTCCATCTTTTGATCTCATTCTTCTGCTAGCTGTGATTCCATTTCTTTGTTTCCTCTTGGGTGTTATTAATAAAATGTCAAAAAAACAACAGATGTTGGCATGGATGCAGAGAAAAGGGAATGCTTGTACACTGTTCATGGGAAGGTAGATTGGTTCTACCTCTACGAAAATCAGTATGTAGATATCTCAAGGGATTAAACATAGAGCTCCCCTTCGACCCAACAATCCTGCTACTGGGTACCTACCCAAAGGAAAAGAAACACCTGCACTCCTATGTTTATTTTTATTTACTTTTTTTTTTTGAGATGGAGTTTTGCTCTTGTCACCCAGGCTGGAGTGCAATGGCACGATCTCGGCTCATTGCAACCTCTGCCTCCCAGGTTCAAGCGATTCTCCTGCCTCAGCCTCCCGAGTAGAGTAGCTAGGATTACCGGTGCATGCCACCACATCCAGCTAATTTTTCTATTTTTAGTAGAGACAGTATTTCACCTTGTTGGCCCAACTGGTCTCAAACTCTTGACCTCAGATGATCCACCTGTCTCAGCCTCCCAAAGTACTAGGATTACAGGCATGAGCCACAGCGCCCGGCCTGCACTCCTATGTTTATTCCAGCACTATCCACAATAGAAAGTTCATGGAACCAATCTAAGTGTACATTAACAGTTGATTGGATAAAGAAAATATGCTACATATGGCCAGGCACAGTGGCTCACACCTATAATCTCAGGACTTTGGGAGGATCACGAGCCGGGCAGATAACTTGAGGTCAGGAGTTCGAGACCAGCTTGGCCAACATGGTGAAACCTCGACTCTACAAAAAATACAAAAATTAGCCGGGTGTGGTGGCACGCACCTGTAATCCCAGCTTCTCGGGAGGCTGAGGCAGGAGAACCACTTGAACCCAAAAGGCAGAGGTTGCAGTGAGCCGAGATCATGCCACTGTACTCCAGCCTGGGCAACAGGGTGAAAAAAAAAGAAAAGAAAAGAAAAGAAAATATGCTACATACACACTGTGGAATACTATGTAGCCATAAAAAGAATAAAATCATATCCTTTACAGCAATGTGGATGAAGCTGAAGGCTATTATCCTAAGATAACAAACTCAGAAGCAAAAAAATCAAATTCTGCATGTTCTCACTTAAAATGAGAGGTAAACGATGGATACATATGGACATAAAAAATGGAAATAATAAACACTGGAGACTCCAAAAAAGGGCAGAGAGAGGAGGGAGTGAGGATTGAAAGATTACCTATTGAACACAGTGTTCAGTTTTTGAGTGACAGGTACACTAGAAGCCCAATCCCTACCATTGTGCAATACCCCCATGTAACAAACATGCACAGGTACCCCCAAATCTAAAGTTTTTGAAAAAAAGAATCTTGAGCATCTTTGTAAAGGATTTAAAGGATAAAATAAAGAACAGCCACGCAAGTTTTCTTATAATAGATGAAAAAATTATATTGATTACTTAATATGAAAAATAAACTGCATAGTCTTACTTTCTTCAATTTCTTCACTCATTTGTCCTTAAACTGAGTCTGAAGTGGCCTTCTATCCTTCCACCTCATAGAAATGATTCTGTTAAAGTCATTAATGGCCTGCATATTGCTAAACATAATGGTCAGTTATCAGGTCTCTTCTTACTTAACCTGCCAGTTGATTATTTCTTCCTGCTTGATAAACTTTCTTCACTTAGCCACCAGGACACTGAACTCTCTTAGTTTCTTCTCATCTCGCTGTTTGCTCCATCTCAATGTCCTTTACTGCTTCCTCCTTTTCTCTTGACTTCTTTATCTTGGGTTGACCCAATGCCGTTTCCCTTCTCTTTTTCAGCTGTACTTACTCTTTGGTGATCTCAGCCTCTCACGTTTTAAATGTTATCTATCTGTTACAAGCTCCAAATTTATATCCCCAATCCAGACTTCTGTACCAAACTCTAAACTCATGTATTCAACTCCCTGCACTTGGACATACAACAGGCATCTCAAACTCAAGATTTCCAAAGCTGAGCTCCTGATATTCTTCCCCCTTAAACATGCTCCATCCACAGCTTTGCCAATCTTAATTTATGACTTCCTCACCCGCCCAGTGTCTTGGGCCAAAATCCCGGTAGTCATTCCTGATTCTTCTCTTTTTATCACATCTCACATCTAATTCACCAGGAAATACAGTTTGCTTTTCCTGTAAAACATATAAATATTCTGACCAATTCTACCAGCTCTACTTCCACAAATCTGATCTGAGTTACCATTGTCACTGGAGGATTACTGTCATAGCCTTACAAATACTCTTTCTTCTGTCCATGCCTATCCGTAGTCCATTCTGTACACAGCAGCAAGGCGGATCCTTTTAAAATATAAGCATGATCATATCTGTCCTCTGTCCATGCCTCCCATCTTTCACTTACAGCCAAATTCCTTAATAATGGTCCATAAGTTTCTCTGTGATCTATTTTTCCATATTCTCTTCAATTTCATCTCCTACCTCTTTCCCCCTCTACTCCAGACACAGTGGCCTCCTTGTTGCTCCTTAAAACTTCTATTGACACTTCCTCATAATGGTCCTTGTCAGTAGCTAATATCTCTGTCTGGAACCTTTTTCTCCAAGGTTCACTGACTGTTTCCCTGAGTCATTTGATAAAGTTCAAGGCAAATCCTACATCTCCCTCTGAGTGAGGAGGTCACCCGGGCACAAATCATTGAACACATGTAACAGTGAAACAGCAAAGGAACTACCAAAACAAACTCCACTTTTGTTTAAGAGGCATTTACCCATTCCTGCATGTAAGTTAAGATAATTTTAAAGCACTGAGATAAAACACAAAAGCAACCATGTAGTTTTTTAAGTAAACTGTACAATTAAAGGGGAGATATGGAAACAACTAACTATGTTTTCCTGAAGATTTATAGAAGCATTGTGACTTGACCAAGGACAAAGAAGTTCCCAATCTTCTCAGAGCCTCACTGGTACCCAGATGTCTGCAGACTTCAGTCACCTCTTGATCCCAACCCCTGAGCATAGTTTCCTCATATCGCCCTCCCATAAGAACCCTCCAGCCAGCCTAAGAAACTTGAGATGGTCTTTGCAACCCTAGCCTGCCACCTCCTTGGGTTGCTGCTTCCCGATAAACCTGCTTCTCCTCACACCAACTCTCGTCTCTTGACTTTGGCTTTTGAGTGGCGAGCAGCTGAACCTAGATTTGGTTACACACATACTGGCCTATAGTGCAAAAGAGAATATGTATATGTTTGTCAATGAGAATGGCTGGATTTGCCTAATTCTCTGTTTTTTTGTATTTTTATTTAAGTTTGGAATTAGTTGTATATAAAATGTGTGTCTGTGCCCCTGAGTGTGTGTGTCTGGATTCAGATTAATATCTCCTTGTCAGGGGCATGCCTGCGTCTCTTAGCTGCAAGAGGAAACCATGCTCTGTGTCCTGATTCTACCTGGGCATCAATGTAGGAAACAAAGTCTTGGCTTTCACCTACTGATGCATCCATCTCTCCCACATCTCAACCCCTGCTGACTGTCTGTTTCCCTGATTGTGGGTCATATGATGAAGATCATGATAAATCTCATGTCCCCCTCTAATGGAGTAGACTGCAGTTTGTGTGTAATGGAGGGTGATGGGAAAAGGGGAAGTATTAGCATGCCTTGGGACCCACAATAGAGACAACTCAGACTTCTCCAGTCACCAAAATGAGCAGAGGTGGCTGATGTAAGAGCCTGAGATACACTCCAGGCAGGATTTCCTTTCCACATGTGTGTGCCTGTGTGTGTTGGGGTGGGGGCAAACTAATAAAGGTAAGTAGATGTTTGAGACAGAGAGAGCAAGAAGGACTGTGTTTGCTCTCAGGAGGTTACATTTCCTATAGTAATGGCTTTATGGAGAAAGTCGTTTTCCTGTCTCTGCAGAAGGAGTCCAGAATTCCAGGTGGATTTCTGTGAATATCCCAAGGAAGGCGCCACCATGACATTCCACTTCCCAGTGTACTCGAGCAATGTGGTAGTGATGAACAGCATCCAGAAAGGGTTATGGAATGAGAAAAACATGTTTCTCTGGCTCCTTTGTGACAGGGAAGTCTTTTGAGCTGTGAGTTTTGGTGCTGGACAATCAGTACCAGGTATGTGGGCCCTAAGGGGTGAGGGGCATGGACCTCAGTGGCTGGGGTGGGGCTGCTGTGGAGGAACTGAGTCCAAATCTGATCTGGTCTCAGTAGAAAAATTGGATTCCATATCCTACCATGCCCTTTGCTGCACACAAGCCCCAGCCACAAAAGCTGACCTCTGGTTCTGGTGCTCTCCTTGTCTTCTCCATAAAACATGCTCATTCTTGCAGATGGAGCTGAAACATCAAAACTCTGAACCTTATTGGTCACTGTCTCTTTCTCATTGAGAAAACACAGATCACAGACACATTCCCCACTGCAGTCCTTCATCCCTGAGGGCGGAGGACATGTCTCCTGTGCATGGCAGCAGTCTTGACCCTGAGGAAAATATTGAAGACAACTTTTTAAGCACTGCAGTGTGTGCTGTGCAAGTACAGATTCAGAGGTGAATCCAACACATCTCCTGCCCTCAAGGACAGTCAGGAATGTTGAGGGAAAATTACAGGCTTGCTGTCATCAGGGTAGACCAGGGATGAGAAGCTCTGGAAGCAAAGAAGTGGGACAATGGAGGATGATTTACTGCAGCCAAGGCTTGGCCATGTTTCCTGGAGAAGGAGATATTTGAGCTGTTTTGTTTTGAGGGAGAATAGAAATTTTTACAGGCAATGAGAGGAAAGGCATTTGAGGAAAGGGAAGGTGGAGGTCTGAATGTTCTGAGCTCACAAACAGTACATCTCTTTCCCCAGGTGTTTGTGAATGGGAAGTCCACCTATATGTTTGCCCACTCCCTTTCACCACAGTCTGTGAAAATGGTGCAGGTGAAGGGAGATACTTTCCTGACTTCAGTGGATATATTGTAAGGGGCAGAGAATCTTGCAATAAAAATATCCACCTCATTACACTCTTTTATAATGTGCATGATCACAGCATCTCCCAGAAGGTGCCAGAGTGTCTCCCAATCCCCACACTTAAGCTAATGATAGTAAAATCTTCCTAGTATTAGCCAGGACTTGGCTCTCGCTAATAGGAAAGATCCCAAGGGAAGATTTGGCACATGTGGAAATTCATCCTGGGTAGGGTGTACAGAGTGTGGCTTGGGAAAGGTGCAGGTGGTTAAAATGTCAATGGTTGCCCCTGAAATAGAGACAGAGCCAAAGCATCTCATGATATTATGCAGAAGATGGAAGGGTGTTGGGCTATGGAAGGAAGAAATATGGCTTTGGGCGTGTGACTCTCTTTTGAGTTGTTTGTTCATTCAACACATAGTTATTGACCCCTTACTGTCATATACCTCTATGTATGCCAGACATTCCCATATCACTGGTGTAAGGAGCTGAGAGGACCAGGAAATGATCCTATTGGCAAAAGGAACTCGATACTGATGAGTTAGGGATGAAGTTGTTCTTAGAGGGGCTCCTTAACTCAGGAGTTAAGTGTCAGTTGGTCAGGCAGATGTACCTTGAACCCTGATGCATGGCTTTCTGGAGGTCTATCTCCCCTCCCTCCACTCAGGACCACTCAGGGTGCACCCAAAAGCTTTCAGGGGTCACAAAGTGTGATCCAGGAGACTGGGCTCAGACCTTTCCAGACCTCTCTAGCCTGAGGTCCTCTGGAGACATACAGAAAAGCCAAAACCTGTAGACCTAATTATCCTCCAAGTTTCTGTGGTCCCTGAGTTTCCACAAACTCCCAGACACTTCATGTAAAAAGAATGGTTGCTTTTGTCATCTTTAGGCCCTCAGAGTGTTCTTCCATGATTTTCCTCGGAAAGTTTTGTTCATGTTTTTTTTGTGTTTTTGGTTGTTGTTTGTTTGTTTTGTGTTTTAGAGACAAGCTCTTTCTCTGTCACCCAGGCTGGCTTGCAGCAGTGTGATCACAGCTCACTGAAGCCTCGAACCCCAGGGCTAAAGTGATCCTCCTGCCTCAACCTTCTTAATAGCTGGTACTACAGGCACATGTCACCATGCCCAGCTAATTTTTTTTATCTTTGTAGAGACAGTCTTTCTATGTTGCCCAGGCTGGAATGCACTGGCAGGATCATACCTCACTGCAGACTCAACCTTCTGGACTCAAGCAATCCACCTACCTCAGCCCTTGAAAGTGCTGGTATTACAGGAGTGAGCCACTACGTCTGGCTCCCCAAGAAGTTTTGATATTGCTTACGTGTCTATCTATTACCACAATAATAACCATGAAAAGATGCTGAATCAAAACAAACAAAAATAGTTCAGGTTCTGGAGCAAGCCTGGTTCAAACCTCTGCTGTCTTAATTCTTAGCTCTGTGACCTTGTGCAAGTTTCTTAAACTCTCTATACCTCAGTTTCCTTTTTTGAAAAATGAGGATAGTTGTATCTATCTCATATAGTTGTTGTGAGCATCAGGTGAATCGATACTTTTTTTAAAAGATGCTGAATCACCAGGGAAATGCAAATCAAAACCACAGTGGGATATTACCTCACATCTGTTAGCATGGCTATTTTCGAAAGAACAAAAGATAACAAGTGTGGGCAATGATGTGAAGAAATTGGAGGCCTTGTGCACTGTGGGTAGGAATGCAAAATGGTGCAGCCACTATAGAAAACAGTATGGAACTTCTGCAAAGAATTACAAATATAACTACCATATGACCCAGGAATCCCACTCCTGGGAATATAGCAAAGAAGTTGAAATCGGGATTTCAAAAAGATATTAGCATCCCATTGTTCATTGCAGCACTATTCACAATGGCCAAGATATGGAAACAACCTAAATGACTATAGACAGATGATTCAATAAAAAAAATGTGGTGTATACACACAATGGAAAATTATTCAGCCTTTAGAAAGAAGGATATCCTGCAATATGCAACCACATGGATGAACCTTAAAGACATTATGCTAAGCAGATAAGCCAGCCACAGAAGGACAAATACTGCAGGATTCCATTTATATGAGGTGATTGAAATAGTCAAAATTAGAGAAGCAGAGAGTAAAATCGTGGTTACTGGGGGTCGGGAGGAGGGGTAAATGGGATATTGCTAACCAGCGGACATAAAGTTTCACTTACACAAGATGAATAAGTTCTAGAAATTGTCTGTACAACACTGTGCCAATAGTTAACAACACTGTACTGCAAACATAAAAAATGTGTTAAGAGGGTAGATGTCATGTCAAGCATTTTTACCACAGTAAAGTAAAATTTTGTTAAAGAATACATGTAAATTAGTACAAACACTATGGAGAACAGTTTGGTGATTCCTCAAAAAACTAAAAATGGAAATCCAGCAATCTCACTGCTGGGTATATATCCAAAAGAAAGGAAATCAGTATGTTGAAGAGATATCTGCACCCCCATGTCTACTGCAGCACTGTTCACATCAGCCAAGATTTGGAAGCAACCTCAGTGTCCAGCAACAGATGAATAGATAAAGAAAATGTGGTGCTTATACACAAGGGAGTATTATTCAGCCATAAAAAAGAATGCGATCCTGCAATTTGTAACAACATAAATGGAAGTGAAGTTCATTACGCTAAGTGAAATAAGCCAGGCACCGAAAGACAACCATCACATGTTGTCACTTGTTTGTGGATCTAAAAATCAAAAACAATTGAACTCATGAAAATGGTGAGTACAAGGACGGTCTCCAGAGGCTGGGAAGGATAGTAGAGGGCTGGGGATGAGAGATGCAGATGGTTAATGGGTACAAAAAATAGTTAGCATGAATGAATAATGCCTAGTATTTGATAACACAACCAGGTGGCTATAGTCAATAACTGTACATTTAAAAATAACTAAAAGAGGCCGGGCATGGTGGCTCACATCTGTAATCCCAGCACTTTGGAAGGCCAAGGTGGGTGGATCACTTGAGGCCAGGAGTTCAAGACTAACCTGGCCAGCATGGTGAAACCCCGTATCTACCAAAAAATACAAAAATTTCACTGGGCGTGGTGGCGCATGTCTGTAGTCCCAGCTACTCAGAAAGGTTGAGGCACAAGAATCCCTTGAACCTGGGAGGCAGAGGTTGCAGTGAGCTGAGCTTGTGCCACTGCACTCCAGCCTGGGCAACAGAGCAAGACTCTGTCAAAAAAAAAAAAAAAAAAAAAAACCCTAAACTAAAAGAGTATAATTGGATTGTTCATAACAGAAAGCATAAATGTTTGAGGGGATGTAAACCCCAATTTCTATGATGTGATTATTATGCATTGCATGCCTGGATCAAAATATCTCATGAACCCCATAAATATATACACCTACAATGTTCCCATATAAATAAAATTAAAAATTAAAAACAATACAAAAAAGGCATGTGCTATTCTATTGGTCCTGGCATACTGGCTTTGATAGACACATCCATCTTTTCTCACTGGTAGTGTCAATCACCTACTTTTATGAACCATTCTTAAATCAATTTGAGACAGCATCCCACATTAAATTGTACATCCAAGGAGTCAATACCAGTTTCAAAGGAGATAGAAATAGACCAGATTTTTCTTTTTTCTTTTTTTATTTTATTTATTTATTTATTTATTTATTTATTTATTTATTTATTTATTTTGAGATGGCGTCTCATTCTGTTGCCAAGACTGGAGTATAGTGGCACAATCTTGGCTCACTGCAACCTCTGCCTCTCAGGTTCAAGTGATTCTCCTGCCTCAGCCTCCTGAGTATCTGGGACTACAATCATGTGCCACCACACCTGACTAATTTTTGTATTTTTAATAGAGATAAGTTTTCACCGTGTTGGTCGAACTGGTCTTGAACTCCTGACCTCAAGTGATCCACCTGCCTCAGCCTCCCGAAATGCTGGGAATACAGGCTTGAGCCACCACGCCCAGCCAATAGACCAGATTTTTGAAACATTTACATGTTAAAAAAAGAGAGAGAGAAAGGGAGAGAGCAGGATTTATATTTATTCAATGTGAGGGAGAGTATGTCAAAGATTACTCCCGTTCAGGAACAGCTAAGTGGAGAGGGTTTCCATATTGGTACAGGGAAAAATGGAGGAGAACCTGATTTGCATTAATAGTGACAGGTGTCCAGAAGAAATGTGAGTAGTGATGTTAAGGCAGAAATTACATGTTAATATGTCTGGAGCTCCAGTAGAAAAGGTTGAGGTCTATGGTAGAGATAAACTTGGCATATTCAGCACATATCTTAAACACGTGCAGACTTGATATGGCCTAAAGGAAACTAACACAGATGTGGAAACATGGGGAACCCAAGACTAAGCCCTTCAAAAGTCTGATCCTTAAGAATTGAATAGAAGAAGCATGAGAAGGCTCTAGGAATGAGAAATTCCATCCCCCACCCCCTCCCCCACCACAACATCAAATAACAACCATACTTGGAACCCGCAGAATCAGTGTTGGGACTCACAGCAGACAGCAGCATGACAAGGATGCAATGATATTTGCAGCAGGGAACATCTGGGAATACAGAAAGGGCCTTGCAAAAGCAGAACCCAAAAAATATATACCCTTAGAAGGTAAAAAACCCACCCTCGAGGCAACTGTTAAGATTGAGACAAAGAAATGGGATGGCACAGAATTGCTGAGCACCAGCAGAAAAGAGGAGAAAGAGCAATATCTTTTAAATTAAACATCAGTGTAGCAACTGAAAAAAGAACTCTTCCTCAAGATAATTTATTTTCATCTGATAGAAAATTGTCATAGGCTGGGCATGGTGGCTCACGCTTGTCATCCCAGCACTTTGGGAGGCCGAGGCACTCCCAAAGTGGTGGGATGAGAGGCGTGAGCCAATGGGCCCAGCCTATTAGCATGTTTTGAAAGTATACAATGTTATGTTACTGATGATAAGTCTGTGTCCCTTCCCAATGAGGCAGTTATATAGGACACAACCTACCACTACACATACAGCCTCAAAGCACTGGCCCAGGCTCTGCCTCACCTTACAGCTGACCCATGAGGGTTCATCTGACAACTTCAGGCTCCAGAGGCGTTGAAGAACAACAAATTGTTGATTGTCTACACACAGAGATTGTTGACGGCTGTTGTGATAACTCAGTTCTTGTCTTCTTAGTTTAAAAGAATTTAAACAAGATGCAGAAAAAAAGGAATGCTTTTATGCTGTTGGTGGGAATGTAAATTAGTTCAACCATTGTGGAAGACAGTGTGGCGATTCCTCAAAGATTTAGAACCAGAAATATCATTCGACCCAGCAATACCATTGCTGGGTATATACCCAAAAGAACATAAATTATTCTTATTATAAAGATACATGCACACGAATGTTCACTGCAGCACTATTCACAATAGCAAAGACATGGAATCAACCCAAATGCCTATCAATGATAGACTGGATAAAGAAAATGTGGTACATATACACCATAGAATACTATGCCACCGTAAAAAGGAACGCGATCATGTCCTTTGCAGGGACATGCATGGAGGTAGAAGCCGTTATCCTCAGCAAACTAATGCAGGAACAGAAAACACCGCATGTTCTCAGTTATAAGTGGGAGGTAAATGATGAGAACACACGGACACAGGGGAGGGAACAGCACACACTGGAACCTGTCAGGGGGGCAGGGGAAGGGAGAGCATCAGGAAGAATAGCTAATGAATGCTGGGCTTAATACTTAGGCAATGGGATTATCCCTGCAGCAAACCACCACGGCACACATTTACCTATGCAACAAACCTGCACTTCCTGCACATGCACCCCGGAACTTAAAATAAAAGTTGATTTAAGAAAAAAGAATTTAAACAAGAGACACACAGCAAAAGAGATGCAGCATAGAGTAATCTATTGCAAAAGAATACTTTGAAGGTTAAGTGCAGAATAGACAGTACACCCTAAGAGAGAGAGGTCAGAGTAGTTTGCTCATGAGAATGAGACAGTGTTGCGTTTTGCTGGAGAAACCTCATTTCTGGGAAACTTACATGATTATTCATAAGGAGGTGGGAAAAGGTGTTACTAATAAGCATGTTCTGGGTGGTCTTCTGGGTGCACACGCACAGTAGCTGTACATGCCTGTTCATACATCATGTGTCTCATTAGCATCTTAAATCTCCACCCAGAGATGTGTTTTTTACTATTATAATGAGCAACAGATCTGCTTGAGGACAGGTAAAATTAAAATGCACATTCTTTCTAGAAACGAAATCCTCTACTGAAGGGAGCTTTGCTTGAATGAGCTCTATTACAATGTGAATGCTGAGGCTTACTGTGTTGATTGTATGGCCACCAAGGTTGCTGCATCCCAAAAACATGGTCTCTTCCTTGACTACCTGTCTTGCCTCAAGATTATCACATGGATTTCCTCAAGCAAATAGCATTTATGGGACTAGGATGTGGACATCAGAAGACATCCAGGAAGCACTTGGAAAAAGTTTTCTCCTTGTTTCTACAGACACGCCGATTGTGCTAGATGCCTTGGGGTCAATAAAGACCCATGTATCTCTTGGTCATCTGAGCAGAGTTAAATTAGGAATTCAGGACTGGCTTTTCAGGTAAAAGAAGTGGGCACTGACAGCTTGGCTGGATTTCCCAGGTCCCCATTTAATTATTGTAATAAAAGCTCAGGCTCATTCACTCCCTCATTTAATGTCTCAGCTCATAAGATGAATATCTAAGGTATGGCAACGGTCTGCAATAAACAGAATGCTTGTGTCCCCTCATATTTATATTGAAATCGTAACCCCCCCGGCAATGTCACGGCATAAAGAGGTAGGGTCTTAGGGTGGTGATTAACTCGTGAGGGTGGGGCCCTTATGAATGGGATTAGTGCCCTTCTAAAAAGTACCCCAAGGAGCTCTCTCGCCCTCTCTCTACCATGTGAGGATACAACAAGGAATCAGCAGCGTGCAACCTGGAGGAGGCCTTTCAGCAGAACCCAGCCATGCTGGCACCCAGATCTCAGACCTCCAGCCTCCAGAACTGTGAGAAATAAATTTCTGTTGTTTATAAGACACTGAGTCTGTGGTATGATGTTGTAACAACCTGAATTGACAAAGACATAGTCTAAGTAAGAAATAATTATAAGACAACTTTATGCCTTGGAGAGGCATCACTGGACAGACAGTCTGTCTTATTAAGTATAGGACACAGTTTCTTTTCCAAGGCTGGAAATGGATGGAGCCTGAAGATGTCTCTGATGCATCCTCTCCCACCGCTAGAGGGCAGCATCCTAAGGATCCGTTTCCGAAGCGCTGGAATTGCGTTTTTAGAGGTCACAGACCCTTTGGTAAACAAATAAATGCTATGGACGCCTAATTTTTAGAGTATGTTCTCATGTTTACAGGTTCTTCTATATTCAGAATTTTAAAATATCATTCTCACCAAGAATCGGAACTTACTGAAAAAGAAGGGAGTGAAAGAATTTCTGAGTTCGTGGGAAACCTGGCCATGCACTGCAGTGTAATGAAAACTGGGACTCCAGGGGGCAAATGAGGGTAAATGCTGTTCCTAAAGCGGGGATCAGTTAAAAAAGGTCAATCACTACCTTAGGTGATTGGTGAAAGGTTGGTGAGTTTAGCCCATGAGATAATATATGTGCTTCTCTTTTGGGGTCCCAGCCTCCCAAAGTGCTGGGATTACAGGCATGAACCACCGCGCCCAGTCTCTTATGGATTTTTTTTAAATCAAGAATTCTCTGGAAAGAACATTTTCCTTTCCGGAAGGGGCCACGTATACGCTATCTTGAGAAGAAGGCAGGTTATATTTGAGAAGAATCAAAATTTAATGTCAGATGCAGCAATGAGGTTTCATGTTTAGCAAATCTGAGTCTGATTGTTGAACTATTACATGGACAACATAATGTCACAGTGGGAATCTAGTGAAAATTGGCCCAATATGTCTTGAGAAGCCACTAGGGGAAGCCAAACACTACGTAACCAAAAAAATCAAATTGGGGTTAGGAAAACAGAATTAGCTACCAGGGAAAATAATGTCCCAAGTGTTCTCACCTTCTTCTTCTTAAATTGAAGTTTAAAGCATTTTGCGGCTCAACCCCTAACCGCAAAAGAAAAGCACACATATTATCCCATGGGCTAAACTCACCAACCTTCCACCTAAGGTAGTGATTGTCGTCTTTTAATTACTCCCTGCTTCAGGAGCAGCGCTTACCCTCATTTGCCCCCTGGAGTCCTAGTTTTCATTCCACTGCACTACATGGCCAGACTTCCCACTGGCTCAGAAATTCTTTCACTCTCTTCTTTTTCAGTAAGTTCCAATTCCTGGTGAGAATGATATTTTAAAATTCTGAATATAGAAGAACCCGTAAACATGAGAAAATGCCCTAAAAATTAGGAGTCCAGAGCATTTATTTGTTTACCAAAAGGGTCTGTGACCTTTAAAAACTCAATTTCAGCCCTTTGGAAACGGATTCCCAGGATGCTGCCCTCTAGCGGTGGGAGAGGATGCATCAGCGATATTTTTTTTTTTTTTTTTTTTTTTTTTTTTTTTGAGACGGAGTCTCGCTCTGTCGCCCAGGCTGGAGTGCAGTGGCGGGATCTCGGCTCACTGCAAGCTCCGCCTCCCGGGTTCACGCCATTCTCCTGCCTCAGCCTCCCAAGTAGCTGGGACTACAGGCGCCCGCCACTACGCCCGGCTAATTTTTTGTATTTTTAGTAGAGACGGGGTTTCACCGTTTTAGCCAGGATGGTCTCGATCTCCTGACCTCGTGATCCGCCCGCCTCGGCCTCCCAAAGTGCTGGGATTACAGGCGGCATCAGCGATATTTTGACCAGCCTGGTCAACAGGGCGAAACCTTTTCTCTACCAAAAATGCAAAAATTAGCTGAGTGTGTTGGTGTGCACCTGTAATCTCAGCTATTCAGGAGGCTGAGGTAGGAGAATCGCTTGAACCTAGAGGCGGAAATTTGCGGTGAGCGGCGATCACGCCACTCTGCACTCCAGCCTGCACGACAGAGTGAGTGAGACTCCCCTTAAAAAAAAAAAGATGTGGAATGCATGTTTACAACAGCACAATTTGAAATTGCAAAGATACGGAACCAACCTATGCATCTATTGACCAACGGGTGAATAAAGATAATGTGGTATATATGCACCATCGAATACTACGCAGCCATAAAAAGCAATGAAATCATGTTTTTTGCAGCAACTTGGATAGAGCTGGAGGCCATTATTCTAAGTGAAGTAACTCAGGAACGGAAAACCAAATATTGCATGTTCTCGCTTATAAGTAGGAGCTAAGCTATGGGTACACAAAAGCATACATAGTGATATAATGGACTTTGGGGTCTCGGGGGTGGGGAAGTTGGGAGAGGGGTGAGGGATGAAAGACCACGTATTGGGCTGGGGGTAGTGGCTCATGCCTGCAATCCCAGCACTGGGAGGCCGAGGCAGGCAGGTCACCTGAGGTCAGCAGTTCAAGGCCAGCCTGGCTAACATGGTGAAACCCCATCTCTACTTAAAAAAAAATTACAAAAATTAGCTGGGCATGGTGGTGGGTGCCTGTAGTCCCAGCTACTCGGGAGACTGAAGTGGGAGAATCACTTGAACCCAGGAGGCAGAGGTTGCAGTAAACTGAGATCACAGTAAGCTGAGTGCAGTGGTGCACTCCAGCCTGGGCAACAGAGCGAAACTCCGTCAAAAAAAAAAAAATGACTACAAAGACTACATACTGGGTACAGTGTACACTGCTTGGGTGATGGGAGCACCAAAAATCTCAGAATTCACCACTAAAGAACTCATCTATGTAACCAAAAACCACGTGTACCCCCAAAACTATTGAAATTTAGAAAACATTCTAAAAATGAATAAAATAAAATACCAGTAAGACATGTGATGTATGTACTCATATGTAGAGCAATAGCACATGCGCATCCAGGAGACCACCCACAACATGCTTAAAAACAATACCCCTTTCCATGCCCTCATGAATAATCGTGGAAGACTTCCATAAAGGGAGTTTCCCAGTGCCAGTCTGGGCTGTCTCATTCTCAAGCTGCCGCCTCTGACCTAGCTTTCAGAGTGCACTTTCGCTCTGCAATAAACTCCTTTGCCGACTTTTACTCTGCACTTGACTCTGAAATTCTTTTGTGCGGTGAAGTCAAGAACCTGAACTGGCCAGCCAACAACAATAGCAGCGTCAGGCTCCGCAAGTTAAAGGGCTCAGACCCACCTAATTGCTGCCACTTCAGGTGGCAGTCGCAAGGTCTCAACTGCCACCTGCACTTCTGACCAACTGGCTATAAATTGGGGAGTTCCCATGACCCTCTCCAAAGGTTGAATAATTTGCTAAAATGGTTGCAGAACTCAGAAAACACTTTACTTAGATTGTTGGTTTATTATAAAGGATACGACTTAGGACAGCCAAATGAAAGAGATGTATAGAGCAAGAAATGGGGGGCTGGGTGGATGGTGCAGAACTCTCAGGCCCTGAGTGTGCCATGCTCCCAGTACTTTAAAGTGTTAGCCCACCCGGAAGCTCACTGACAGGTTTTATTCCTTAGGCATAATTGATTAAATCATTGGTCATGGGTGATTAACTCAATCTACAGTCCCTCTTGCCTCCCTGGAGGTCGGGGTGGAGCTAAAAATTCCAACCCTCTAATCACGTCTTGGTCTTTCCAGTGAGCAGCCCTCATCCTGAAGCTACCTAGGGGCCCCCAGCCACCAGTCATCTCATTCACATGTAAAAGACACTCCTTACTCCAGAGAATCCAAGGATTTTGGAGCTGTGTGCCAGGAACCTGGACAAAGACCAAGTCTTTATTTTTTGTTTTGTCACAACAGGCAATATAGTCTTCTGGTTAACAGCCCAGGCTCTGGAGACACACTGCCTGGGTACAGTTCCATGTCATCTTCTAAAATGTGCCCTTAGCAAGTTATTTCTTAACATATCCATGCTAATTCCTCATCTGTAAAATGGGGATAATACCAACTACCTCTTAGTTATGTTATGAAATTACATACATTGATTTTTTATTGTTCAAAAAAGACCATGTACATGTCTTTTGTTAATAAAATAAATTGAATGTCATTAATTGTTTTCTTGTCCAGATTAGAATTTCATATCTGAGCTTTATCCACCCTCTTCTCTCCGTAATGCTGAATTTTACAACCTATACAACCGACATAACTACAGCTCCAGGAAATCCAGAAAAAGGGTGGGACTGCTCTAACCTCAGCTGCTGATGGCCTCTTTGTAGATTGTCTTAGCTGATGCCTTTACTCTGGAAGATGGCACAGTTTCTCATTCCTTTCCCAGGAAAGGAAGATCCAATAGAAATTTACCCATCCTCTCGCCCTTGATGGCTACAACCTGAAAATGTCTTCAATGCATATGACCTCACTCCTAGAGGGTCGCGTTTTGAGAATGCATAAAAGCTCACTTTGGGACGCCAAGGCGGGCGGATCACGAGGTCAGGAGATCGAGACCATCCTGGCTAACATGGTGAAACCCCATCTCTACTAAAAATACAAAAAATTAGCTGGGCACCTGTAGTCCCAGCTACTCAGGAGGCCGAGGCAGGAGAACGGCGTGAACCCTGGAGGCGGAGCTTACAGTGAGCCGAGATTGGGCCATGGTACTCCAGCTTGGGTGACAGAGCAAGACTACATCTCAAAAAAAAAAAAAAAAAAAAAGCTCAAAGCTATTCTTTGTGGGCCGATGATGGATATAATAAACCCCTCAAACTTATTCTCAGATCCACAGGAAACTTGAGCGACTCCCTATGTTCTGATATTTTCTAAATACAATGTACTGCATTCCTTTTGACTTCCCCAAGCCCAAACATTCCAGAGAATTTTACAGAAATTCTATTTTTGATCTGAATTTGGGGGCCTGCACATGAGACTTTCTCTCAAATTACCCTCTATTTTGTCCAGAAATCCCTTATAGTTCATGTCCTTGGGACTCTGTTGAAGGGGAGAAGGAGGAAAGTCCTCCCTACTGTTTCTCATGCCTTCTTGAGCTCTGTGTCCTGCATCTGTAGTGCATGCTATTAACTTTGCTCCCAGATCTTCTTACCCATCAGGGCACTCATCCCTCAGATGCTGTCACGAGAAGCTGGCTCCCCCCGCTCTGGAGAATTGTCCTTGGTCAAACAGAAGTCACTTCACTTCGGAGGTGAAGGTCCCCCTCACTTCCTCCAACTTGTTGTAGAACCCCAAAATTTAGGTTCACATTCCCAACGTGCAGTCAGCCAAACATTGACACTTCAGTGCTTAGGAGTAGAGAGGATTATCCCATTTGGCCAAAGTGAGAGGGTAGGAGAGAAAGTCTCTCAGATCTAACCTGCCTGTGAACATAATAGGGCTTTTATGAGGAAGGTAGGTGTGTGGGAGGTGAGATGCCCTAATAATCAAAACTGATTGCATTCTTGGGCCTGATCAAACTTCTGGATGCCGTGAAGGAGGTCTGTGTGACCTAAGAATCAGTTTCTTTTTTGTTTGTTGGTTTTTGAGACAGGATCTTGTTCTGTTGTCCAGGCTGGAGTGCAGTGAGGGGCATGATCATAGCTCACTGTATTCTCGAACTCTTGGGTTCAAGTGATCATCTCGCCTCTGCCTCCCAAATAGCTGGGACTACAGGCGTGCACCACCATGCCCAGCAACTTTTTTTTTTTTTTTTTTTTTTTTTGAGACAGAGTCTTACTCTGTAGCCCAGGCTGGAGTGCAGTAGCATAATCTCGGGTCACTGCAAACTCTGTCTTCCGTGTCCCAGTTCAAGCAATTCTCCTGCCTCAGTCTCCCAAGTAGCTGGGATTACAGGCACGTGCCACCATGCCCAGCTAATTTTTTGTATTTTTAGTAGAGACAGGGTTTCACCATGTTGGCCAGGCTGGTCTCGAGCTCCTGTCCTTGTGATCTGTCCACCTCGGCATCCAAAGTGCTGGGATTACAGACGTGAGCCACTGCGCCCAGCACCCAGCTAATTTTTAAAACATTTTGTAGAGACAGGATCTCACCATGTTGCCCAGGCTGGTCTCAAGCTCCTGGGCTCAAGTGATCCTCCTGCTTTGGCCTTCCAAAATGCTGGGATTACAGGCATGAACCACCATACCCAGCCCCATGGACCACTGTTCTTTAGAAAAACAAGTTCATTAACCCTGCAAGTAGCCCCAGGAGTTAGGATATGAAGTTAGCCAATTACTCGTGACTCCCTCTACCAAAATGGCTATGTGAAAGCCAGCATGCATGGAGGAAGACGGGAAAATAAGGAAAACAAATCTCTCACGATTTTCATAATGCAGGCTCGGTTACAAACCCAGAAGGCAGAATGCAGTCAATGACTTGGTGATATGGGGGTACAGAAGACCACTCCCATACCTCAAAGAGCCACTGTGAGGTGCAGTTCAACCTCCAGTGCTTCTCCCTGGAATTAGACTAAGCTACATCCAGCTGAGACCACATTCCAGCTCAGCTCCCTTTGCTGTATTTCAGTTTTCTCACATCTCTATTTCTGGAAGCTCTGTTTCAATAAATCACTTGAACAAGAATCCCTGTCTGAGGCTGTGCTTCAGGAATCTAATCTGTAACACCATCTCTCCAAGGGAGAACATTTACCTTGTTAGTCTCAGTCCAGAAGGAAACCTTGTTATTTCAGGCCACCTGTGTTGCAAATCCCTTCAGTCTCTCACCCAGGGCATTGCATTTGAATTTCAATGCTAAATCAGATGTATCTTTCTTCAATATTCTGTATATGAAGGTTCACAGGGAAGAAACTCATACAGATCATTTGATAATACTGTCAAGCAAAAGTTGTAGAAGGCCATTGTTTTGGACTGAGCTCCTATACTAGGCCCAACGGACCAGACCAAACCAAAATAAAGTCACTCATGCTAAATGCCACATTATCCAACTGAAACTTTAAGATGGCAGAAAAATCCCCAAACAGATCAGTTTTTCCTGACAATAGGAGATCCCACTTTACCTCAGTCAGTGTAAGAAGGAAGTCCCCTCTGCTTTAACCCTTATTTAAAAAGTAACCGGAAGTAATTTGACATGAACCAATCAGCTTTTTTTCCTATTTTTCTGTTTCCTTTTTCCCACCTTACAAAATTCACTGTTCTGCCACTGGCCAGTGGGAGCTCTCATTCTATTTCATAGAATGAAGGATGAATAAAAGGATTCATGAATTACGAATAAAAGCCAATAAGATCTTTATCTAAATGTGCTGTAATTTTGTCTTTCAACATGATTTGCCTTAAACTGATATTCCTCACACTTATTTTCATCCACATACAACTTCTTATCATATCTTATCCTAAAGTATCTTATCCTAAAGTATAATGAATACCACAGACTGGACAATTTTTAATGAAAAGAAACTTACTGCTTACAGTTATGGAGGCTGGGAAGTACAAGGTCAAGGGGCTCACATATGGGGAGGGTCTTCTTGTTTCATCAGCCCACGGTAGAAGGCAGAAGAAAGGGAAGGAAAGAGAGAGAGAAAGAGAGAGAGAGAGAGACACTCGATGTTATAACAAACTCACTCCCGAGATACTGAGATAATGACATTAATCCATTAATCCAGTCAGGCAAGCCGAGCTCTCCTAACCTAATCACCTTTGATTAGGCCCCATCTCCCAACACTGTTGCATTAGGGATTAACTTTTCAACCCATGAACTTTGGAGAACATATTCAAAGCATAACAAGAAGGGAAAACTAGTTTGCTTTTTAAATACATGTTGATGCACGTAGCACACATCTGGACACCAGGCAACATTTTTCTAAGGAGCCTCCTACTCATCAATTCTTCTCTACCCCACCCATGACAAACATATTGCCACTTTCTATAAGTGGCATTAATAGGAATGTGAATTATGAGTGCAGAGGTACCCAGCAATTCTAAATGGAAGGACCATGACACACATCAATAAGAACAAGATAGAATGACAACCTGGCTTAACAAGATGCCGTGACTTTATAAACCTATAGTAATTTAAGGCATATGAGATATACAAGTCTTAAGCTCAGAGGAGAGGCTGATGACAATTACACCACTACAGTTAAAGACTGCAAACTTTAGCCGGGCGCGGTGGCTCATGCCTGTAATCCCAGCACTTTGGGAGGCCGAGGCGGGCAGATCATGAGGTCAGGAGTTCGAGACCATCCTGGCCAATATGGTGAAACCCTGTCTCTACTGAAAATACAGAAATTAGCCGGGCGTTGTGGGGGGCGCCTGTAGTCCCAGCTACTCGTTAGATTCAGACAGAAGAATCGCTTGAACCCGGGAGGCGGAGGTTGCAGTGAGTTGAGATCATGCCACTGCACTCCGGCCTGGGCAACAGACAGAGACTCCATCTCAAAAAAAAAAAAAAAAAAAAGACTGCAAACTTTGGCATCAGGCTGGCTGGATTCAAAGCCTGATTTTGCCACTTGTTAGCCCATGAATAGTAACAAGATGCTTAAATTCTCTGTGCTTGAAAGTTTTCATCTGTAAACTAGAGATAATATTAGGACTTGCATCACAGGGTTTCTGTGAAGATCAAAAGAAATATGTGAAAATCACCTTAGCGTTAGAACTGTGCCTTGCACAAAGTAAACACTCAGTAAATATTAACTCTTATTATAGAAGAGTGTGTGTTATCTCCTCAACTAGATAAAATAATCATAGAATGATGGTTTCAGAGTTGTGAGGCCATTTAATGCAATTAGATTTTATAAATCTAATCTGTACAAGTAGACTTGTGAAATAAATCTGGAATGCCTGCTAAATTTTATTGAAAGCAATCGCGTGTTTAATGGTGCATAATATATCAAAGTACATGCATATTTAATGCTCAAAAGACATTATCTGCTTCTAGAGTGGATTAACATTTCAGGCAGTGAGAATGGGGGTTTATTACTTTAATCTAAATAGGGATTAAGTTGATTAGATTCAGAGTTTGGTTGATTTAAGTACTGATTGGTACACCTGTTCGTGTAGGGCACAGTCCTTTCATCGCTCCCACTAAAAGTTTAACACGGGAACTAAGCTATGAGGATGCAAAAGGATAAGGATGATACAATGGACTTTGGGGAATTGGGGGAAAAGGCAGGAGGATGAGGGATAAAAGACCACACATTGGGTACAGTGGACACTGCTGCAGTGATGGGTGCACCAAAATCTCAGAAATCACCACCAAAGAATGTATTCTTGTAACGAAAAACCACCTGCTCCCCAAAAACCTATTGAAACAAATATTTAAACATAAATAAATAGGCCGGGCACAGTGGCTCACACCTGTAATCACAGCACTTTGGGAGGCTGAGGTGGGTGGATCACCTGAGGTCAGGAGTTTGCTACCAGCCTGGCCAACATGGCGAAACCCAGTCTCTACTAAAAACACAAAAAACTAGCTGGGCGTCTTGGCAGACACCTGTAGTCCCAGCTACCTGGGGGGCTAAGGCAGGAAAATCTCTTGAACCCAGGAGGTGGAGGTTGCAGTGAGCCAAGATCACGCCACTGCACTCCAGCCTGGGTGAAAGGGTGAAACTCCACCTCAAAAAAACAAATTTAATTAATTGAATAAATAAATACATAGACTTTGAATAATCATCATCCAAAAAGAAAATTAAATTAAAAGGATTTCCCTTTGAGGGAGCTATCTGTGAAAGGAAATTGCTTAATACAGGTGAGCACAAAAAGAGAAAGCACCCTCTTATTTCATATTTTATTTTTCAACTTGTTAAAGATTATATTTTCGAGCTACTCTCCTAAACTAGAAACCCACCAGCTCTAACTTAGTATTCTTCTCCAGGACAAAGGGTGTCATTTGTAAGGAATGACAAGATCTACAGGGAATGCTAAAATGATAAATTTAATACATCAGTGTGACTTAGTTAAAGCAAAATCTTCCAGAGTCTCAAACTTTGCGTGTTATTTTCTGGTAGCTCCTGAAAGCAGTCTGAGAAGAATACAACAGAAAAGATGAAGAATTGTTTTAAAACAAAAATTCAAAGTAATAATAATAAATAAAAGCCTAATATTCCCTCTCGCACTTGGCAGGCACCAACCTACCATTTTTGTACATTCAGCTCCACAAGACTGTTAGGTTCTACTCTGCCATCTCTTAAAAGTTAGCATCTAATTCACAGTACTATTTAAATTTCCCCAGTTGTCCAAAAGCATGTCCTTTATAGCTGTTTTAAAATCCATCATCCAATCAGATTTCATGCCTTTCATTGTTATGCTTCTTTAGTCTCCTTTGTCACCATGCCTATAGACTCAGGGGCTGAGGCGGGAGGCTTGCTTGAGCCCAGGAGGTCAAAGCTGCAGTGAGCTGAGATGGTGCCACTGCACTCCAGCATGGGTGACAGAGTGAGACCCTGTCTCAAAAAAAAAAAAAAAAACCTCTGTATTCTATAAATATAATATGTACAATTATTCCATGTCAATTAAAAATAAAAGAGAAAAAAGTCTTTATAATCCATGTATATGAAGTTCAAAAGCTGGCATTACTGATCTGCGATGACATAGTCAGGCAAGTTGGTACCATTGCATAGGCAGAGATGGAAAGAAGCTTGTGGGATGCTGGAAATATTCTGTTTCTGGATCTGGGTGCTGGCTACATGGGGGCTTAAAATCGCTGGTGTTACACTAATCACTCATGAACTTTTCTGCATGTATGTGCAACTTAGAATAAGAAAATGGAATTACGGTTCACATGCTAGGCATGCCTGGATCAGGCTAGTGGACAGCATCCTGTACCACCGTGTCCCATCCTAAGTGCTGTAGAAACATGTTCCTAATACTTCAGTGCATGCCAAAATAGGCAAATATTTTATTTACATTTGAAATCTCACAGTAGCAAGGTCAACTACAGCCACTTTCCCCCAGGGAGAGTCCAATATTTTATTCATGTCTCCTAAACTCTTATAATGAGCAACTACCATGGGCCAGGTCCTGTGCAGGGCTCTGAGGATCACAGGGAAAGACCCACAACCTCCCTCATGGAGACCAACATTCCCAGAAAACCCACGCAAATAAACATAGCGAGGTATGGTGAAGCTCCGGGAGTGCTGCCGCACCACACAGAAGTTCTGACCTGGCCTGGGGCGTATGAGAGAAGCCTTTGATGAGAAAGTAGGGAATGAGGCCTCTGAAAGTAAGGGGAGGGTGTGCTCCAAACAAATGCAACAAAAAGAGAAACTGTAACTGCACACGGTTTTCAGCCTCATGCCTCCGTGGAACCTGCCTGTCAGGCGGGCACCTGGAATCTCAAGCAACTTTCTCAAGGTGAGGCGATTTTTTTCTTTCATTTCTCAAGTAGCTTGTGGTAAGAAAAGTGAGCTGAGACTGGGTGCAGTTGCTCATTCCTGTAGTCCCAGCTGCTTGGGAGGCTGAGGCGGGAGGATCCCTTGAGCCTGGGAGGCGGAGGTTGCACTGAGCCGAGATCACACCACTGCCTGGGTGATAGAGCGAGACCCCATCTCAAAAAAAGAAAGAAAAAAGGGAAAGAAAGTGAACTGAGTGTTCTGTGTCTCCCAAGGCCCCTTGAATGGCTTTGTCCTTCACTTGGAATAAAATTCAAACTTCTTCACCTTGCCCCGACCTTGGTTGGCCTTTCCAGTTTGAGCTTTTCCCGATATTCCTCTCCCACAACACACCTCAACTACAGTGGCCTCTTATCTGCACCTCAGACATGAAAAGGTTTTTCATGTCTCTGGGCCTTTGCACTTGATGTTCCCTTTGCTTAGAACACTCTTCCCTCTCCTTCAGTGAAAATGATACTTCCTCAGAGACATCTTACCTTACCTTAAAACTACTGCACATCCTCTGAATCAGTGCTGTTGGTGGCATTCATAACACCAGTAGTATCATAATCAGAACTGCGTATTGTCTTGTTTCCTTTTTTATTTCCTGCTTCCCTCCCTAGAATGCCAGCACTTGGGAAGGCGGCAGTGAGTTCTATTTTTGTAAATCCCAATTTCCTAGTCACTGGAACAAATCTTAGCAGAGCAGGCATTCAAATAATTAAGCAAACAAATGAAGAAGTGTCAGGGGTGTTTTAACGTTAAGTTCTGCAAAATTCCCTGCTATTGGGGAGGTCATACCCTTTGAATATATCACTCTCTTTCCATCCTCATTAGTGTCATAGGGCAACTCCAGGGACTGATTCTAACATTTAAACGGAAAATTTGAGGCCCACTTTATCCTTTCCGATAGGATTTGGGAGTTTCTACCCTTGACTGTGTTAGAAGTGTTCCTGAATTTTATTCCTGTAAAAGACATAGATGGGGCCAGGTGCAATGGCTCACTAGCACTTTGGCAGGCCAAGGCTGGACGATCTCTTGAGCCCAGGAGTTGAAGGCTGCAGTGAGCTATGATGGCACCACTGCACTCTAGTCTGGGCAACAGAGTGAGACCCTAAAACAAAACGTAAAAAGATACAGATGGGTCCTTCAATCATTTGGCCTTCAGGCTACCTGCAATGTTCCCAGAGACAGAGTTCTTTCGCTAGTCCAAGACTTTTCCAAACCAACCTGGTGGGGGTGTGGAGGTTGCGGGAGAGGACAGAGTTGAGGGGTAGTATAAGATGGGCCAAGACCAGAGTCCCATCTCTGCTTCAGAAAGCTTGGGTCCACATTGAGTGTGGGGAGGCCATATCTCATGGATAGAGACTAGATCTGTCTAGTGAATTACACTCACCCCACAAATAAGACCCATCATGGAGAAGAACGTTAGGGGGAGGAATAAATAAATGAGTTAATAAGGTGCCTGAAAGGTGGAGTAAATGAGTAACAGAGGGACAGAGAGAGGGATGCTCAGAGGAAAGAAAGAAGCATGATTCTTTTAATGCAATTTATATTTTAAGTTTCCTTGCTGAAAACTCGTTATGGGCTCCCCAGCTGCCCCCAAATCCATACTCAAGAGAAGATACAAGATCCCCTATGGTTTAGGCTCTGCCAAGTTCTTCACTGTCATCCATTGCTGTCTCAACTGGAAGAGGTTGAACCGAGATGGGCGGGTGAAGGGCTTAACTCCCATCATCCCAAACTCCTAGCAGGATGCCTCCTGCTGCACTCCGGGTCTCACTGGAAGCCGTCCACGCACAGGGCACCTCCTTCACCTTCCAGTTTGAATCATCTTACCAACTTATTTTTCTCTCAGCGCCTTGTTTATTTACTCATTGATCCCAAGTGACATTTTTGAACATTTTATCCATTTTCAGTTCGCTCCACTTTCTTTTGTTTTCTTCCACTCTCTGGAGTCAAGGATCAGTCTTTTTTTTTTTTTTTTTTTTTAAACATAGTTTTATTCCCAGTGCCCTACACAGCATCAGGCATATAATAGGTTCTAAATAAACAGATATTGAATGGATTATTGGAGGGCGTGGTATTAGGGTAGGACAGGGTGGGGACATGATTACATTAAAATTCTGCTTAAATAAGCGGGTCTTTTAGCCCAGCAGTCACATAGACTCAGCTCAGGAGCTCTGCAGCACACAGCTGATCGAACCCACTCATTTCTAGAGGACACCATGTTTGGTAAGTTGGGCGAAGGCAAGAGGCTGGGGTTTCAGTGATTGGGTTGCAGACAAATCAAGTGAGAGGTGTGGGACCTTGTGGTGGCTTCTTAGAAACCACTGGGTAAATTTAGAAACCACTGGGTTATACCAACAAGGATTGTTTGAAAAACACTTTGCAAGGGATTCTAGTAACTTAGGAATTTGTTTCTCCACATCTCTTTTTTAAAGAGATGGGGTCTTGGTATGTTGCCCAGGCTGGCCTCGAGCTCCTAGGCCCTAGTGATCCTCCCACCTCACCCTCAGGAGTAGCTGGGACTTATAAGTGTGTGCCACCATGTCCCGCTAATTTTTAAATTTTTTGTAGAGACAGGATCTCACTCTGTTGCCTAAGGTCGTCTTGAACTCACATCCTTTTTAATGCCTGGTAACTTTCATACTTTTTAAATGTCAGTCCATTGATGGGTATAAAATAGTATGTGATCTTTAATTCCCATTTCTTTACTAACCCGTGTGATTGAATCTGTTCACTCTATTTTAAAGGCCATTCTGTTTTTCCCCTATGCTAATTTTTATATTTATATCATTTCCCAGTTTTTAGTATGTTTTTTTTCTTGAGGCTTAGTAGAATATTTTTGTTGTCTTCTAGACACTAATAATTTATCTCTTATATGTGTTGCAAATATATTCTCCCAGCCTGGCTTGTGTTTTTCAATTTACTTATGAGTACCGTTGTACAAATATTCTAAAAGTTGTCATTGTGATATTTATCAACATTTTCCTTTTATAATTGTACTTGTAAAACGTAGTTTAGAAGTATATTACTGGCTGGGCATGGTGGCTCACACCTGTAATTCCAACACTTTCAGATGCCAAGGCAGGCGGATCTCTTGAGGCCAGGAGTTCAAGACCAGCCTGGACAACATGGCAAAACCCTGTCACTACTAAAAATACAAAAATTAGCCAGGCATGGTGGCATGTGCCTGTGGTTCCAGCTACTTGGGAGGCTGAGACACAAGAATTGCTTGAACCTGGGAGGCAGAGGTTGCAGCAATCTGAGATTGCACCGCTGTACTCCAGCTTGGGCAACAGAGCAAGACTCTGTCTCAAAAACAAAAAAAGTGTATTTCTTGGCTGGGGACATAAATGTAATTTTAGTTACATTTTATTTTAACTTCTTAAAATGATTTGATTCTAATAGAAAAATTATGCATCAACAAGCTCACTTATCAAAACTTGTACCTGGCTCTTCTAATACATTTTCCTATTGTTTAATACTAAACTTACAAAAATACTAATTAGTCGATTTTACATATTGACCTCTCAGCTTGGTAGATGATTTTAAACTCAAAGCCACATCCTTCCTCGATTTTACCTCCTATAACTTATCAATGTGCAGTGTTGCTTTTCTAAAGACCAGTAGAATTCTAATTACCATTCCTTTGATGGAAATTCTACTTCCCTTTAGAAGCTTCTGGAAATTTCTATATATTCCTGGTATTCTGATATTTTTGCAACAACGATCCTTTTGTTCATTTATTGTGCTCATCGTGGAATGTCTTCATTCTGGAAACCCCTGTGCCTCATCTCTCAAATCTTGAATTTTTTTTAATAAATACTTTCATGATACTCTCTGAAACATTTTTTAGTCAGAGATATTTTTAGTCACATAAATATTGCTAGTGCTGGACATCCCTGAGCAGAGATCTTATTTTTTTCCGACCTTTTCACTCTTTTTGTCCACTTTTGTATACTTTTTCTACTTCCTGGAATAGCTTTGTCTTCCAACTCTTCTATTATTGCCTAAGGGTTTCTTTTTAGCTACTGATTTCAAAGAACATTTGTCTTATCAGATTTTCCTTTCTTTTCAAGACTTTCTTGATGTATGAGTGCAATATCTTTTATCCGAGCATATTAATTTTAACATTTATAGATTTTCTTTTTTTTTGTAATTTTTTTCTAATTGTTTTATATTTTTAGTAGAGATGGGGTTTCACCATGTTGGCCAGGCTGGTTTTGAACTCCTGATCTCAAGTGATTCACCCTCCCTGGCCTCCCAAAGTGCTAGTATTACAGGCATGAGCCACCGTGCCCAGCCTTATTTCTTTTCTTAAGAAAAAATGTGGTTATTTGCTGCTTTCCTCCTCTTCTTTCTTTTTCTCTTCCACTTTCCCTTTCTTTTTTCTCTCTTTCTCTCTGTCTCTCCCTCTCTCCCTTTCTTGCTGTCCCCTTCCTGTTTGAGAATTTTTCTTCAATGTCCTGTAAATTTTTGTTCTCCCTTTGTGTCTAAACAAATGCTGAGACACTAAGAGAAACCCATGTGCCCGATCACTTGTCTTCACTGTGCGATAATTGGGCAGCATGTTGGCTTCTGTTTTTCCATGTATTTGCATGAGGAATAAGAGCATCCTGAAAATAGAAACTTTCCTATAAAATAGATGACCATGAGAATCAGGTTTTACTAGATGATGAGGTCTTATTTATATTCTAAACCATAGTAAAAACTCCCATTATGCACTAATACAGTTTGCATATTTGTCCCCTCCAAATCTCATGTTGAAATGTGATCCCCAGTGTTGGAGGTGGGCCTGGTGGAAGGGGTTTGGATCATGAGAGCAGATCCCTCTGAATGGCTTAGTGCCATCCTCATGGTAATGAGTGGGTTCTCTATCTCTAAGTTCACCTGAGATCTGGTTGTTTAAAAGAGTCTGGGACCTTCCCCTGCTGTCTCTTGCTCCCACTCTCACCATGTAACACCTTGGCTCCCCTTCGCCTTCTGTCATGAGTGGAAGCTTCCTAAGGCCCTCACCAGAAGCAGATGCCAGCACTATGCTTTGTGTATAGCCTGCAGAGCTGTGAACCAATTAATTCCTCTTTTCTAATTTACCCAGTTTTAGGTAATTCTTTATAAATGCAAAATGGACTAACACATGCACCAAGCCTGTAATTAACAGACTTGCTTCTTTGGTTACTCACATCTTCCCTAAAGGAGTGAGCTTTCTGGGACCATGTTATTGTTAAAGATACGGAGGCAAACAGTATAAGTGTACTGATGCTGCCAAAGTCACAGAGCTAGTAAATGAGAGAATCGACATTCATTCTTAGGTCACTAAGCTTCATATCTCCTTCCCTACAGACCCCATTAATAAATGGCCAAACCAATAGCTTCAGGGTCTCACAAGCCAATCAACATAGACAGCAGTGCCACTGAGTCTATGACCGGTTAGGATAATAGGGCCTCAAATACTCTTATGAATCTTATAGACTCATATAAACCTGGTGTCAACATCATGCCACTATTCTATTCTATCTCAATAAGGACTCACCCAAATCTCATCTTGAATTGTAGCTCCCATAATTCCCATGCGTTGTGGGAAGGATCCGGTGGGAGATAACTGAATCATGGGGCGGTTTCCCCCATACGGTGCTCATGGTAATGAATAAGTCTCATAAGATCTGATGGTTTTATAAGAGGTTTCCCCTTTTGCTTAGGTCTCATTCCCTCTCTTGCTTGCCACCACGTAAGATGTGGCTTTGCTCCTCCTTGCTTTCCACCATGATTGTGAGGCCTCCCCAGCCATGTGGAACTGTGAGTCCATTAAACTTCTTTCCTTTATAAATTACCCAGTTTCAGGTATGTCTTTATTAGCAGCATGAGAAACAGAAAGATGTCCCCAAGTTGCTAGGAAAACATATTGGTGCCCAATGTCATGGAGAGGTTGATGTTCCTCCTCCAGGGGCTGTAGGATGAGGCCACCAAAATAAGCTTATCCCATCTGTGGCTTAAAAACATGTCCTGCTCAGTGGAAGTTGGCACTGATTTTCTAGGAATGCAGAACACTCCCAGCAAGAGAGTGAGGAGTGGGTCTCGTGAGTCAAATGTTTAGCCTAAGCTCTTGATTCACAGGTCAAGCTTAGGAAAGAAGCTTACCTTTGGAATATACATATTTGCATTCTAATAAAACATTTTTAAATTTTTTTTTGTATTTTCGTAGGCTATTGGGGAACAAGTGGTGTTTGGTTACATGAGTAAGTTCTTTAGTGGTGATTTGTGAGATTTTGGTGCACCCACCAACCGAGCAGCATACACTGCACCATATTTGTAGTCTTTTATCCCTCACCCCCTTCCCACCCTTTCCCCCGAATCCCCAAAGTCCATTGTGTCATTCTTATGCCCTTACATCCTCATAGCTTAGCTCCCACTTATGAGTGTGAACATATGATGTTTGGTTTTCCATTCCTGAGTTACTTCACTTAGAATAATGGTCTCCAATCTAATCCAGGTTGTTACAAATATCATTAATTCATTTTTATGGCTGAGTGGCATTCCATCATATAATTTATATATATATAAATTATATATATATAAATTATAATATTTGTATTATATATAATTATATACAATATAATTTATATACATTATACATAAATTATTATATATATATACATATATATATATACACACACACACACACACACCACAGCTTATCCACTCAATTGATGGACATTTGGGTTGGTTCCACATTTTTACAATTGCGAATTGTACTGCTATAAACATACATGTGCAAGTATCTTTTTTGTATAATGACTTATTTTCCTCTGGGTAGATAGCCAGTAGTTGGATTGCTGGATCGAATGGTAGTTCTACTTATAGTTCTTGAAGGAATCTTTACACTGTTTTCCATAGTGGCTGTACTAGTTTACACTGCCACCAGCAGTGTAGAAGTGTTGCCTGTTCACTGCATCCACGCCAACATCTATTTTTTTTTATTTTTTTTATTATGGCCATTCTTGTGGTTTCGATTTGCATTTCCCTAATCATTTGTGATGTTGAGCATTTTTTCATGTTTGTTGGCCATTTGTATATCTTTTGAGAATTATCTATTCATGTCATTCATGTCCTTAGCCCACTTTTTGATGGAATTGTTTGGTTTTTTTCTTGCTAATTTGTTTGAGTTCGTTGCAGATTCTGGATATTAGTCATTTGTCAAATGTATAGATTGTGAAGATTTTCTTCTAGACTGTGGGTTGTCTAGAACTCTGCTGTTCCTTTTGCCATGCAAAATCTCTTTAGTTTAATAAAGTCCTAGCTATTTATCTTTGTTTTTATTGCATTTGCTTTTGGGTTCTTGGTCATTGTGTTGCTGTCTATCTCATTTCTTAGGTCTAGTGGATAAAAGGGCGTCCATTGTCTCCTAAAGTTTTTATTATTTTTTATTTATGCTCTCTATTTCACTGAAGATTTCTCCCCTCATTTCTTGTATCTTTTTTTTTAATTTCCTTAAATTGGGCTTCACTTTTCTCTGGTGCCTCCTTGATTAGCTTAATAACTGACCTTCAGAATTCTTTTTCAGGTATATCACGGATTTCTTCTTGGTTTGGATCCATTGCTGATGAACTAATGTGATTTTTTGGGGATGTTAAAGAACCTTGTGTTGTCATATTACCAGATTTGGTTTTCTGGTTCCTTCTCATTTGTGTAGGCTCTGTCAGAGGGACGGTCTAGGGCTCAAGGCTGTTGTTCAGATTCTTTTGTCCCACAGGTGTTCCCTTGATGTAGTACTCTCCTCATTTCCTTCCGAATTTTTTTAATGAAAGCCTTTTATCTGTTCCCTCTGCAGAAGGGCCAAGGCGTTATCGTCGGCCACGCACAAGATTTCTCTCCAAACAACTCACAGCATTGAGAGAATTGCTTGAAAAGACCATGCACCCAAGTTTGGCTACAATGGGGAAACTGGCTTCAAAGCTACAACTTGATCTATCCGTAGTAAAGGTCTGTTCCCAAGTGTGTCTGTAGGTAGCACGCCTAACCCAGAGCTTCACACACACTTTTGATCATTGTTATAACAGTTCCTATTTATTGGCAATTGCTATGTGTAAGGACAGATGTTAAGCACTTTATATTTTTATTGTCATGAGCACCCACTTTATTGAGGAACACTAAAGCTCACATAGAAGAGCTGTCTTCCAAGCATTATAAACACAAGAGTTGGAATTTGAACCCAGACCTTTCCAACTCCAGACCCACCATGCTACACAGGACTCTTTGAGGCTGGATCTCAGATACTCCCATTTGGGTCTGTTCTTGTGTATTCAGGATGGGTTCTGCTTAATCAGGACCATCACAGTCATCCAGATGCCTGTCACTAAGTTCCCACAAAGTATTCATGGGAGAACACCTGGATGAACCCTAAAGATGACCCAAGCTAAACTCTCACCCCATACTCTGACTTTAAAATACTTTCTCTGGGCACCAGGAATGGTGGCTCACACTTGTAATCCCAGCACTTTGGGAGGTGGAGGCAGGAGGATCGCTTAAGCCCAGTTTAAGACCAGCCTGGGCAACATAGCAAGACCATGTCTTTACAAACAAAAATTAAAAATTAACCAGACATGGAGGCACATGGCTGTAGTCCCAGCTACTTGGGAGACTGAGATAGGAGGATTGCTTAAGCCCAGGAGTTCAAGGCTGCAGCGAGCTATGATTGCAGCACTGCACTCCAGGCTGGGTGACAGAGTGGTAGCTTGTCTCAAAAAAAAAAAATACACCACTAATAAAAACACCCTTCTATTTAATACATCACAATCTAGGTCATATTCCACCCATTGCTAGTACAATCCTACACCCACTTTTCCCTTGAAACCCAGGACAGCAGAGAGTAGAAAGGGCTTCCCTTGTTCCAATAAATGTGAGACTCTCTCTCACACCAAAAAACCGAATTCCTGAGGAACATGAGGATGCCCCTTTATACTCAACATCCATTATTAACCTCCCCCCTCCTCCCTCCTTAGATCTGGTTCAAGAACCAGCGTGCCAAATGGAAGAGGCAGCAGCGGCAGCAAATGCAGACACGGCCATCACTAGGGCCAGCAAACCAGACAACTTCAGTGAAGAAGGAGGAGACTCCCTCAGCCATAACTACTGCAAACATTCGTCCAGTAAGTCCTGGAATCTCTGATGCAAATGACCATGATCTACGTGAGCCTTCTGGTATCAAGAATCCTGGAGGAGCCAGCGCCTCTGCGAGGGTTTCATCCTGGGATTCTCAGTCATATGACATTGAACAGATATGTCTGGGGGCTTCAAATCCTCCTTGGGCCTCCACTCTCTTTGAAATAGATGAATTTGTAAAGATCTATGACTTGCCAGGGGAAGATGACACCAGCAGCCTAAATCAATATCTTTTTCCAGTATGCCTTGAGTATGACCAGCTCCAATCTTCAGTGTAACTTCTTACACATCACTTCTAGGGGAGGTCTGGATCTGACCCACTGAGACATATTTCCACACATCTTTAATGGTTTGACCCCAGTCTAAGTAGATCAGGGGCTGGGAATTTATCTTTTTCTGTAGAAAAAACAATAAAGGAACTCCCCTACCTTTCATCATTGCCTGCATTTTCTGAACTCCATTTGAGTGCCTCCTCACCCAAATTTCAGCATTAAAGATTGTATTCAGAGAAGTGACGCCAGGAACACAGTGACATAGGAGGTTCCTGATTGATGGACTGAATAAACGTCTGTGCCTACATCAGTTCTCTCTGGAAGAAAGTCAGAAGTGAGTGGAGAGACTCCTACACACCAGGCAACTAAGAAAATGTCTTAGCAGGCCAGTCGCGGTGGCTCACGCCTGTAATTCCAGCACTTTGGGAGGCCAAGGTGGGTGGATCACGAGGTCAGGAGATCAAGACCATCCCGGCTAACATGGTGAAACGCTGTCTCTACTAAAAATACAAAAAATTAGCTGGGTGTGGTGGTGGGCACCTGTAGTCCCAGCTGCTTGGGAGGCTGAGGCAAGAGAATTGCTTGAACCCGGGAGGCGGAGGTTGCGTGAGCCAAGATTGCACCACTGCACTCCAGCCTGGGCGACAGAGTAAGACTCCATCTCAAAAAAAAAAAAAAAGAAAAGGAAGAAAAGACAAGAAAAAAAATGTCTTATCAAACAGGCAGCAAAAGCTGAAGCACTCAGAAACACTAAACCCACCCTGGGCACTGAGCCATACAATCAGGAAGGAATCCCCAGTTCCCAGCTTCTCCCCCAGGAGAGAAGCAGTGAACCACACATATAGCACCCTAACAGTTGATGGTTAAGTTCCTAACGAGCCTGCATCAGGGAGTTGACTAGGTAGGTAAACTACAGACTTACAAGAGCCTGAACAGAAGCTAGGTGCCACCCAAAGCTTCACCCCAGCTCAGCCCAGCAATAAATCCAGGTCTATCAATTCCTCCTGGAAGAAGTTTGTCCACACATTGAGCACCCCAACTTTTATACCTGCACTCAAGGGACTGCATCCTAAATCCCCTAGCTCTGGAAATGGAAGGGATTAGGCATATGTGAGTCTCCCTAGCTCACAGAGAAAAAGGTGGTTTTAAGCAGGCACACAAGCACTTCAGGGCTAGCCTTCCTCCACCACACTCCCCCAACCAGAGCAGTGCAGAGAAGGGGTCAAAATGTACAGCTCCCAGTTACTCCTCAAAAAGGATTTGCCAGCACACTCTTCCAGCTGCTGCTTGATAGTCATGCTTTTAACCAGCCTGTATCTGGAAGTCAACAGGGCAGACAAATGCTGGATCCTTGGGAGCCTGAATGGGAGTTCAGACACTGTCCAAGCCTTTTGCCCTTGCTTGCTCTAGTGGTAAGTCTACAGACTCTCCCTGGAAGGAGTTTTTCCATGCAGTGAGCACCCAAATTTTTGCAGCTTCCACGGCATCCTAAATCACCTATCTCTGGGAACTGAAGGGATTTGACATTCACTAGTCTCCCTAGATCACAGCAAAGAGGTGATTTTAAACTGATGCACAAGCATTTCCAGGAGATGAGAATAGTCCCAGGGACCTGAGGCTGAACACACCTAGCTGGCCACTACCACCTCAGGTGGCATCTACTTGCATGTGCCACTTACAGGCCTGGAGACTGGCCTGCTCAGCCCGTCACAGCCATCACCAACACTAGCACAAGCTGATTGGGAGCTAGATTGTCCTGCCAATATTACTGCCATTGCCCATGCCACCCTTGCTGCCCAGTGGCCCCAGGAACTACGCACCTACCTGGCCTACGGCTGGCAATGCCAGCACCCAAGAAAGCCACCTGGAAGCCTGGGAATTGGCCTACCTAAACCTGCTAAACCTGTGCCAGCGTACACCACCCTGGGACTCAAGGACAGGCTCACCACTGCCACCACTGGGCCCGAAAACCGGCCCACCTGACATCCCCTATCCCAGAAAAGCTTCACAGCCTCCACCAACAACTGCACCTTAAGCCACGGAGGAAATAACACTACTGATGTTGCTTACAGCCAAATAAATCATACAGAGACTATACCTGGATAAAGAATTCAAAATAATGATATTAAAGAAGCTCAGTGAGATACAAAAGAACTCAGAAAAATAATACAAACAAATCAGAAAAACAATTCAGGATATGAATGAGAAATTTACCAAAGAGATAGATATAAAAAAGAACCAAACAAATTCTGGAAATGAAGACTTCATTGAATGAAATACAAAATATATTTGAAAGCTTCAACAACAGACTAAATCAAGTAGAAAAAAGAATTTCAGAACTTGAAGCCATATCTTTTGAAATAACCCAGGAAGACAAAAATAAAAAAGAATTTAAAAAGAATGATAAAAGCCTTCATGACATATGATACCATAAAGCAACCAAATTTTCAAATTACTGGGGTCCCAGAAGGCAAAGAGAGAGAAAAGGGTAAGAAAGTATTTAATAAAATAATAGGCCAGGCACAGTGGCTCACGCCTGTAATCTCAGCACTTTGGGAGGCCGAGGAGGGTGGAGCACCTGAGGTCAAGAGTTCAAGACCAGCCTGGCCAACATGGTGAAACCTGGTCTCTACTAAAAATACAAAAATTAGCTGGGTGTGGTGGTGCACACCTGTAGTCCCAACTACTTGGGAGGCTGAGGCAGGATAATTGCTTGAACCAAGGAGGCGGAGGTTGCAGTGAGCCGAGATCACGCCACTGCACTCCAGCCTGGCAACAGAGCGAGACTCCATCTAAAAACAACAACAAAAAGTGTGATTTATACACAATGGAGTACTATTTGGCCATTAAAAAATAATTTAAAAAAATGAAATCCTGTCATTTGCAACATAGATGAGCCTAAAGGACATTATGTTAAATGAAATAAACCAAACACAGAAAGACAAATACCACATGATCTCATACACATGTGGAATCCTAAAAGGTGGATCTGACACCTTACTTACACCTTACTCCTGCAAGAATGGCCATAATCAAAAAATAACAAAATCAAAGATCAAAAAATCAAAAAATAATAGGTGTTGTGCATGTGTGAAAAGGGAACACGTTTACACCGTTGGTGGGAATGTAAACTAGTACAACCACTGGAGAAAACAGTGGAGATTCCTTAAGGAGCAAAAAGTAGATTTACCATTTGATCCAGCAATCCCACTACTGGGTATCTACTTAGAGGAAAATAAGTCATTATACAAAAGAGATACTTGCACACACATGTTTATAGCAACACAATTCACAATTACAATAATATAGAACCAGCCCAAATGCCCATCAATCAACAAGTGGATAAAGGAAATGTGAGATATATATATATATATATATCGCACATACCATGGAATACTATTCAGCCATAAAAAGGGAATGAAATAATGGCATTTGCAGCAACCTGGATGAGATTAGAGACCATTATTTTAAGTGAGGTAACTCAGGAATGGAAAACCAAACATCATACTTTCTCACTCATAAGTGGGAGCTAAGCTATGAAGATCCAAAGGCATAAGAATGACACAATGGACTTTGGGGATTCAGGGGAAAGAATGGGATGGAGGTGAGGGATAAAAGACTACATATTGGGTACAATGTACACTGCTTGGGTGATGGGTGCACCAGAATCTCAGAAATTGCCACTTAGGAAATTATTCATGTAACCAAACACCACCTGTTCCCCCAAAAACCTACTGAAATAAAATAATAAAAATAAATAAGGCTGGGCGCAGTGGCTCACGCCTGTAATCTCAGCACTTTGGGAGGTCAAGGCGGGTGGATCACCTGAGGTCAGGAGTTCGAGATCAGCCTGGCCAACATGGTGAAACCTCATCTCTACTAAAAATACAAAAAAAAATTAGCTGGGCATGGTGGCGGGCGCCTGTAATCCTAGCTACCCAGGAGGCTAAAGCAAGAGAATCACTTGAACCCGGAAGGCAGAGGTTGCAGTGAGCCAAGATCGCACCATTGCACTCCAGCCTGGGCGACAAGAGGGAAACTCCGTCTCAATAAATAAATAAATAAATAAATAATAAATAATTTAAAAAAATTGAAAAAATAAATACATTTTTTAAAGTGGACCTCATAGAAGTAGAGAGTAGAATGGCGGTTAAAGGAATCTGGGGTCATTGGGGGTAAAGGGGAGTTGGGAAGACACTGGTCAAAGGATGCATAATTACATTTAGATAGAAGGAATAAGTTCAAGAGATCTATTGGACAGCATGATGACTATAATTAATGGTGATATATTGCATTCTTGAAAAATGCTAAGAGAGTAGATGTTAGGTGTTCTCACCACAAAAAAATAGATGATAACTATGTGAGGTAACACATTTCTTTAAATTAGCTGATTTGGCCAGGTGCAGTGGCTCACAACTGTAATCCCACCACTTTGGGAGGCTGAGGCAGGAGGATCACCTGAGGTGGAGAGTTCGAAGACCAGCCTGACCAACATGGAGAAACCCTATCTCTACTAAAAATACAAAATTAGCCAGGCATGGTGTCACATGCCTGTAATCCCAGCTAGTCAGGAGGTTGAGGCAGGAGAATCACTTGAACCCTGGAGGCGGAGGTTGCAGTGAGCCGAGATTGCGCCATTGCACTCCAGCTGGGGCAACAAGAGTGAAACTCCATCTCAAAAAATAAATAAATAAATAAATAAGCTAGATTTAACCATTCCACAATGTATACATATTTCAAAACATTATATTGTACAAGATAAAGTCATACAATTTTAAAAAACAAATAAATTTAGAACAAAATGATAGGGAAAGGTATTAGGGGCTGAGTGGTATATGGGAACTGCGTACTACCTGCTCAATTTTCTGTAAGCCTCAAACTGCTTCAAAAAATAATGTCTATTGCCAGGCGCAGTGGCTTACGCCTGTAATCCCAGCACTTTGGGAGGCTGAGGTGGTTTGGTCACCTGAGGTCAGAAGTTCAAACCAGCCTGACCAACATGGTGAAACCCCATCTCTACTAAAAATACAAAATTAGCCGGGCATGGTGGTGCATGTCTGTAATCCCAGCTACTTGGGAGGCTGAGGCAGGAGAATCGCTTGATGCTAGGAGGCAGAGGTTGCAGTGAGCCAAGATCGCACCATTGCACTCCAGCCTGGACAACAAGAGTGAAACTCCATCTCAAAAAAAATTATAATAATAATGTCTTAATTTTAAAAAAAAAATGTCTAGCTCGGCCGGGCGCCGTGGCTCATGTCTGTAATCCCAGCACTTTGGGAGGCAGAGATGGGCAGATCATGAGGTCAGGAGTTCGAGACCAGCCTGACCAATATGATGAAACCCTGTCTCTACTTAAAAAAAAAAAAAATTAGCCAGGTGTGGTGGCATGCGCCTGTAGTCCCAGCTACTCAGGAGGCTGAGACAGAAGAATCGCTTTAACCTGGGAGGCAGAGGTTGCAGTGAGCCAAGATCGTGCCACCGCACTACAGCCTGGGTGGCAGAGCGAGACTCTGTCTCAAAAAAAAAAAAAAAATGTCTAGCTTGATCTTAAAGGAATGAATGATTCCCTAAGAGAACTTAGTGAGGGCTGGAGCCCTTGAGTTCCACCAGCCAATCCCAGGAGTTAGCTGTAAAAGTCACTACTCACCTTTGCAAAATTCAACTTGATCAGGTACCTCTCCTTTAGTTTCAGGAAGAAGAAGCAAGAACCTTTAAATAATTAATAAGTAAGTGACTGATGTGAAGAAACGCTGAGGCTCTAAAGCTGGATGGAACAGAGACTGGACTATTCTCTGACCATCTAAGTCTATGCAGCTATAAACAAGAAGGTAAAGCTGCAGGGGCTGACCTGGAGGCCTCAAGATGTATCGATAAACCAGGATGGTAGCAGCTGCGGAACTGTGAGGTGCAGCGGTCCCCAATGTTTTTGGCACCAGGAACTGGTTTCGTGGAAGAAAATTTTTCCACAGACGGCAGCGGTGGGGTGGGTGGGTTGGGGTGGGGGATTGTTTGGGGAAAATTCAAGCATAATACATTTATTGTGCACTTTATTTCTATTATTATTACATTATAATATATCATCAAATAAGTATACAACTCACCATAATGTCAAATCTAATGGGAGCCCTGAACTTGTTTTCCTGCAACTAGATGGTCCCATCTGGGGGTGATGGGAGACAGTGACAGATCATCAGGCATTCGATTCTCATAAGGAGCATGCAACCTAGATCCCTCGAATGCGCAGTTCACAATAGAGTTTGCGCTCCTGTGAGAATCTAGTGCCCAAGCTGACCTGACAGGAGGCGGAGCTCAGGCTGTAATGCCAGCGATGGGGAGTGGCTGCAAATATAGATGAAGCTTTGCTGGCTGGCCCGCTGCTCACCTCCTGCTGTGGCGGTCTGGTTCCTAACAGGCCACCATGGGTACCCGTCTGTGGGGGTGGGGAGCGGGGGTGTTGGGGACCCCTGGTATAGAGTGCTCTCTTGTAACCCACCCATCCTCTGAGTGCAGATTTGCAAATACAACCACGTTCTCTAGAAGGGACCCTATGAGCTGGAGGATAAGACCACAGCCTGGAGTTTTGCTTTTGACTTTCGTAATGTTTAGGCATTTTTTATGGTGAGCATAGCTTACTTCTGAAATTTAATAAACGACTGTATTAAGCGGTGAAATAGTGAGTACACGGTTGTTTACTTTGTTATTCTGTTTGCATGAACATTTAAGAAAAATAAAACATTGAGAATTGTTGGTGGCAGGTGTGGTGGGAGCTTTTTAAAACAACAACAACAACAAAAGCTGTTCCCTACATGTAACAGGGATGTCTGTCTTCGGAGGAATTGGTGAGCTGCATCTCACCCCCCGGTGAAGCAAGGGGTCGTGGTGGTGGAACTTGACTGGGAAGTGGGAACTGATCCTGGGGAGCAATCCCAGAAGCCTGGGGCTAAGCCATGTCCTGAGAGTTTGGGAAATGAATGTATTAAGCAGCCCAGATGCCTAACTCCAGGGTCACCACCAGCCTTTGAGCTCCAGGGGGCGCTCCGCGAACATCCCATGAAAGCGCGCGGGGCGCTTGGGATGATGTTTGCAGGGGAACTGAGCCAGGCTGTGGTCCTCTGTGCCATCTCCTGCCGGTGGGCAGCACTCCTGTTGTGCACAGGGACCCCTGTTTCCTAGGTCCACAAACTGGTCGGGAAACACGAGTTGACCCGGCCGCCCCAACCTGCTTTCTAACAAGAGGTTCTGTCCAAGTTCCCCGCTCGACTTTCAATATGTCACTCAGCGCTTAAGCCTCACCCCTTATCCTTGATGTCCAATCAGGAGCGAGGGTTGGATCCCCAGGGGCCTGGGGAGGCAGAGGGTTCTTTTTTTTTTTTTTTAAACCTAAAAATTTAAATGAAGATGAAAATGGAAGATTCTTCATGGAAGTTTTAATGGCAACAATTAGTCTACGAAAAAATAGGAAGTCTGAATGGACCAATAACCAAAGAACTTACAAAGGAAGTAAAAGATCTAAGAAAGTCCTAGAAGGTTTTATGGGCAAATTCTGCTATACATTCCGACAAATCGTAATTGTACTGTCTCCTTAATTTTTCTGTAAATCTAAAACCATTCTAAAATAAAAAATTTATTTTAAAAATGTATCCAATCCCCCTCGTCCAAACCTTTGAAATGCTAAAGATTTCTTTTAAAACCCTCAATATCTCTGATTATTTTGTTAAGGTTTTTGTTTAAGACTATCTATTGAAGGCAGGGCACGGTGGCTCACACCTGTAATACCAGCACTTTGGAAGGCCAAGGCTGGAGGATCACCTGAGGTCAGGAGTTCGACACCACTCTGGCCAACATGGTGAAACCCTGTCTCTACTAAAAATACAAAAATTAGCCAGGCGTGGTGGCCCTCGCCTGTAATACCAGCTCAGCTACTCAGGAGGCTGAGGTGGGAGAATCGCTTGAACCTGGGAGGCGGAGGTTGCAGTAAGCCGAGATCGCACCACTGCACTCCAGCTTAGGCGAGAGAGGGAGACTCCTCTGTCTCAAAAAAAAAAAAAAAAAAAAGAGAGAGAGAGAGCATCTATTGAAGAGTGAGTTTTCTTACAATGCCCAAAGCAACTGTCTCCTTCTTTCCCTGGCCCTCTCCATGTCTGTATTCACATAGAGTCTACATAATGGGCAAATTGTGATTAACAACTTTGTCTCCTGCCTTTAAAAAAAAATCCTAAAATCCTATCATACTCCAGGCCGTCTCCACGTCTGCTTAATGAACTGTCTTAATTTTTATTTATTTATTTATTTATTTATTTATTTATTTATTTATTTATTGAGACAGAGTCTCGCTCTGTTGCCAGGCTGGAGTGCAGTGGCGTGATCTTGGCTCACTGCGATCTGCGCCTCCCGGGTTCAAGTGATTCTCCCACTTCAGCCTCCCGAATAGCTGGGATTACAGGCACGCGCCGCCACACCCAGCTAATTTTTGTATTTTTGGTAGAGACGGGGTTTCACCATGTTGGCAAGATGGTCTCGATTACCTGACCTCGTGATCCACCCGCCTCTGCCTCCCAAAGTGCTGGGATTAACAGGCATGGGTCACTGTGCCCGGCCGAACTGTCTTAATTTTTGAGAGTAGGTTTATTACACTGCTCGATGGACAAAAAAATTGGGCACTCTTCTAAAGCTCAGGGGAAAGGGTGCCAAGAGAGGAGTCCCAGGGAAGAGATGTTCAGAGAACATCATACCACCCCACCTGCTCTCTTTTTTTTTTTTTTCTTCAGGAAATGAGGTCTCATTATGTTTCTCAGGCTGGCCTCGAACTCCTGGCTGCAAGCCATCCTCCCTCCTCAGCCTCCTGAGTAGCTGGGATTCCAGCTGTGAGCCACCACGCCTGGCTTGACTTTTATAATGCCTTCTCCTTTGACAGTTTGAAGCCTCTTGGTTAAAGCAAAGGGGGACCTGGAGGGTGACTTCAGTGGGAAGCGGGAAGAGTGACTGGAAACTGGTCCCTTCTGCTGCATGTCTCAGTGTAAGTGTCAAGAAGTGCTGGGGTAACGTTAGCCACTTCCTCTCTGCAACCAGCCCCCAGGCGCTTCACTTCTCTCTTTCCTCCACCTGAGATGACACAGTTGTGGTTAAGGCCCTGGACCAAGAGGTTAGCCTAAATGAGAGTCCCATCTCTGCAACTTCTACCTGGATGAATTTGAGCAAGTGATTCACCTCTCTGAGCTTCGGTTTCCTCATCTGGGAAATTGAGATAATAACAGTTAATGTCTACATCATAAAGTTGTTGTGATAACTAAATAAAAACGTCATGATAATTAAATAAATTAAAATGTGGCCCGGGCGCGGTGGCTCACGCCTGTAATCCCAGCACTTTGGGAGGCCAAGGCGGGCGGATCACGAGGTCAGGAGATCGAGACCACGGTGAAACCCCATCTCTACTAAAAATACAAAAAAATAGCCGGGCGTGGTAGCAGGCGCCTGCAGTCCCAGCTACTCGGGAGGCTGAGGCAGGAGAATGGCGTGAACCCGGGAGGCTGAGCTTGCAGTGAGCGGAGATCGCGCCACTGCACTCCAGTCTCTGGGCGACAGAGCGAGACTTCGTCTCAAAAAAAAAAAAAAAAAAAAAAAAAAAAAAAAACCTTGTCACTTTAATGTTTTACTTTATTGGAAAGAGATTGTTAAGGATTCCAGCTAGTTGTTTCTGGATAGCAGAAATGACTAGCCTTCTTGGAACAGATCTTCTGTCTTCTGAAAAAGTCACTAGAATAACTCTTCAGTCACACACATGTAAAGCAAGTGTTTACCCCAATTGCTAAGAACCCAGGAAGGGAAAATCTTAAGGGATGTGGGTATTCTGGGAGTAAACAGATTGACAGCCACACTCCTTCACTTTGAGATACAAAAGTTCTAAAACATTTCTGTTAAACCAGAGTGGTCAGCTCTCATGAGAGGATCGAGGAATTGCTATAGGAAAACTCACCATAATGGTTAGGGGTGTGTGTGTTAGTAGCTCAGACACAGGTACCTTAGAGAGCTGGTATTAGCTAGGAAGGACTACTGATGGGTTGAATTTGTATCCCCTGTGGTAAGAGGCATAACAAGCTGATTTCTAACTGAGGGTAGAAAGTGACTGTGTTAACTTGGGGCTGCTGCAATTACAGGACCACAAGCTGGGTGGTTTAAACAACAGAAATTTATTGTCTTGCAAATCTGGAGGGGAGGGTAGAAGTCAGGAATCAAGGTGTTGGCAGGGCTGCACCCCCTCTAAAGGCTCTAGGAGAGGATCCTTTCTTGCCTCCCCCAGTTTCTGGTGGCTCCACGTGTTCCTTGGTTTGTGACAGCAGCTCTCCCATCCCTATAGAGAGAAAGTAGATGGTGGCTTAGGGATGGGGAGGATGGAGTGACAGGGGATGATAGCTGAAGACATAAGGTTTCTTTTGGAGGGGATGAAAATCTAAAATTGATCATGGTGATTGTTGTCCATATCTGTGAATATATGAAAAACTATTGAATTGTATACTAAATGGGTAAATGTTATGGTTTGTGAATTGCATCTCAATGAAGTTTTTTTTAAAATGACACAAACTTGAGATAAGAGCCCAACTTTATTCTTTTGTATGTGGCCATCCAGTTGTCCCAGAACCATTTGTTAACAGGACTATCACTTCCCCACTGAGTAATCTTGGCAACCTAGTGGAAAGTCAGTTGGCCGTAGACACGTGGTTTTATTTCTAGATTCTACTTCTATCCTTTTGATCTATATGTCTGTCTTCATGTCTGTACCACACTGTCTTGATTACTTTTGCCTTAGGTTGGTACAAAAGTAATTTCAGTAAATTTTGAAGTTGGGAAGTGCCAGTCCTACTTTGCTTTTCTTTTTCAAGATTATATTGGTTATTCTGGGTCCCTTGCGATTCCATATGAATTGTACATTCAGCTTGCCAATTTCTACAAAGTCAGCTGAGATTCTGACAGGGATTCCACTGAACCTGTAGATCAATTTAGGGAGTATTGCCATTTTAACAATACAAGGCTTCTGATCCATATACAAGAGAGATTTTTTTTCCATTTATTTAAATCCTCTTTCATTTCTTTCAACAAAATCTCACCATTTTTAGAGTATAAGTTTTGCATTTCTTTTGCTAAATTTATTCCGAATTTTTTATTGGTTTTGATGCTATTGTAAATGGAATTGTTTTCTTGATTTCGTTTTCAGATTATTCATTGCAAGCATATGGAAATACAATTGATTTTTATATATTGACCTGGTATCCTGCAACCTTGCTGAACTTGTTCAATAGTTCTAACAGTTATTTGCTGGACTTCTTAGGATTTTTCTATATACAAGATCATGTCATCTGCAAAGAGTTTACTTCTTCCTTTCAATCTGGATGGATGCTTTTTTTTTTTTTTTTTCCTTTCATGCCTATCCTGACTAGAACCTCCAGTACAATGGTGAAGTGGTGGAAGCAGACACCTTTGCCTTGTTCCTGATCTTCGGGGGAAAGCATCCAGTCTGTTTTCACTAAGTATGATGTTAGATGTGCTTCGTAGAGGCCCCAGTGTCAGGTTGGGGAAGTTCTCTTCTATTGTTAACTTCCTGAGAGTTTTTACCATGAATGGGATTTTGCTAAATGCTTGTTTTGTATCTATTGAGATGATCATGTGGTTTTTGTTTTGTATTCAACTGATAGGATATACTATATTAATTGATTTGGGGATGTAAAACCAATCTTGCATTCATCCTGTGATAAAGCTCATTTTTCATGGTACGTACTTCTTTTTATATATTACTGGATTCCATTTGCTAGTATTTATTTGAGGATTTTTGCATCTGTATTGGTAAAAAGATATTGGGCTGTAGGTTTCTTGTGGTGTCTTTGCTTGGTCTTGGTACCAGGGTAATACTGGCCTTAAGAATGAGTTGGGCAGTGTTCCCTCTTCTATTTATTGGAAACCTTTGTGAAGAACTGATATTAATTCTTCTTCAAATGTTTGGTAGGGTCAGTGGTGAAGGGCCTAGGGTTTTCTTTGTGGGTAGTTTTTATATTATTAATTCACTTTCTTTGCTTGCTATAGATTTATGTAGATGTCCTATTTCTCTTAGACTCAGTTTCAGTAGTTTGTGTCTTTCTAGAAATTTGTTTTTCATCTCAAGTATCTAGTTTATTAGCAAATAGTTGCTCACAGCATTTATTTCTATAAGGTTGGTAGTAATGTCTCCTCTTTCATTTCTTTTTTTAAAAATTTAAATTTTATTTTAATTGAAAAAATAGTAATTATATATATTTATGGGGTACAATGTGATGTTTTGCTATGTTTATATTGTTAAATGGTTAAATAAAACTAATTAATAAATCTGTCACCTCACATACTTATTTTTCATGATGACATTTATGATAAGTGAAATAAGCCAGGCACAGAAAGACAAATAGACTCCATATATATGTGAGATACATGGAATCTAAAAGAGTCAAACTCACAGAAGTGGAGAGTAAAATGGTGATTACCAGAGGCTGGGGAGGAAGATGGATGGGGAAAGGGAAACTGTTGATCAAAAGGTACAGTTTCAGTTAGACAGGAAGAATAAACTTTAGTAATCTATTGCATAAAATGGTAATTATAATAAATAATAATTTATTGTACATTTCGAAGTCCCTTTTTCATTTTTGATTCTAGTAATCCAGTCTGCTATTTTTTCCTGGTATATCTAGCCAATGTTTTGCCAATATTTTGGTTTGTAAAAGAGTCAACTCTTGGTTTGGTTGATTTTCTCTATTGTTTTTCTATTCTCTATTTCACTTATTTCTGCTCCAATCTTTTATTATTTTCTTTTTCTACTTGCTTTATGTGTAGCTTGCTCTTCTTTTTCAGTGTCTTAAGGTGAAAATTTAGGTTATTTTCAATCACTTCCTTAATATAGGCATATACATCTATCAGATTTCTTTTAAGCACTGTTTTTGCTGTATCCTACAAGTTATAAGGTATATTATGTCTTCATTTTCATTTATATCAAAGTATTTTCTAAGTCCCTTTTAATTTCTTCTTTGACCTCTTGGTTATTTAAAAGTGCATTGTTTATGAGAACATATGGACACAGGGAGGGGAACAACACACATTGGGGCCTGGGGGTGGGTGAAGGGAGAGCATCAGGTTGGATAGCAAATGTAATGCATGCGGGGCTTAATACCTAGGTGATGGGCTAACAGGTGCAGCAAACCACCTTGGCTCAGGTTTACCTATGTAAAAAACCTGCACATCCTGCACATGTATCCCAGAACGTAAAATTAAATTAAATTAAAATTTAAAAGAGAGTGCATTGTTTAATTTCCACATACTTGTGAGTTCCCCAGATTTCTGTCTTTTATTTATATATAATTTCATTATGTTGTTATCAGAAAGTATGCATTGTATTTCTACTCCTTTAAATTTATCAAGGTTTATGGCCTAGCATGTGGTTTATCCTGGAGAGTGTTCCATGTGCACTTGAGAAGAATACAAATTCTCCTGTTCTACAGATATCTGCTAGGTCTAGTTGGTTTATAGTGTTGCTCAAGTGTTTTATTTCCTTATTGATTTTCTGCCCAATTGTTCTATTCGTTATTTTTTTCCTGACTTGAGGTATGACTGACAAATAAAAATTGTATATATTTAAGATGTACAATGTGATGTTTTGATATACATTGTGAAATGATTACCACAACTAAGCTAATTAATATATTCATCATCTCATATAGTTACAACATTTTTTTAAAGTTGGGTATCAAAATCTCCAAATATTGTTGCTTATTGTGTATTTCTTCATTTCTGTCAGTATTTATTTAATGCATGTCGGGGCTCTGTTGTTGGATGCCTATGTGTTTATAATTGTTACATCTTCCTGATACAGTGACCTGTAGATCATAACATATTTCTTATGTCTGGTAACGTTTTTTAAAGTCTATTTTGCATTATTAGTATCGCTGTTCCAGCTTCCTTGTGGTTGCTGTTTGCATGATATATCTTTTTTCTTTCTATTACTTTCAATATTTTGTATCTTTGAATCTAAAGTTTGTCTTCTGTACACAGAATATCATTGGATATTGTTTTTTAATACAGTCTGAAAGTCTCTGCCTTTTGATTTATTCAATCCATTCACTTTTAAAGTTATTAATGATATAGTTAGATTTACATTTGCCATTTCACTTTTTCTTTTCTATGTCTTATGTCTTTTTTGCTCTTCTATTCCTCCTTTATGTTTTCTTTTATATTAAGTGAAAGTTTTCTAATATAGGATTTTAATTTCTTTACTGATTTTTTCACTAATTTCTGAATTATTTCCTCCGTGGTTGCTCTACGGCTTATCATATACATCTTATCAAAATGAGCTTCAGATTTATACTAACTTAATCCTAGTGAGATATAGAAACATTGTTCCTATGAAGCTCTATTGCCTTTTCCCACTTTTTGTTAGATGTTATACATATTGCATCAAACATTATAAACCCAGGAATGCACTGCTTTAATTATTTTTTTATACACTTTTTTTTTTTGAGACCGAGTTTCACTCTTATTGCGCAGGCTGGAGCGCAATGGCGCGATCTCGGCTCACTGCAACCTCTGCCTCCCGAGTTCAAGCGATTCTCCTGCCTCAGCCTCCCTCGTAGCTGGGATTACAGGCATGCGCCACCACGCCCAGCTAATTTTGTATTTTTAGTAGAGATGGGGTTTCTCCATGTTGGTCAGGCTGGTCTCGAACTCCCAACCTCAGGTGATCCACCTGCCTCAGCCTCCCAAAGTGCCAGCCCTATTACAAGCGTGTTAATTTTATCGTGAGAAGAAGCTGTTACTCTTACTGGGGGTTCCCTTGTAAGTGACAAGGCATTTTCTTTTTTCTGCTTTCAATTTTTTTCCTTGTCCTTGGCTGTCAGTATTCTTACCAAGATGTGTCTGTGTGTGTGTGTGTCTGTGTTCATTCTACTTGAAGTTCATTCAGCTTCTTGGATAGGTATTTTATTGTTTTTCAATAAACTTAGGAAGTTTTAAGCCACTGTTTATTAGAACAATTTTTCTGTTTCTTTCTCTTTCCTCTCCTTCTGCCATTCCTATTGTTTTGCTTAATGGTGTTCCACATTTCTCTAGGGCTCTACTTATTTTTTCATCTTTGTTCTTTCCCCCCATTCTTTGGATTGCATTATTTCTATTTTCTTTTCTTTTTCTTTTTTTTTTTTTTTTTTTTTTGAGATGGAGTCTCGCTCTGTCACCCAGGCTAGAGTGCAGTGGCGCAATCTCGGCTCACTGCGTTCAAGTGATTCTCCTGCCTCAGCCCCCTGAGTAGCTGGGACTACACGTGTGCCACCATGCCTGGCTAAGTTTTGTATTTTTAGTAGAGGTGGGGTTTCACCATGTTAGCCAGGATGGCCTCGATCTCCAGACCTCATGATCCGCCTGCTTTGGCCTCCCAAAGTGCTGGGATTACAGGCGTGAGCCACCACACCCAGCCTTATTTCTACTTTCAAGTTTGCTAATTCTTCTGTCAATTCAAATCTACTATTGAGCTTCTCTAGTATATTTTTTTCATTTCGGTTATTATACTTTTAGCTCTCGATTTCCATTTGGTTTTATTTTATAATGTCTAACTTTTTAGCGATATTTTTTATTTGACCATACCTTTCCTTTCCTTTTTTAAAAAAATGGGTTTCCTTTAGTTATTTGAACAGATTTATAATGGCTACTTTGAAGGCTTTGTGTGCTCAGTCTGACATCTGGTTGCTTTCACTGGACGTTTCTGTTGCCCGCTTTTTTTCCAGTGTAAGGGTAACATTTCGTTTCTTCCAGAACCCATAGCACTTCTCTTTCCTAACTAGCATTGTCCAGTAAAACACCTGTAGTGATAGAAATGTTTATATCTGCCCTGTCCAATGTAATAGCCACTAGCCACATGTGGCTATTGAGCACTTGCAATGTGGCTAGTGTAACTAAGAAAGTGAATTTTAAATTTTATTTCATTTCGATTAAGCATAAATAGCCATATTTAACTTCAAGAAGATAAGTGGCTATCTTCTTGAACAATGCAATTGTAGGCCATGCTCAGAGTACCAATTCCTTAGAATTCCCTACTCAAATGTTCCCAAACCTGCTTCCAGCAACTGTTTGGGCCTCTTCCTAGTCCATCTTCTACCTGACACCCAGAACAGATCATGCTGGTACGCACACCCCAAACCCAAGGGGTAGGCAAGAGGTGATGTGGGGTACATGCACCAAGCTCCAATGTGCAGGCTTGGTATCCACATACATGCATGAATAACTCCTTAGGGGTACAGGACATCAACAAGGAAGGCAAGAGAAGGGAGTAAGCTATAGATAGGGCGCCTCCATTTGTACTCTTTGTCCAGGATCCACAAATGCTAGAGATGTCTTTGACTGGTAATGTCCCATTTCTTAGCTATGTGATGGCTACATGTGTGTTCACTGTATAATTTTTTGACTCTATTTATATGTACAAATGTGCACGTGTGTATGTGTATAGGTATACACATATATGCTATATTTCACAATTCTTTAAAATGATTAAAAAATTTTTACCACTATTAGGATAAAGTCCTAGCTCGTTCCATGATATATAAAGCCTTGTACAAACCATCTTCTGCCTATCTTGGACCTGATCTCCTGCCATTCTCCCTCTCTCCTGTCACCTCTAGTCACACTGACCTTTTTGCTCCAGCCAACAGTGCCAAGTTACAGAGCTGTTTGTTGGAGGAGGTTTAATTGGCCCTGCATTTAAAACCATTTGTATTAGTGAGGCAAAGAAATGCCTGCGATGGGGGTTGCATGAGGACTGGAATGAGCAGCCACAGTGTCAGAAGTGATGTGGCAACTGCAGCCTCCCAGAGTTTAGGAGGAAAGACATCTGCTTATATAAGAAAGCTGGAGACAGTTCTGAAGGCTGCCAAAAAAGGAACACTTGCAACTGAAGGAACCATCAATCAGGTGCCCTGAACAGGTGGAGGCTGGGGCTACTCTCAGCGGAAAGCCAGGCTCAGAGCTCCAATTACCAGCCATGAGGAATCCAACTATCAAAACTGATGCCAGAGGGGAGGGAGAGGAGGAGACAGAGGCCTGACTCAGCGGAAAGAGCGATTCCAGAGCACCTGAGGTAACTGACGAACCACCAGAGAGGAGTTGGAGATCAATAACAGAAATATCTAACTCAGTGGTTCTCAAAGCCAGATCCCCAGACCAGCAGCATCAGCTTGACCAGGGAGCTGGTTAGAAGTGCACATTCTCAGGCCCCCCCTTGGTAAGAATCAGAAACTCTAAGGCACAGGGAGGGACCAGTAATCCCTGTTTTAAGAAGCCCTCCAAGGTGGCTTTTCCAATGTTGGATAAATTCTGAGAGCCATAAATCTAACTTTAATTGAGCGTGGACTATGTACCAGGCGCTATTCTGAGTGTTTGCCTCTATTAACTGAATATTCCACATAATGGCATCATGAAATAGAAGGTGAACCATTTTACAGATGGGAGCTGTGAGACAGGATAATTTATGTAACTTACCTAAAATCAGAGAGCCAGACAGAGGGAGAGATGCAATCTGAACCTCAAGAGCATGTGCTCTTCCTTCACCACTGGGCTCTACTGCAGTGTTGCTCAGACCTTAGCACACAACTCCTGGGGGGCTTCTGAAAACACTCCTGCTGGAACCCCTTGGTAGAGTCTGTGATTCACTAGAATTGGGGCTGAGAATTTGCATTTCTCACAAGGCCAGATGATTCGGAGGCTCCTGGTCCAATTTCACTCTAGGAGAACCATTGTGCCATGTTTTACCACCTTCCCCACCTGAGGATTTAGTCCAGCAAATGGAAATGTTGATTGAGGCTTTTTGAGAAAATCCATGTGCAGAGCCCCTTGCCGGGACTCTTTTGGCTACAAATGACAGAAAACCCTGTTCTAATTGTCTTAAGCAAAAATGGTATCTATAGGCCACTTGAAACAGCCTAAGTCTGCCTCTAGGCACAGCTGGACCTAAGGATCCAGGAGGTATTAACAGTTAGGATTCCCTCTTTTTCTCTCCATCTCTCAGCTCAGCTTTCCTCTCTGCCTTCATTCTGTTGTCTTCATTCTCCCCTCACAATGGCCCCCAGCAACTCTGGCCTTAGATTCCACCAGGTAGAAACCCCCAAGTACCCCTTCCTATTATCCCATCAGAAGTACACGCTGGCTGTCATTGGCCAGACATGGATCACAGGCGCATTTCTGAACAATCATTGTGGTCAAGGAAATGTAATGTTCTTATTAGCTAGGCCTGGGTTATGGGCTCACCTCTAAAGAGCAGAAAGTGGGCTGAGCTGCACTAAAAGCACACAGATCAAGAGTAGGGTAGAAGAATCGGGTGCTGGGGCCAAAAAAGGAAATGAATGTTGAGCAGGCAAATATAACCAATGTCCACTACACCATCCTCAAAGGACAAAATGTGTTCAACATTAAACTCTCAAAGGATGGGCCCAAGCACAGAGATCATGATCAAAGGGAAAACCCAGGCCAGGTGCTGTGGCTCACACCTGTAATCCCAGCACTTTGGGAGCCCAAGGTGGGAGGATCACTTGAGGTTCAAGACCAGCCTGGGCAACATAGTGAGACCCCGTCTCTACAAAAAAAAAAAAAAAAAAAAAAAAAAAAGGCCAGGCATGGTGGCTCACACCTGTAATCCCAGCACTTTGGGAGGCCGAGGCAGGTGGATCATTTGAGGTCAGGAGTTCGAGACCAGCCTAGCCAACATGGTGAAACCCCATCTCTACTAAAAATATAAAAAATTAGCTGGGCGTGGTGGCAGGTGCCTATAATCCCAGCTACTCAGGAGGCTGAGGTGGGAGAATTGCTTGAACCTGGGAGACAGAGGTTGTAGTGAGCTGAGATTGTGCCACTGCACTCCACCCTGGGCCACAAGAATGAAACTCTGTCTCAAAAAAAAAAAATTTTTTTTTTTAATTTAGCGGGTGTGGTGGCACATGCCTGTAGTCCCAGCTGCTAGGGAGGCTGAGGTGGGAGGATTGCTTGAGCCAAGGAATTTGAGGCTGCAGTGAGCTATGATAGTGTCACTGCACTTCAGGCTTTCTCTTGGGGTCTCTCGCGTGGCTATAGTCAGATAGTGACGGGAGCTGGGGTCATCTCGAAGGCTTCCTCACACACATGTCTGGCAGTTGATGCTGGCTGCTGGCCAGAATACACTCATGTGAACCATCCATGCGGCCTGGGCTTCCTTCCATACCAATTTGTTTCCAAGGGTGAGCATTTCAAGAAAGAGAACCAGGCAGAAGCTGTGTTGCCTTTTTGTGACCTGGCCTCAGAAGTCACATAGTGTCATTTCTACCATACTCTCCTGGTTGTCTTGATGCCTAGGATCAAGAGGAGTGGTTACAGACTCCAGCTCTTGGAATGGGAGTGGTACATGATCAGAAGAGCAGGGGGAATGGGAGACATTGATTGTCACCGTCCTTTTTGTAAAATAATATGCCACAGGGAGGCAATGACTGGAAGGAAGGCATGCGGGGGATTCTGGGGGGCTATTAGTGCTGTGTTTTTTAAATCTGCATGCTGCTCACAGCCAGTTGCATAATTTTTTTCTTTTTGAGACAGGGTCTTGCTCTGTTGCCCAGGCTGGAGTGCAGTGGTGCAATCTCAGCTCACTGCAACATCCGCCTCGCAGGTTCAAGCCATTCTCGTGCCTCAGCCTCCCGAGTAGCTGGGACTACAGGTGTGCACCACCACGTCTGGCAAACTTTTGTATTTTTAGTAAAGAGGGGGTTTCACCATGTTGGTCAAGCTGGTCTCGAATTCCTGGCCTCAAGTGATCTGCCCACCTCGGCCTCCCAAAGTGTTGGGATTACAGGTGTGAGCCACTGTGCCCAACCCAGTTGCCTAATTTTTAAACTACACCACAATGTCATTTCCAGAGTTCCAGACTTCCATTAATTCCTTCAAATCTTAGCTTTACTGTCCTCTCCTTCACAAAACCACTAATGACATCCTACACTCCCTCAATAACCTCTGCTCTCTCAGCTCCATGAGGCCTAGTGATACCTCTATTATAGTAAATATTACCTTACCTTAAATTGTCCAGGTTATGTGTCTACCCTCCACTCTAGGACAGAAGTCCTCAATTTTTTTTTTTTTTTTTTTTTGAGGCAGAGTTTCACTCTTGTTGCCCAGGCTGAAGTGCAATGGCGGATCTCAGCTCACTGCAACCTCTGCCTCCCAGGCTCAAGCAATTCTCCTGCCTCAGCCTTCCCAAGTAGCTGGGATTACAGGTGCCCACCAACACACCTGGCCAATTTTTTGTATTTTTAGTAGAGACGGGGTTTCACCATGTTGACCATGGCTGTTCTCGAACTCCTAACGTCAGGTGATCTGCCCGCCTCGGCCTCCCAAAATGCTGGGATTACAGGCGTGAGTCACCGCGCCCGGCCGTCCTCAAAGATTTTTTATCACATCCATGAGCTGCATCTCCGCTGTATGTATGTGTGCGTGTACATATATACAGATACAGTGGTAATTTACAAACTGTACAGTATTAATAGGCACAATATAAAACATGCGCTAAGACAGAAATGCTTAAAGGATGAGACAAAATTGGTTGTACTCACGCCTGTAATCCCAGCACTTTAGGAGGCCGAGGCGGACAGATCACGAGGTCAGGAGTCTGAGACCAGCCTGACCAACATGGTGAAACCCTGTCTCTACTAAAAATACAAAAAAAATTAGCCGCTTGTGGTGGCACGCTGCTGTATTCCCAGCTACTCAGGAGGCTGATGCAGGAGAATCTCTTGAACCCAGGAAGCGGAGGTGGCAGTGAGCCGAGACGGTGCCACTGCACTCCAGCCTGGGCAACAGAGTAAGACTCCATATCAAAAAAAAAAAAGTGGTTGTAAATAGACTTTCTAATATTTTCCTGCACCTAAAATGTTTGTCTTGAAAACCCCCAGAAAACCAGGACCATCTTCAGAGACTATTACCATGACCACAAATTCCACAAGGACAGGTAACAATCTGTCTTACTCACCTCAGTATCCCAGCCACTGAATGAGATGTGAAAATGTATTCAATTGTACACCAAACATGTATTACAGAATGGGAGAAAATATTTGCAAACTCTCCATCTGACAAGGGATTAATAACCAGAATATAAAAGGAGCTCAAACAACTCAATAAGAAAAAAAAACTTATAAACTTATTTAAAAATGGCCAAAAGATCTGAATAGACATTTCTCAAAAGAAGACATACAAATGGCAAACAGGCACATGAAAAGGTGCTCAACATAACTGATCATCAGAGAAATGCAAATCAGAATTACAATATCATCTCACCCCAAGTAAAATGGCTTTCATCCCAAAGACAGGCAATAACAAATGCTAGTGAGGAGGTGGAGAAAAAGGAACCCTCGTACACAGTTGGTGAGAATGTAAATCAGTACAGCTACTACGGAGAACAGTATAGACGTTCCTCAGAAAAAGTGAAAATAGCTGGGCGCAGTGGCTCATGCCTGTAATCCCAGCACTTTGGGAGGCTGAGGCGAGTGGGTTGCCTGAGGTCAGGAGTTTAAGACCAGTCTGGCTAACATGGTGAAACCCCGTCTCTACTAAAAACACAAAAAAATTAGCTGGGCATGGTGGTGTGTGCCTGTAATCCCAGCTACTCCGGGGGCTGAGGCAGGGGAATTGCTTGAACCATGGAGATAGAAGTTGCAGTGAACAGAGATCGCACCACGGCACTACAGCCAGGCAACAGAGCGAGATTCCATCTCAAAAAAAAAAAAAAAAAGAAAAAGAAAAAGAAAAACTGAAAATAGAACTACCATATGATCCTGGCAGAATCCCACTGCTAGGTATATATCCACAAGAAAGAAAATCAGTATATGGAAGAGACATCTCCACTCCCATGTTTGTTGCATCATTGTTTACAAGCGCCCAAATTTGGAATCAACCTAAGTGTCCATAACAGATGAATGGATAAAGAAAACGTGGTGCATATACACAATGGAGTACTATTCAGCCATAAACAAGAATGAGATCCTGTCATTTGCAATGACATGGATAGAACTGGAGGACATTATATTAAGTGACAGAAGCCAGGCACAGAAAGGCAAACTTGACATATTTTAACTCATTTGTGGGAGCTAAAATGTAACAACTGAACTCATGGAGATAGAGAGTAGAAGGATAGCTGCCACAGGCTGGGAAAGGTAGTAGAGGGGAGAGGAAGTGGAGATAGTTAATGGGTACAAAAATACAGTTCGACAAAATGAGTATCTAGTATTTGATAACACAACAGGGTGACTACAGTCAGAACTGATTTGTTGTACATTTTAGAATAACTGAGGGAGTACAATTGGAGTGTTCATAACACAAAGAAATGATGAATGCTTGAGGTGATGGATGCCCCATGTACCCTGATGTGATTATTACACACACACCTATACCAAAATATCTCCTGGACCCCAAAAATATGTACACCTACTATGTACCCACAAAAATGGAAAAATTAAAAATAATTTTGAAAAGCTTACTTAAGAAAAAAACAGGTAAAATTTTCAAAGCTAGAGGACATCAGAGAAAAAGTCAGGATATAGTAAAAAAAAACATGAAACTTAAGCCACTTCTGGCCCTCCCATCAGAAAGCTTGATGCCAGATGAAGATTGCAGCCAAGAGCCCTGGAGAGGGGGTGGCACCGTGGAGAGAAAGAGAAGCAAGAAAAGAAGGGGTTTGGTGCTAGGTAGTTCTTGGTGATGAGTCATAACTGACTGCAAAAAGTCAGCGTAAATAGACACTTGGTGAAGGCCGGGCGCGGTGGCTTATGCCTCTAATCCCAGCACTTTGGGAGGCCAAGGCAGGTGGATCACCTGAGGTCAGGAGTTCGAGGCCAGCCTGACCAACATGGTAAAACCCTATCTCTACTAAAAATACAAAAATTAGCTGGGTGTGGTGGCGGGCACCTGTAATCCCAGCTACTTGGGAGGCTGAGACACGAGAATCGCTTGAACCCAGGAGGTGGAGGTTGCAGTGACTGTTAAAAAAAAAAAATAGATCCCTGGCGGGGCACACATACTGCTCCTCCCATCAAGGGATGGTTGGCATACCTTGGCTTGAATCCAGGTTGCCCTTAGTGACTTACTTGACCAATATAATTCAGAGGAAGTGGCATTCTGGGACTTCCGAGGCTAGAGCATAAGATGTGTGGCTTCTGATTGAGCTTTTTGGAAAGCTCAGTCTTGGAATGCTCCCTCTCGGAACCCAGTCATCACACTGTGAGAGGCCCAAGTCACCTGGAGAGGTTATGTCTGGCATTCCAGGCCACAGCCAGCATCAGCTTCCAGCCATGTGAGTGAGCCATCTTGACCTTCAGAGTGGGGCCTTTAGATAACTGTGGTCCCAGCTGATATCCAACTGCAATGGCATGAGAACCGCCCAGCTGAGCCTAGTCAACCTGGAGAACCATGAGTGATAATAATTAAGTTGTTTTCAACAGCAAAATTTGGTGTAGCAGTAGATAACTTAAACCGTGGGCTGCCTCCAACAGCTTCTGTAAATATCGACAACTTTCTCCTGATCTTAAATGTATGACTGCAATGTTGGAAATCTCTTAAAAGTGATGGGTGGAAACAGCAGTGTGTCTGGGCACAGAAGGCTTCCAATGGATGGCAAGACCAAGCATGATAATCTGTGGTCTCTTTTAGAGCCCACTCGGTAAAATGGGGGACCTGGAACCAACCTCGCAGGGATGTTGTAAGGATTCATGCAGTTAAAGCCTGCAACGCAGGTCCTGATGCATAGTAGGTGCCTCCTAAAATGTTAGTTTTAACGTGTGTATCATGTGGATCACTAGTTAACATGTGTTTGACTGCAGCTAAATGGCCCCAAATCAGCAGTGCAGTGGCTCACACCTGTAACCCAACACTCTGGGAGGCCGAGGCGGGTGGATCACCTGAGGTCCGGAGTTCAAGACCAGCCTGGCCAACGTGAGGAAACCCCATCTCTACTTAAAAAAAAAATACAAAAAGTTAGCCAGGCATGGTGTTGCATGCCTATAATCCCAGCTGCTCGTGAGGCTGAGGTAGGAGAATCGCTTGAACCCAGGAGGCAGAGGTTGCAGTGAGCCAAGATCATGCCACTGCACTCCAGCCTGGGCAACAAGAGCAAAACTCCGTCTAAAAAAAAAAAAAAAAACCAAAAGGGGCTGAACAAAAAAGGAACTGCATTGTTTCACATAGCAAGAAAAGCAGAGGTGGGTTCCAGGGTTGTTAAATTCATTAATTTATCTATTCAAACATTTTAGTTCTACTTCAGTAAAAATTTTATTTAAAAATACATGAGTACCAACCCATTGTCAGGCACTGTTCCAGGATCTGGAGATATAGCATAGAAGAAAGCAAAGTCCCTTAGGTGGTTCAGTGACATTATCAAGAACTTAGGTCCTTTGTCTTTTCTGCACTGCCATCTTCAGCATGACACCTGCATCACCAGATGGTGGCCACCGCCCCGGCATCACCCGCTTACACGGCATTTCCAGGGACAGAACAGGGAGTCTGCTCTAGCCTCTCTCTCTTTTTGTGATTCAACTTTATTGAGATATAATTTACATGCAATAAAATATATCCACTTTAAGTATAAAATGCAATAAATCCCAAAAGTTTCCCTCATCCCTTGTGATTTTAAGATACAGTTTTATCACATATTTTTGTATGCTTAAAAATGTTTCCTTTTGCTTGGCTTTGAGCTTTATAAATAGTATCATCCTATATGGAGTCTTTTGTTTTATTCACATTATGTTTCTGTAATTCTTTTTTTTTTTTCTTTTTTTTTTTTTTTTGAGACAGACTCTCACCCTCTTGCCCAGGCTGGAGTGCAGTGTCCAGGATCATAGCTCACTGCATCCTCGACCTCCAGGCCTCAAGCGACCCTCCCACTTCAGCCTCCCGAGTAGTTGGAGCTACAAGCACACGCCACTGAGCCCAGCTAATTTTTGCATTTTTTGTAGAAATAGGGTTTCACCATGTTCCCCAGGCTGGTCTTGAACTTCTGGCCTCAAGCAATCCTCCCGTCTCAGCCTCCCAAAGTGCTGGGATTACAAGCAGGAGCCACCATGCCCAGCCTAAATTCATCTTTTTCTTGTACATCTGTTGTTCCTTCATTTTCACTGCTGTGTAATTGTCCGTCATGTGAGATATACTAAAATTTATCAATTCTCCTTTAAATGGACATCAGATGTGTTTCTTTTTGCTATCAGATAAATGCTTTACAAAAGCATACAAAAGTTGACAGATGAACTTTGTATACTTGATCTTAGCCAAAGGCTGAGAAGAGATACTATGAACTTTAACATCTCAATCGATGCATGTGGTCAAATATCTCTTCTTGGGTAAGGACCTAGGAGTGCCAAGCATATGGGATTCAGATTTTCAATTTGGTTCAGTTTTTCAAAATAACAACAAACTACTTCCCAGAGGGTTGTACTAATTTGAACTCCCATCAGCAACATATGAGATGTCCTGTGAATCCCCATCCTCACCTACAGCCATCTTAACTTTTGTCAATTTGAGGCTGTGAAACAGAATTTTAGTGTGGCCTTTTTTTCTTTAGATGTTCCATATAATTAGGGGCTGGCTTTTAGTCAGATGGCTGGGACCAAACGATTGAGGAGGAAGGGAATTTAGAGGGTGACTGTAATGATGAATCTATAATTGGTAGGGGACAGTGGGCAGGGTGGGATGGAAAAAGGAGAGCCATGATGGACAGGGAGAGTGTGGGAACGTGGCCTGGAGGTTGCGCTGGAAGCAGAGGTGGTACTTGAACAAGCAAGCTGGAAGGAGAGGAAGTGGATTTCAGTTTCCTGATCTTTGTCTTGCTCTGATTAGGGATGAGTTGGAACATCTTTTCATGTCAATTACAAAACTACTGAAGCAACCAAAGAATCTCAAAGGAAAAGACCGACAGACTATTTTTAAAATTACTTTATTTAAAGCAATGTTTCTATGCAATTTAAATAAAAGAAATCTCTGGAGAAAAAAAAAATCTCTTTATCACAATCTATGTTGTACCCAAAACTGATATAACTTAACAAAGAAAAGACCAAGCCCCCGTTCAGGAATGTGCCATTGGTAAAGGGCAAATCCTGAGAGGAGCTACAGGGTAGCTCAGAGACAGGTGGGCAGAGCAATTCTACAGAAGGCAGATGTGATCCATGGCATGGCTACTGCACGCCCAGCAGGAGTCGAAGCAGCAGGAGATGCTGTGCTGGTGGCTGGGCCATCAAAATGAGGCCTCTGAGGCTGGCTTCACAGTCCAGTTGTGAAATGTGCACGACCCACATCTCACGTGTCATTTATTAATGCAGTATATTCACTGACTGTGTGCCAGGCTCTGCAGATAATGTGGCAACCAAGATAGACTCTGCCCCCATGCTCATGGATTTATTGTCCAAAGATGAGACAGACGCAGAGATGCTGACATCACAGCTGGTCAAGGTGGGACAGGGGAGAGGCAGACAGATGGGTCAAGGCTGGGATGGGAGAAACCCCAGGAGCTGTGGAAGCTCAGAACGGGCCCCCCACCCACCCTGGGGGACCAAGGGGGCTTCCTAAAGGAGACACCTTTACTGAGACCTGAACAGTGTATGGAATTAGTTGTGGGGAGGTGGGTGAAAGAAGGGTGCTCCAAAAAGAGGGAGAAGCACGTACAAATGCCCACAGGTGACAGGGAGTCGGGAGTGTTCTAGACCAGCATGATCCAACAGAAGAGTAACACGAGCCATACATGTGAGCTGCAAAGCTAATTAAACATTTTCTAATAGCCCAATTAAAAAAACCATAAAATTAATTGTAATTTTAATAATATATTTTATTTAACTCAATATATCCAAAATATTACCATATCAGTATGTGATCAATATAAAACATTTTTTTTGTACCAAGTCTTTAACTCTGGTGGGTATTTATGCTTAAAATATATCTCAAGTCACACGAGCCACATTTCAAGTGCCCAGGAGCCACATGTGGCCAGTGGCTCCTGTACTGTACTGAAGAGCAGGGCAACACCTTTGCTACTCAAAGCCTTGGCATCATTTGGGAGCTTGAAATGCAGAATCTCAGGCCCCTTCCTCAACCCACCGAAGCGGAATCTACATTCAAAATCCCAGATGCACATCAGAGTTTGAGAGAAATGGGTCCAGTTCTGCCTAAAATACTTCTGTGGCTTCCTACTGCCCTCATGATAAATGTCCAGCTATTGAGGTTGGCAATCATTCATTCACTCCTTCATTTACTCATTCATTCAGCGCATGGTTACTGAGCACCTACTGAGTGCCAGGCCCTGTGCTGGGTGATGTTGAGGACTCACCGACGGTACAGACAGACCTGATTCTGACCCTGCTGGAACTCCCAGACAGTTAATAAATGAGTAGCCAAATCACTGTTTCATTTGGACTATGTGAAACATAATATGCTTAATGTGAATTTGCAGTGTACAAGGAGTGTCAGGGAAGGTCTGACCCGATTTGAGTGGAAAGGGATCCAGAAAAATAACCCAAATAAGGGAAGAGGCCACCACCATGGCGAAAGGCCACAAGCAGATTAAATGTCCTATTGCAGAGGACAGGATTGCCAAGCAACTCCAGCCCATTCATGGTCATTAAGAAGGATCGTTTTCAGGCTTCAGAGAAATGTGGAGAAACGCCTGGAGTATAGGGTTACAGAAAATGAGCCAGGGACAGAGCTGGTGCGGTGATATCACCCCATGCACAGACTTGTCTGAATTTGGAAAATGAGGAGAAAGGAGGGGATCAGAGAATCAGGAAGATGGGCAATTTGTCAGTAGGGAATGACTTGGGGCAAGAAATTGCAGGTTATCTTTTTTTAGGAAAATTTAAAAATCCCTTAACAAAACATATCTAGATTTGCTTTAAAAATAACTGAGGCCGGGCACGGTGGCTCACAACTGTAATCCCAGCACTTTGGGAGGCTGAGGCAGGCGGATCATGAGGTCAGGAGTTCAAGACTAGTCTGGCCAACATAGTGAAACTGTCTCTACTAAAAATACAAAAAAATTAGCCAGGTGTGGTGGTGTGCGCCTGTAATCCCAGCTACTCAGGAGGCAGGAGAATTGTGTGAACCTGGGAGGCGGAGGTTGCAGTGAGCAGAAATCGTGCCATTGCACTCCAGCCCGGGCAACAGTGTGAGACTCTGTCTATAAATAAATAAATAAATAAATAAATAAATAAATAAATCTGAGCAGCAGAAAAAGATGTGCAAGGTATGGATTAAGCAACAGTGGCCATATGCTGGTAACTGCAGAAGCTAGTGATGAGAACGTAGGAGTTCATCAGCCTCTTCTCTATGCTCTTATGTATGTTTGAAATTTTCCCTTAAAATAAGTTAAAAGTGTTTTACTTTTTCTTCTTCTTTTTAGAGATAGAGTCTTGCTCTGTCACCCAGGCTGGAGTGCAGTGGCACGATCACTGCCTAGTTCACTGCAGCTTCAACCTCCTGGGCTTAAGCGATCCTCCTGCCTCAGCCTCCCAAGTAGCTGGGACAACAGGCTTGCACCACCATGCCCAGCAATTTTTTTAGTTATTGTAGAGAAAGGGGTCTCACTATGCTGCCCAGGCCAGTCTTAACTCCTGACCCCAAGCAATCCTTCTGCCCTGACCTCCCAAAGTGCTGGGATTCCAGGAATGAGTCATGGTGCCCAGCATTTTAAAAATGTTTTTCTTTACAAATAATTGGTGATGTTGAAAGGTTTCTAGTCGCTGGAAAAGAAAGCAATTTAAGCCCCTCTTCCAAAGGAAGAAACTGTAAGATCAGAAATATGAGTTTCTCCTTTCAGAATAGAGTCAAGGAGGAAGGTGGTTAAAGGCACACATGATAGAACTGAGACTCCTAGGTTCAAATCCTGTTGCAGGCACTTACTAGCTATGGAACCTGAAGTAACTGATTTAAACTCTAAATGCCTCACTGAAAACCTGGGATAATAACAGTAGCTACCTCCTAAGGGGTATGTGAGGATTACTGGATGTATGCAAGCTGGGGGTTTAGAAGAGTGCCTGGCATGAAGAAGGCACCATACAAATGTGGGCAGTTACTGTGAAAGCCTATGCTAGCCAGGCTTAGAACTGCAAAATGTCCCAAAGCACATCCGCTAATAGTCTCTCTTTCTTTTTTTTTTTTTTTTTTTTTTGTAGAGACAGAGTCTTGCTGTCACCCAGGCTGGAGTGCTGGAGTGCAGTGGTGCGATCTCGGCTCACTACAACCTTGACCTCCCGAGTTCAAGCAATTCTCCTGCCTCAGCCTCCTGAGTAGCTGGGACTACAGGTGCACGCCACCATGCCCGGCTAATTTCTTTTGTATTTTAGTAGAGACGGGGTTTCACCATGTTGCCCAGGCTGGTCTCAAACTCCTGAGCTCAAGCAATCCGCCTGCCTCGGCCTCCCAAAGTGCTAGGATTACAGGCATGAGCCACCGTTCCCAGCCCACTAATAGTCTCTTTACTGAACTCACTGTGCCAACAGCCACTGATATCAGAGTGGAAGAATTCTCCCAATGCCAGTATTAATAATCTAGTTAACTTCCCTCTTGCACATACAAAATCCTTTTATACAATTCAGTTGTTCTAAATGCTTGTGAGACATTTTTTAGATACCTTGTAAGTCATGTTTATAAGGATAATTGTGATAATTAATATAGAAGATTCTCTTAATCAATGTGACTCAAAAGGAAGCTTACAAGTGATCCTTAAAATTTCACTCTGGTGTGACAACCCTAGTGTAAAGAGAAATGAGCCTCAGTTTTCTTCCTACTGCTGTAGATTTTTTAAAGTAATAAAGTGATTCCTGAAAGTTGTTTTCATCTTAAGCTGACACATAATGTGATTTATTTTCCTGTTTACTTTTCCCCCTACAACAGGTTTAATTGCGTTAAATGGTGAGATGGGAGGCCAAGAGCCCAGGGAGGAGGACAGGCAGAGACAAGGTGGGAGAGGACCGGGTTGGACCAAGGCAGAGTGGAAAATGGGAGAAGGGAGAAGATGTGAGAGATGTCCAGCAGTCCCAGAGGACAAGCCCTGGAAGCTGATGGGCTGGACGGGGGGCAGGGATGGGAGGGAGGCATTCAGAATGAGGCCCATGGCTCCCTCTGAGAACCTGGAGCCTGGAGGGGCCACCCCTGAGACAAAGGCTGAGAGAGCATGTTTGGAATCTGGGACATGGTGAGTGTTAAGGGCCCAAGGATTGCCCAGTTGGGATTGGGGGATTGTCCATGAGGCCTCCGGATCCTCCAGGTCTAGGGCTCAGAGTAGAGGTCAGGGCTAAGGACAGAGTGTGTCATCTGCACAGAGATAGGAAACAGACCATGAAAGAGGGTAAGGTGGCCCCAAGGTGAGAAGAGAGAACATAGCCCCACCACATTTAACAGACTGGTGAAAACAGAGGAGCCCGCAAGGAAGCAAAACGTAGAGGAAATGTCAGGGGATAGCAGACTCACAGAAACTAAGGGGAGGGTGTGCTCACAGAAGGCAGGCAGGGTCACCACAGCCGATTTTTGCCAAGATGACCAATAAGATGAGCACCAAAAAGAGCCCACTGAGCCAGGCTTCTCACTGGCAGAGGAAGGAGTTATAAAGAAAGCAAGGGGGGGATGGTGAGAATGAACCCTCTGGTACTAGACTAGTGTCAGAGTATCAGTATGAACTCATGCTTATTTTTACACACCATTCTCCAATGAAAAGAACCAGTGACTCTAGAGGAAGAGCTAATTCTAGGGCTGGTGCAGGGAGAATACATGAGCCTGGAATATCTTGCAGTGCCAGAAAGTAAGAAGGTGTTGGAGAAAAAAAAAAGAGTAAAGAACACAGGAGCCAACCTGAAAGATAAACGCTGATGGCCAAGGCTAAAACAACTTGAGCAAAAAAAAAATTGATTACAATAATGTTGGGGTATGCCCAACTAATAAATATTCATGAGTCCACACGGAAATAAACTAATGATTGTATAAATAAAATAAGTGAAGTATGATAGAAGGGACAAATCTTCCATATGGAATTCTAAATAGTAAATGTAAAGAAATGAGGGAAACAGAAAGTCATCATTATAATATCACGGTAATAACTGCTACAGACCGGGTCCACTGATGAATGCTAAAATGTGTGGGTAAACTTGAAGGAGAAATGGGATATTTGTGCAGCCTCCAAGTATCTCCCTATTTCCCTCCAGGAATCAGGCTTAGCTCTCCTCTGAGTGTGGGCTGGATTTAGTGACTTGCTTCTAACAAATGAGTAAAGGGAAAATAGTGGTATTATCGTTGGGAAATCTGCAGACACCACTTTCATGAAGTGATCAGGTTAACCTCACCTCAGTGAGCATTCTTCCCAAAGCCTAAAATCCCAGTCTAACCACGAGCAAAATGTCAGACAACCTCAGACTGAGGGCCATTCTACAAAAACATCTCACCAGTACTCCTCAGAACTGTCAAGGTCATGAAAAACAAGGAAGGACTGAGAAATTGTCACAGATTGGAGGAGGCCAACGAGAAATGACCAACAAATGCAACATGGTATCCTGGATTGGATCCTGGAACAGAAAAAGGACATTAATGGAAAAACAGGAGAAATAGGATTCAAGTCTGGAGTTTAACAGAATATTAATCCATGTTAATTTCTCAGTTTTGACAAATATACAATAATTATGTAAGATGCTAACACTAGGTGGAAGTTGGGTGTAGGTATAGGGAAGTCCCTGTATCATCTTTGCAACTTGTCTGTAAATCTAAAATTATTAAATTTTAAAACGTTCACAAAACTTTAAGTCTCCTCTGCAATATGGCTCGAGGTGGTCCCCCGCGGAGTTCCAAAGCACGCTTTGTTTGACTCATCCTTCAGATCTCATCTTACATGCTCCCCACGCCAGGAAGTCCCACCTGACACCACAGACTGGGTCAGGAGCTGCCTCTGGCTCCCACAGTCCCCCTGTGGCTCCCCTATCCTGGCCCCAACCCCTCTGCCTCCCCATCCCAGCCCTGGTCACTGTCTGCCGTTGGGGTTGTCTTCCCCACTGGACTGTGAGCTTTGCGAGGGCAAGGTGGAGGCTGTCTCAGCCATTGCTGTGTCTCAGCCATTGCTGTGTCTCTCTTGAGTTGAGAGTAATGCGTGTCTCCCTGACTCCTCTGGGAATACCCATGAACAGGCAGAAGCTGCGCCTGAATCCTCCCAACTGACCCTTAACGCTTCACAGCCCAAGGCCTGCCAGATCCACCTTCCTGGTATCCCCTTTCCTGTTTGCTCAATCCAGGACACATCTGAGGCAATATAAATGGTCTGTCTCACCCATCAGCCAAAAGAGGGTCAAATCATCTCCAACCCCTGCCACACCTGCCCACCCACATGTCCGCCCTGTACACCAAGTGTCAGAAACACATGGTGACTGTGAATGTTTGGGGGGCCTGCCCAGTCCACAGCCCTTCTGAGCAGACAGTCATCACTATAGGAACCCTCCAGCTCCAGTGAGTTGAGCAGGGTTGGATACCCGACCCTGGAAATCCCATTCCTATCTGGGAAATTCGGAATGAAGACTGAGGGGCTGCGGGTAACTGAGCTGGAAGATCACATAGAGTGGGGGCAAGAGTCCACCCAGGACCAACCCAGCTGCCTGAGAACAGGAAGCAGCCAATGCAAAGAGAAGCAGAGACCACAGGGCCCAGTGGAAAGGAGGAATGTCACACCACTGTCTCACTTCTGCTTCTATTCTGTTCTCATGAAGCCCTTGTCAGGTTCTTTCCATCACTACCCACAACCAATCACAGTGAGTTCTGCCTTCAAAATGCACCCAGACTCCAATGACTACTCATTCTGCCCCTGCCCTGGTACAGGCCACTGTCATCTCACCTAGATTATTGCAGCAACCTCCTCACGGGCCTCCCTGCTCTCATTCTCAGCCCACACTTCCATCTATACACCCTCCCTTAGTGATCCCATCCTGGGCTTTAATACCATAAATATGCCAACTACTCCCAGCCCAGATCTCACCCTTCAATGCCAGTCTTGTATAAGCTCCTGTTTGGCCAGTGGGTCCAGTCAGAGGCTAAACACGCCCACACTCTCTCTCAGTCTTGTCCATACAGTTAATGGCACTCCCTCCTTCCTCTGTGCAGACTAAACGCCATAGTGTGGTCCTTGACTCTTCTTTCTTACCCTACATACCTGATTCTCCCTTCAAATTATATGCAAAATCTGACCACATCTCCCCACCGCCCCGTTAGCACCCTGGCCAAGCCACTATCATCTCAGCTGGACTGCACAGTGGCCTCCTCACTGGCATCCTGCTTCCACCCTAGTAGCCACATGGGAGCCAGAGGAACCCTCTTACCGTGGTAGATCACATCGCCTCAGCTCACCATGCTCTCCCTGCCACACATCTCATCAGCTTCAAATTCAAGTCCTTCCCATGGCCTCCCGGTCCCACCTGACCTTGCCTTGGTCTCCTTCCCTCCCACTGTGTCCAGTCAGGTCCAGTTCACTCCTTTCTGCTCCTCCAGCACACCAAGCATGCCTCGGGGCCTTTGAATTTGCTGGTTTTTTCTACCTGGAATGTCCTTCTTCCCAGAATATACATACAGCCAGCTGGTGTCCTCCCTTTCTGTGAGGTCCATTAACGTTTTTCTCAAAGAGGTCTTCTTTAACCCCTCTATCTAAAATAGCACCTCTTCCCACTCTCTAGTCTTCCAACCCTCAACTTCTACAGCTCTGTTCACTAATATTAGCATTCATCTTGCCCACTGGAATGCAGGCTCCAGGAGGACAGGGCTTTCGGGGGTCTTGTTTGCTACTATTAATAATACCAGCACCTAAAAATGCTTGGCATGTAGTAAATAGCCAGATCTGATGACTCAACAAATAAGAAAACCCTGGAATCAGTTAGGATATTGTTGATTCTAAGTAATAGAAAACTCAATTCAACAATATAGTTGGCTTAAACGATAGAGATATGTTGAATTCCCTAATGAGAAAGTCTAGAGGTAACTCACTCCAAGTGAGGCCTGATCCAGCACTTCAACAACATCACCAAAGACTCGATGTCTTTCCATCTCTCTACTAGTCCTTCCAAGAAAATGGCTAAAATCACATCACTAAGAAGTGGGTTGGCTGGACGCAGTGGCTCACGCCTGTAATCTCAGCACTTTGGGAGGCCAAGGTTGGTGGATCACTTGAGCCCAGGAGTTCGAGAGCACTCTAGGAAACATGGTGAAACCCCATCTCTACAAAAAATACAAAAATTAGCCAGGTGTGGTGGTGCATGCTTGTGGTCCCAAGTACTCAGGAGACTGAGGCAGGAGGATCACCTGAGCCCAAGAGGTCTAGGCTGCAGTGACTCCAGCCAGGGTGACAGAGTCAGGCCCTGTTTAAAAACAAAAAAAAAGAAGAAGAAGAAGAAGAAAAAGAAGTGGAAGTGGGTTACTAATGTGTTTATTCATCTGACCGCCACTTCTTCAACAATTGTGAAAATTGTAATGCTGATGAACATGATGCTGATAATAATAGCTATCACATATTCAGTGCTTTGTGCCAGGCGCTTTACTAGTACTTTATTAGCTTCTGTGTGCCTTCATTTCCTCGTTTGTAAAATGGGAACAGTAGTAGTACCACATACGGTGACTGAGGATTAAATGAGCTAATACATAAAATGGTAAGATCTTAAAAAAATATTAGCTTGTTTCAGTTAGCTATTGCTGTGTAACAAAGCATCCTAAGCCACAGGGGCATAAAATAGCAACCATTTCTTTGCTCATGATTCTGCAATTTGGACAAGGCTCAAAGGGTCAGGGGATTTGAGATGGTTCATTCCTACTCCACATGGTGTCAACTGGAATGGGAGTTAGGCCATCCCAAGATGGCATCACTTGCACGCCTGCACATCAGCTAAAAGTTGGAACAGCCGCGGGCTGGGGCAGATCTATAGAAAGGGCAGGGCTCCAAGAGTAGAAGCAGAATCTGCCAGGTCTCTTAAAGCCTAGGCCTCCATTTAGTACAGCATCATCTTCATTGTATTTTTTTTTTTTTTTTTTTGAGAAAGAGTCTCACTCTGTCACCCAGGCTGGAGTGCAGTGGTATGATCTTGGTTCACTGCAACCTCCACCTCCCGGGTTCAAGTGATTCTCCTGCCTCAGCCTCCAGAGTAGGTGGGACTACAGGAGTGCACCACACCTGGCTATTTTTTTTTTTTTTTTTGTATTTTTAGTAGAGATAGGGTTTCTCCATGTTGGTCAGGCTGGTCTCGAACTCCTTTCCTCAAGTGATTCACCTGCCTCAGCCTCCCAAAGTGCTGGGATTACAGGCATGAGCCACCGCACCCAGCCTGCTTTCATTGTATTCTATTGGTCAAAACAAATCTCAGGGCCAGCTCAGATATAAGGAGAAGGAAGGAGACTCCACCTCTTGATAGGAAAAACAGCAAAGAATGTGTGGCTGTCTTCAATCACAGCTATTTTAATTCCACAGTAACAGCCTTGTCACTGGTCTCCCTACTTTAATCCTTAATGCCTTATAGTCAATTCCCCACACAGAAGCCAGAGGAGTCTTTTAAAGTACACTTTAGTGTGAAGAATTTTAGAAGGAAACACACACACACACATACACACACACACAAACACCTGACCACGCTCCTGTCCCCAGCTTAAAATTCTACAACTTCCCACTACATGTGGGGTAAACACCCAAACTCCTTATGGCATACACAAGGTCTGACCTCTTGCTCTGCATCAGCCTCTAGGCTCCAACCATCCCAAACTCTTATCTCTTAAAGGAGTTAATGCCTACTCCTTCATCACCTCAAACCTCATTTCCTAGGATCCGGATTTGATTTCCTATCAAGTATTCTTATAACACTCTCTACCTTTCTTGGTAATTTCACACGTGTGATTATTTGATAGTCTAAATTACTGTCCCTATTACTGTAGGTTCTATAGGGGTAGGGGAATATTTTGTTCTCTTCTGTGTTCCCAATGCTGAGGAGAAAGAAGAGGCAAGGTGAAATACTTGTTGAATATCTTGAGCCCTCAGAAAACTTTAAGGCAGCTCCTTGGAGTTCTGTAGAAAGGGGATCGGCAGAGTCCCCGCCATGCTGGGATCCAGATATGTGCTCTTCAATAGTTTATTTGATAAGTAGTTACTGAGCCCTAACTGTGTGCCAAGCACTTTTCTATGTGTTGGAGATAACGGAGGAAGTAGACAAAAGCCCCTTCCCTGATGAAGTCAACAGTCTCCTAGAGGTAAGGGTCAGGGGAGACAGACCATAAACACAGATAAATTCTACAGAGTGTTAAACAGTAATATGATTAATGCTAAGGATAAAGTTAAAGAAGCAAAGATAGATGTGACTATAAGTCACAAATTTAGAAGGGTGGTGAGGGAAGATCTCAGGAAGGCAGTGACATCTCAGGAGAGACCTAAAGAGGAAGGAACAAGTCTGGGCTATTTGATAGATGAGTTCTTTAGGCAAAGAAAAGAGCAAGCACAAAGGCCCTCGGGCCAGTGTGGCTGGAGCACAGGGAGTAAGAAGAGTAGATGATGTCAGAGAGGTGATGAGGGCAGACAATGCAGGGCCTTGCAGAGGACTCTGGGTTTTACCCCGAGCAAGATGTAGCCTTGGAAGTGTTCTGAGCGGGGGAGGGATATGACCTGATACAGGTGCTCACAGCATCCCTCCAGCTGCATGTAAGGAACACTCTGGGGGCAGGGGTGAGAGCAGAGAGATCACTGAGGAGCCTGCCATAATGGTCTGTGAAGGAGATAAGGGTGGACAGGAGTGAAGGTGGGGAGAAGTGGTCAGGTATATTAGCTGACAGACATGAATATAAGACAGAAAGAGGAGTAAAGGACAATTCCAGTGGTTTGGGCCTGGAGAGGATGGGGGGAGCATTTACTGAGATGAACATGCAGGGAAAAAATTTTGGGGAAAGGAGCAGGAGCTCAATTTGATCAAAATTACTCTGGAGATACCTCTAGATTACCAACAGGTTATGAGGAAGGCAGCCAGTCAGGAGCTCAGGGGAGAGATTCTGGGATGGACATAGAAATGTGACACATAATGGGAGGCCGAGGCAGGCAGATCACAAGGTCAAGAGATCAAGACCATCCTGGCCAACATGGTGAAATCCAGTCTCCACTAAAAATACAAAAATTAGCTGGGCATGGTGGCGTGTGCCTGTAGTCCCAGCTACTCGGGAGGCTGAGGCAGGAGAATTGCTTGAACCCGGGAGGCGGAGGTTGCAGTGAGCCGAGATCACGCCACTGCACTACAGCCTGGAGACAGAGTGAGACTCCGTCTAAAAAAAAAAAAAAAAAAAAAAAGTGACATATACATTTCCATGCCTCTCCCAAATTCCTCACAAGACCTACGTGATCTGGCCCTGCTGATGTCTCCTTGGTAAGTTAATGGTACGCGCGCACACACACACACACACACACACACACACACACACACACATCCTGGGCCCTCCCCTTCCTAGGTATTGATAATGGTCAAGTTACCTAAACTTTTCTGTCCTAGGTATCATTTACAAATGGGAGATCACATCAGCACCTGCCTCCTAGGATTGTTCATTCAAGACATTAGCCACTGAGCATCTGCTCTACGCGCTGGAGATATCCCTTCTCCACTCCTCTCCGCCTCCCCCTCCCACACAGCCTGTCAACCTTCTGGACGTCTCTCCCATCCCCTCTTGCCCTCCCTACGGTGGCCCCTGCCCTGATCCATTCCCAACACCTCTTGCCTAGGAATCTGTCACATCTGCCACCCTGGGTTTCCTGACCCCAGTCACTTTCCCGTTAATCTATTCTCATGTCACAGCAAACTGGGCCGTACCCCTTCCCTACTAAAAATCCTCCCATGGCTCTTCATTGCTCTCAGGACAAAATCCAAGGTCCCTAAATGATCAAGAAAATCTTCCACATCTCATTCATACAGAATTTTCAGTATGATCACCAACACCAGATCGCCTGCAGTCCATGTTCACACAACAGGCTGTTTCTCTCTGCCTTTGCGCAAACCATTCCACCACACCGCCCCCGACCCCCAAAACATCCTTCCGTCTTCAGGTCTCAGCTCAGACAGCTCCTAGTCTTCCGGGATGATCTTCCTACCAAGGTCTCCTCGGGTTCCCACCGCGTTCCATGCCGCCTCCATTAGTGAACATACATAGGTCCGCAACGGGGTCTTGCCTGTCTCTCCCACTGAGCGGGGCTTCCCGCAAGCCGGGCCAGGCACAGCGGCCAGTGATGTCCGCGTGCTGGGGCCTCTTCAGGCCTCGGCGTCTACTGCCCGCTCTGGAACTGTGAGCGACAACCGGCACTCTCTCCCGGGACGGCGCCGCACCCACCTTCTGCACACCTCGGAGACCTCAACACCTGCGCCAAAGCCACCCAGTCACAGCCTTCTCTCCCTCTCCTAAACACCATGAACATCCAGGCCCCGGGACCTCAGACTGCTCATTGGCTGCCTGAAAACCCGCCCCCAAGCCTGAGAGAAAAGAACTCTGGTTGCTGTAGTTCCCCAACGAACACCGCAGAAAGCGATTGCTAAGTAGAACTTCATTTCCCACAAAGCGCCGAGCCCCAGTGGTGGCAGACGGTACCCTTTGAACTGGGCTCTTGATTGGCCGGTTGGGAGACGTACATTTCCAAATTACCGTGGAAACAGGACCACTTACCTGGAACCCCGGGAAAATCTTTTTGTCTCAGAATCTCAAAACTCTTTGTTTCGCGATGATTCCAAAGAGCTGGACAGTACACGTGGGGACAGAGTCTGTACCTATTGTCTGCCTGTTCCCCAGATGGCACCAACAAAGCCTCCTAAGTGTACTCAGCTGCTACTGGACGCCTGCTTGGCATGAGGAGCCACTCTTGTGCTAAGTCTGCGGACGCCCCGGCTTATTAGGGCACCTGTTTCCCAGAGACAGGCCAGAGCTGAACCTTTACCCTTTCAGGGTCTATTTACCCAGGAAAAGGCAAATGTAGGCCAGGATCCTGTCCACGATCTATCTAGAATGCTGATGCCCCAGACCTGCAGACTCATGCCTGCAACACGCGCCACAGCTTCCCCACGAGACGTCTCCACACCAGAGCTCCTCCAGCACCCCCTCCGCAAACCCCCTTCCCCACCATGCCTCTGAGGGTCGGGTGAGGGGAGCCGAGGCCCTGCAAACGCTCAGGCAGGCATGTGAGAAAGCTCTTTACTGGGGGTACAGCGAGGAGGAGCAAGGCCATCTCCCCCTACCTGCCCCCACCCCCTCCTAGGGTCCTGGGGTGAGGGGGGGTCTTCCCTCCACCGGACCACCACTGTCTTTGGTACAATAAATAGAAAAAAAGGGGGAGAGGGGCCCAAGGGTCCAGTCCTTAGTGGGGAGGGAGCGGCCAAAACCCTCTCCTTGACCCCCCTGCCCCAGGCCCCAATCAGTGCAGGCCTCACCCACCCCAGCTGGGTAGCAGCAATTCCAGTCAAGGAGAGAGATGAGGATGGGAGCCCAGGGCCCCCAGATGGGGGAGGGTATGGCTTCAGGAGGGGCCCCAGGGAGGGGGCAGGGTCACGAGCTGGCTGCTGTGCTCTGGGGTACACCACGGAGGCCCAGGTGAGGCCCCAGAGTGGCAGGGTCATCAGGAGGCGGGAGGGGTGGACGACCTCCAGTCATCCGAGTCCGGAGGGCTGAGGCAGCCGGGTGCTGGGGGGCAGGCGCTGGGTGAGGTGGGGAGCAGTCAGCAGGGCCGCCCACCAGGCTCACATCCATCAGCTCCGGGGGTGGTGGTGAGGTTGGTGATGGGGGACGACCAAGGTATCGGGGCTGGGGGGGTAACTGGGCCCCGGTCCCAGGCAGTGACGAGGCAGAGGCAGGGGCTTGATGTGTCTTGTGGGGCACATCACCCCCTGCCCAGGGCCGCAGCGGCTGGGAGGGTGGGACCTAAAAAAGCAAAGGAGCCATGGGTGATGGAGACCCTGGTCTCTAAGCCCCAGGCACCACCACCCACCTCCAAAGCCCCCAAAGCCCCATTACCTGGGGGCTGTTCATCTCACAGTCTGTGATAGGGGGCCCAGGGCCCCCACAATATCGGTTGCTGTAGCGGTAGGTCCGGTTGTCACTGGAGGAGCCACTGGAGCCTCCTGGAAGTGCCAGGGAGGAGAGGTGAAGGGGCATAAGGTGAGAGAAGGTGGCGAGTGGGTTTTGGGATGGCTGAGGGAAGGTCACGGCCCAGGCTCAGGTTCAGGCTTCAAGAGCAGAGCCCATCTGAAGCACCGGGCCCAATTCTGAGATTCTGGGTTGGAATTCAGTTTTGGGTTTTAGAGTCAGAACCAGTTTCAGGGCTCTGAGCCCAATTTCAGTGATTGTGTCAGGGCCAGTTGGAGCTCTCCCATCCCACACGTCATCTTACAGTTCAGGATCAGTTTCGGCGCTTTGTGTGAAGACCCAGTAACCAGGTCCCCCAGGACAGGCCAAACCTGAGCAGCCCCCACCCGTTGTACCCCATTTGGGCACCTGGGCACCCACCAGAACTGGAGATGGAGCTGGCGGTGCTGGAAGAGGGGCAGGTGTCGAGGGGCGCGGGCGAGGTGGAGGCACTGCTGCCTGCCGGGCCCGTGTTGGTGGCCTCGTCGGCCGTGCGGCGGAAGAAGCCGTGCTGCAGAGCCCCCAGGGGGCTGATGCGGGCGGCGGGCTCATACTCCAGCATGCGCAGCACCAGGTCCTGGAAGCGGAGGTAGTCGGCGGGGCTGTGGCCCGGCTCCCCCGCCCGCCGGCCCCCGGGCCCGCCCGTCTGCACGCCCAGCACCTCCTGCAGCCGCCGTGTCCCGGGGCCCTGGTAATCCTGGCAGGGAGGGGGTGGGAGGGGGGGCAAGAGAGTGGCCGTCAGTGGGCAGGAGGGGCAGGGAGACACACACGGGGAAACAGAGGCACAAGAGAGAAAGTGGAAAGAAAAGCTAAGAAGAGTTGTGGGGTGGGAAGGAGAGATGGGAGATGGGGTGGGCAGGGGAGGAAGGAAAGGACAGACAAGGGGGAGTGGAAGGAAGGGAAAGACACAAGGGAGAGGGAGCAGGGGGAGAGAGCCCCAAGTGTGAGTGAGGGGCCACGGGGTGGGAGGAGTGGCATGGGGCAGGGGCCGCACCTTCCTGAGTTCTTTCGTCCTTCGTAGGGTCCAGCCACCCCCAGGCAGCCGTTCAAAGTACTTGCGAGCCTTGGGCGCCTGGTCCAGCATGGCGGCCGGTGGGATGCCCAGCACCTCCACAATGCGGTTCATCTGGTCGACCTGTGAGCAGGCAGGGGTCAAGGTCATCAGGCCAGCCAGGCTCCACCCCCTCCACCTCCAGCACACCCCTTCCTGGGGGCACACCTCATTGGAGCCACTGAAGAGGGGCTCTCCGGTGTGCATCTCCACAAGGATGCAGCCCAGGGACCACATGTCAATGGCCAGGTCGTAGGGTGTGCCCAGGAGCACCTCAGGTGAGCGGTAGAAGCGGCTCTGGATATACTGGTAGATCTGGGAAAAGGGTAATCGTCAAGGGACCCAGCCTCCCCTACTGGTCCCACTGACACCCCCAAAGCTAAGAGGACCCAACTGAGGACAGGCTTCTTGCTGACAAAATGGGGACTGAGGCTCCAAATCCTGCCATTATCAGCACCAATTTTCTGGGAGCCACTGGTGCCATCTTGTTTATCAATCTGGGGAGTCTGCTGGCCTAGACAGACCCTGATCTCCACCCCCAACCCGGATCCTGGGCCCTTCTGGGTCACCAGGCAGAGGCTGACATTCCATAAGCCCTATACCATCGTCACTTTTAGTGGCAGCTCATACAGAGCTGCAAAGTTGAAGCCTTCCACCTCCATCCTCAGCTTTAAGAACAGAGAAGACAAAAACTTAGCGAGGCAGCACCCCTGGCTCAAACCCAACCCAACTTCACCCTGTTCACATCTGGCAGCTTCAAAATGGGCCCTGCCCCTCAGGCTTCACCCTTCCCATCCTAGTGGGCAGTATATTCACACCCCCACCCCAAGCATTATCCCTCAGTTCCCACGGCTCCTAATAATCCCATCCCAGCCAAGCCCCGCCCCTAAGCCTCCCGTTGGCTCTGCCCCACCCAAACTACTAGCCGTGCTCCCAGGACCGGGCCGCCCCCTACCCTCTGGCCAAGCTGGCAGGAGCTGCCGAAGTCCACAATCTTGATGGCGCTGCGCTTGGGGTTGCACAGCAAGATGTTTTCGGGCTTGAGGTCGCAGTGAATGATGCTGAGCTCAGGCGTGGCCAGAAAGAGCAGTGCCGTGCAGAGCTGCTGCGCCAGCTTCCGGGTCAGGTTCAGCGAGACGCCGCGGAAGTGGGTGTTGCGCAGGAGGTCGTACAGGTTGTAGGACAGCAGCTCAAATACCAGGCACAGGTGGTTCCGGAACATGAAGTGCCGCTTCAGGTGTACTGCGGGGGAGGGGAGGAAATGGGCCAGAGAAGAAACGGCTCAGAGAGGGCAGGTGGTGGCCTGGGGTCATACAACGCTCTTTGATTACTAGCCACATTGTGCTGTCCCCACGGGTACCATCTGCTAGTCAAAATCTTTTTATCTAACAACTAGATTCACACAGGAAGTTAATGCTCTTTCCAAGTCTCTGTCAAACCCTCCAATTAAACCAAAGAGAAAGTTTCATTAGTTACTACTAGCTCTAACACATTCTACACTTCCTCATTTAATTTCATAACACTGCTTTCATCTCCCTTGTATTCATTTTTGTGGCAAAGGACACTGGTTTTCCGTTTACTTTAAGGATATACGTTTTCCTTTCAAACGAAACCATTTTAAAATCCACTTGCTGTTTATGATTATGTTGTGATGTTTATGTCCATGAGCAGGAATCAGTTTAAGGGAGGAGAAAGACTGGCACAGATGTTAAGAGTAACAGCTCTGGAGTCCACGACCTCATCAAATTATAGCTCAATTAGTACAAACTGCCACCTCATGCAAGTGACAGCACTTGAATGCCTGAGTTTCTTTTTTCCTTTCTTCGTTTTTTTTTGTTGTTGTTGTAACTGTTGTTGTTGTTATTAGGTTTGGTTTTTTGTTTGTTTTGGGTTTTTTTTTTTTTGAGATGGAGTCTCGCTCTGTCATCAGGCTGGAGTGCAGTGGCGTGGTCCCAGCTCACTGTAACCTCCGCCTCCCAGGTTCAAGCGATTCTCCTGCCTCAGCCTCCTGAGTAGCTGGGACTACAGGCGCGCACCACCACATCAAGCTAATTTTTTCACATTTTTAGTAGAGACGGGGTTTCACCATGTTGGCCAGGATGGTCTCGATCTCTTGATATCATGATCCGCCCACCTCGGCCTCCAAAAGTGCTGGGATTACAGGCGTGAGCCACTGTGCCCAGCCCGTTTTGTTTGTTTTATTGAAGAAGAAACTAGGATGGAAGCCCAGGTTTCTTATCTTCAAGATGTTGTTAATAATGCCCTTCCCCTTATGGGCTGTGGTGAGTTAACTTCCAAGTGCTTCCAAGAGAGCCTGGCCCTTGGTGAGCACTCAGTAACCTCTGACCATTACCAAGAAAATAGGACAAAAATCATAAAAGCAGCAGGAGAATCACTGATGTCAGAGAAGCACAGACCAAACCCTGCTCTGAAGACATCAGCCTCCTCCTGAGAGTAGGGCGGGGGTGTGACCCATCCCTACTGGCTCCAGCTCCCGCTATCCCAGGTGCCCACAGCCCTGCCAGTCCCAGGCCTCACCTATATAGTACTTCATCTCCGTGTCATGCTGGTTCATCAGCTCCAGCAGCCGCAGCTCAATCTGGGCCTGGTTCAGGAAAGCCTTTTTGTTCTTGATGATCTTGATGGCCACAAGCTCCTGGGTCTGATGATCATAGGCTTTCACCACCTGTTGGGGCAGGGCATGTCACGAAGAAAGGGGTGGGAGCAGGGCAGAGCCAGGCACCATTCTTCTCCCTCCAGGCAAGGAGACCCACCAAGAACACTATGCATACTTCGCAGCTGAGTGCGCACCATTAGTCAGGCGCTGGTGTAAACACTGGATGTGAAATAACATAACGACCTTATGTTGAGTCTTGTTATTTAAACTGTTTTACAGAAAAGGCGACTGAGGCACAGGGAAACTAAGTGGGCTAGGGTGAGTGGCCCAGCATGGGACTTGAAGCCACTGAACCACTGGGTGTGTGATCAATGTTAGTGGGGCCTTGGATCAGGGTGGTGGGGGGTGTCCCACACCTGGCCAAAGGAGCCTTTGCCAATGAGCGAGTCAATTTCGTAGCGCTCCAGCCAGCGCTCGCCACTGCGCACGATGTAGTCATGGTTGTCGTCATCATAACCATGGTTCAGGACCTTCTTCTCCTTCTTGTTGCTCGAATCCTGGGGTGGCGCCTGCTGGGCCCGCCGCTTCTTCTTCGCATAGTATACCTGCCCAGCCAGCCAGCCAGGAGATGGGGACTGGTGAGTGACTCATGCCAGCAGACAAGACCCTCGGCACCCAGCCCAGGATCCCCCAGCCCCTGCCCACCTCATTGATGTGCTTGTAGGTCTTGATGAGGTCCACAGAGAGCTTACGCAGCGGGGCTGAGGTTGCATCCCGGAAGGCCAGGGGCAGCCTCCGAGGCAGTAGCCGCACATCAGGCAATACCTGCAGGGCAGGGTGAGGGGTGGGCACTGAGGACGTGCCTTCACCTCCGACCTCAAGAGGAAGAACTGTAAGGGCTGCTGGCACATCATGTATTTGGTTGCTGTCTGTATTTGTTCCACCTGTCTAGGAAAGAAACTCCCCCAGGGCTGAGACTTTCTCTTGTTCTTACTATACCTCCAGTGCCTACAGCAGGGCCTGGCACACAATGGATGCTCTTAGAGATCTGTGGTGTGAATGAGTGAACTCTGACCTTTCACCCCTCACCTTTACTCCTTTCTGAACCTCAGAGGGAGAGATCATATGGAAAACCTGGGCTCTGTTCCTCCCCATTCTTCACTTTGAAGCCAGCCATTTTGGGTACCCTCTGAAGTACCTCTATCTCAATTTACCCTCATCCCTTGGGCCTCAACCCATACTCCCACCAACTCTTTGCACAGTTCTTTCACCCCAAGGCTCTTGGATCTGGATCTGGCCCCTGGACCTCCCACTTCATCCTGCTTCAAGCTCTGCATGTCACTGCCTTCACTGCCTCTAGCCTTGGGAGAGCTTTGCCCTCACCACCCATGCCTGTTGGCCTCAAGACCCTTTAGACTCAACCCCCCTCCAAATTCACCCAATCCAGATCTTTCACTCTGAACTTTTCTTAGTAGCATTTATTGGGTATTTACTATGTGCCAGGCACCATTCTAAGTGTTTTACATGCATACCATTAACTCATTTAATCCTCACAACAACCCTGTGAAGTAGGTATCATTATTGGCCCCATTTCACAGAATGAGTTGAGTTCTCCAACTCAAGTATGGAGAACCTAAGGAATTTAACCACTGGGTCAGGATTTGAACCCAGCCTCTCCAAACCCTGACTCTGCCTGAAAACTCCTCTGTTATTTTCCAATCCCATGGGACCCATTATGTGCCCAGAAGAATGTCTTGGGCAACCACACTACCTTTTGGTCTGGAGACCTTTCTATCCCCAGCCTCCCCCTACCACCACGCAGGTGAGGAGCCAGCTGAACGCGTACCTGCGTGTGCTCCTGGGGCCCTGGGAAGCCAGAGAAGGGACCATGGCCCGGTGGGACGGCCATGGTGGGCTCAGAGGGCCGCAGGGGAGCGAGGCCTGGAGCGGGAGCCCGGCCGGGGGGCGCCTTCTTGCATCCTGCACCTCGGCTGCCACCGCCGCTGAGACCTGAGAGCAGACAGGAAGTGGGAAAACAACATGGAACAAGGGGATATGTGAATAGTGCCAGGCGGGGAAGAGTGGACATGAGAAAGACAGGGCACAGAGAGAAGAGGAAAAGGGCACAACGGAGCAGCAGATAGCAATGAAGAGAAGGGGCAGAGAAGTGGTAGCCAGGTGGGGGGGGATGGCACAGCAGTCCCTCGACAAATAATGATCAAGTAAATGATTAAGGCAGCACAAAGAGAACACATAAAAGACAATGATTGGGGGCCAAGCAGGGGTCGATATGAGCCATCACAGGGAAAGGAGGACAGGAAGACACCAATAATTCAGAGGAGGAAAAGAAAAAAGAAACCACAGACAGTATGCAGAGGAGTAGGCTTCATTCTTTTCTCACTACTCGTGGCCCTCCCCAGGGCCCCTAACACAAGATGCCACTTTCTGTAGTCTTCCCTGAACATCAGGATCTCAGCCCGTAGCACAGCCAGGGCCAATACTTTAAGATCTATCCTTCTCAGTAGATTCCCTCAACCCAGAGAACTCTAGGATTCCCAAACCACATGAGTCTTCCCCTCCCAAACCACAGCAGAGTCCTCTGCAGCCCTAAAACCACATCAGCGTCCTTGGGGACCTCCCAACCACACCAAAGTTATCTGAGAACCTCTATAGAACAGAGTCCTATCTCTACAGCATTCTCATCCACCAGGGCACGATTTTCCTAGGGGACCCTCTCCATATCATGCCAAGACCGCTTCCCTATTTCAGGTCCTCCATATTAGGAACCAGCCTTCCAGGTAGTCTCCCTGTACCATATCCCAATTCCCCCTACCACAACAGGGTTCTTCCCCATATTACTCCAATATCCCATCCCAATCAAGGCCCACTCCTCCTGATGGGAGAAGGAGGAGGTGTCTCTTCCCACAGTTTAGAGTGATCATCCTTTTCTCCCCTACACTGCTTCCTTGCCCCCCTACACACACACACACACCCTAATATTCCTACCACAGACCTTTCTCCAGGCACCCCTCTTTATACCAGGGTCATTCCACAACTGTGTCCACTCCTAGAGGGCCTCAAAGTCAAATCCCCAAGTTATCACATAGGGTTCTCTCCTCCCAGAGTTGTCAGCTACAGCAAAAATCTTCTCCCCATGGGCCACTCTCTCCCCCATGTCAAATCCCTTTCTCCTATTCCATGCCTTGCCACTCCACGACTCCTCCACCCTTGGAGCTTCCCCCAAAAAACCACCTCTTCTCCGGGGCCCTCCCACACCAGGATCATCTCTCCCAGCCCCCACCCCCTACCCGGGTCAGGGCTGGCGCGGGGCCCACGGGGGGCTGGGGCGCGGTGGGGCCCCCAGTGGGGTGGGCGAGCGGCCAGCATGGCGGCGGTGGCGGCGCTGAAAAGGCGACCGCCTGTCTCTGGCCCGGCCGGCCCCGCGGCGGGGAGGGCAAGCGGGACAGGAGGCCCGGTGGGTGACAACAGCAGCCGCCACTGCCACCGGGGGCGGGGAGAGGAGGGGACAAGGGTCAGCCCAGGGCACGCGGGGGAAGAGTAGAGCAGGTGGACGGGGGAGGGGCGACACGCCCCACCCTGAGTGACCACCAGCCCCTAGGGACCCGGCGTCCCGCCCCCCACCCAGGAGGCCCTCCTGGGCCTGCTGAGACCGGAAGGCGGGGCCCGACTGAGCTTGGCAATCGGCACCTGCCATGGCAACAACTGTACCATTGGTCGCTGGTGCCAAGAGCTCAGCCAATCACAGCCTAGGGCAGCTGTTGCTAGGCGACGAAGAAGCGGCCCGCGGAGCTGAGCCCAAACAAAGGGCGGGAGTGGGGCCCGGCTACCCCCTCCCAGCCTCCCTCCTGCAACTGCTTCCTCGGGCTTGGCCGGTTCCAGGAATTCAACTATGAATAGCCAGGCAGGGCCCGCACCTGCCTGCCACCCCCCTCCTCTCCTCCCTTGGCCTCGTGCTAAGTCTCACGGCGACGGGAGCAGGGCGGATCCCGTCCTGCCCACCTCCCTGCGACCGCTTGCCGCCCCACCCGTCCCCGCGCCGTTACCTGAAGGAGCGGGCAAGGGGACTCAAACTGCTCGGGGAGCCCGAGCTCAGACCTGCCCACTGGCTGAGGGTATCCGGCGGACGCGGCAAGCCAGGGCCCCGATTACCCAGTAATGCAACCAGCAAAATGGCGACCACAACAAACCGGCCCCCCCACGCCCTGGACTCCGCCCCCATCCCTCCCTCTCCGCTCCCCTCACGTGACCCACACTGACACTCCGCCTGCGCGAGATGGCCGCTTACCTGCACGCATGCGCAGCGAGCTACCAATCCCACCCAAGAACCGAAATCCAGGCTGCCGCTGCGCAAAGGCAGCTAGAAACGGAGCATGCGCTCTGTGACCGAGTGAGAATTTACCCAACCCCGCAAAATTGACCAAGGGTGCGTGCTCCCTGTGTCAGCAGGTCAAGGGGAGGAATGAGCAGCAGACATGGGAGACGGATGAGTCTTTTAATAGAAAAACACACGTGCAACAGTATCAACACACATCTCTCGCAATCCTGACAGCGCTGAACTTCAGTTCTTCACCTTGGGGGGTGGCCTGTGAGAGGAAGATAGGTGATGAAGGAGGGTCCCCAGGATCATGGCACTCGGGGTGCAAGGGACAGAGATGTCTGTCTTGGTGTATTGCTGGGCCCCTGCTCACCTGTACACTCCCACGACCACGGCATGGTCTCTTTCATATGGCTCAAGGGTCAACTGCTCCTGCGGCTTCATGTTCTCCTGTTGCATCTTTTTCACTTCGGAGGCAAACACGGCCTCGGCTGAGGCTGTGGAGTCAATGCAGTTGGCCTAAAGAGGAGAAAGGACTAATGTCTACAACAGGGCTTTGGGCTGTTTTTCTCTTGTGTGCTCTTTAAACCAGATGTTTTCATTATTAATTCAAGTAAAACTCAGTGCTATGGTTCTAGTGTGTCCCCCAAAGTTCATGTGTTGGAAACGTAACCCTTAAATGCAAGAGTTGAGAGGTGGGACCTTCGAGAGATGATTCAGGTCATGAGGCCTCTGCCTTCCTGAATAGAGTAATGCTATTATCACAAGAGTGGGTTGCTGATTAAAAGGATGATTATGCCCCCTTTCTATCTTGCTCTCACCCTTCTGCCAATGGATGACAGCAAGAAGGCCCTCGCCAGATTCAGACCTCCAATCTTGGACTTTCCAGCCTTTGGAACTGGGAGCCAAATAAATTTCCATTCATTATAAATTACCCAGTCTAAGGCTGGGCGTGGTGGCTCACGCCTGTAATCCCAGCACTTTGGGAGGCCGAGGTGGCTCAATCACGAAATCAGGAGATTGAGACCATCCTGGCCAACACGGTGAAACCCTATCTCTACTAAAAATACAAAAATTAGTCGGGTGTGGTGGCGCACACCTGTAGTCCCACCTACTCGGGAAGCTGACGCAGGAGAATCGCTTGAACCCAGGAACTGGAGGTTGCAGTGAGCCGAGATCGTACCACTGCACTCCAACCTGGTGACAGAGTAAGACTCCATCTCAAAAAAATAAAAATAAAAATAAAAATAAATAAATTACCCAGTCTATAGCATTCTGTGATAGCTGCATAAAATGGGCTAAGACACTCGGGTTTAGGAAATGTGATAAAAGGCTTAATGAAAGTTTTTGGCTGGGTGCAGTGGCTCGTGCCTGTAATCCTAGCACTTTGGGAGCCTGAGACAGGCAGATTGCCTGAGCTCAGGAGCTCCAGAGCAGCCTGAGCAACATGGCAAAACCCCGTCTCCACTAAAAATATAAAAGTTAGCCAGGTGTGGTGGCACACGCCTGTAGTCCCAGCTACTTAGGAGGCTGAGGCAGAAGAATTGCTTGAACCTGGGAGGCAGAGGTTGCAGTGAGCTGAGATTGCACCACTTCACGCCAGCCTTGGTGACAGAGCGAGACTCTGTCTCAAATTAAAAAAAAAAAAAGTTTTTAGTTTTGTTTTGGATTTGAAGCAGGAAGCCTTAAACAGTCCTATTTATCTAAAAGCCAGTGCTTAAATTTTATACCCAGGAATTGTTTGGCTTATTTCTACTTCCTCTTCTTTAATAATAGTAATAATGCAGTTGAGAATAATAAAACAAATGTAGCAAAAGGCTAACAAATGGTGAACCTTGTGAAGGGTGCATGGGAGAGTTCTCCATTATTTCCAAATAAAAATGCTGTGAAAGATGCACCTAGCTTTTATCTAGTATCTATTCTATGCCAGGATCTTTTCTAAACACTTCATATTATATTGACTAATTTGATCCTGTCATCTACCCTGAAAAAGACTAGACAATATTTCTATTTCATAAGTGAGGAAACTGAGGCATATAGGTTAAGTAACTTGCTCAGTCACACAGCAGGCTGGGATTAAACTCAGATGGTCAGACTCAATTTTGCACTTGACCGCTGCACTCTCCTGCCTCTTTAAATCCAAAGCTATAGTTTTGCAGACTTGGCCCCTCTGTTTTGGGTGGCTATTTGACAGATACAGATAGAGAAGATACCTCCCTAGAACACTGCCACCCCATCTTAGACTCTTCCAAACCCCGCACCTTAATGGAAATCACAAAGTGTCCTCCATTACGCAGGAAGGTGTGGGCATTCAGGGCCACAATCCGGGTCTGGTCTGGCTGGGCCACATCAGCAAAGATCACATCCACCATTGCTAAGGAGAAAGGAGCAGCAGTTAAAAGTTGGAGTCACAGGGATCACCCCAGATCCTCCCATGGGGCCTATGCCCATCACCAGCAGGTTCCTGGGAGATTCTCCCTGCCTCCAGTTTCACTCCCCACCTCCACTGGTCCCCCTCCCTCCAGTGTCCCAAGATGAGTCCAAAACCCACAGTCACATCATTCATCCACTCTTCTTGTAAACCATGGTTGCCACCTACTCTGTGGCCAGCCCTGGGCCGGGCGTGGGGGACATAGAGACGAGTCAGACCCGGACCCTGCCCTCGAGACGCTCCCAGGTCTGGTGGGGAGACAGACACGTCATCAAAAAGACAAGTAAGAGTGAGTGAGCACTTATAGGCAAGAGTGTCCGCAGGACTGTGAAATGAAAACAAGTTGCAGAACAAAGGGGATGGTATGAGTGCATGGGAAAAATAAAACACAGAAAGAAAAAGGAGCAGAATGAAAAATAATGTTTTTAAGCCAGTGTGACTTTTCAAAAAATGAAAAGGTGGTATAATGAAAACTGATTATTTAAAACCTGGGAAAAGCAGACATCAAATTGTTCTCATCAGTTACTTCTGGCGGTGGTTTATAAGGCTTTTCAACTTTTATATTATATCTTTGAATGTTTTTTTAAACAAAGTAATTAATATTCACAGTGGGCCCCTCCAGATCAAGCCATGCTTAGTTTTCTGGGATATGCTCTCACCAGACAATGATTAGGACCCCCAAAAGGAGGCTTTTTATGGAGGGGTAGTGTAATAAATACAAGAGGCAGGAAGTACAGGAGACCTAGGAGATGGGGAGGAGACTGAAGGAGAAGAGGTTGGCCCTCCAAGGGTGGCTTCCAAGACTCTGAAGCCAAGCTGCCACCTCCACAACCTCACCTAGCTCCCCTTACCCCTTTCTATTCCTGCAGACTCAAGAGGTCTGCTCATCCACTCCAACTCCATCCGAATCAGAGATCCACTGGCTTCTTCCAGAAGCCTGCGGTGGCCTGTCCTACCCCACCGGGGCCACCCCCAGACCCCTCACCGATGAGCATGCGGTATTTGTGTGGGTGTCGAGCATCCTCGATCACAGGAATGATGTTGGTCCTCTTCTTGGCCAAGTTAATGAGGTCACGGCCAGAGCGGTGGGAGAACTCGACTGCATAGACTAGACCATCCTAAAATAAATTAAAAATTAATGAACAGTGATGCTAGTTCTCATGCATGGAGTGCCTACTTTAGGCCCATACACTATACACAGCATCTCTTCCAACCCCCAAATCAAAACCCTACCATCTAATGACTATTGCTATCATGTCCATTTTTCACATGAATAAACTGAGGTCCAGACATAAAGTCACTGGCCAAGAGTTATTCAGCAAGTAGCAAAAGTACCCAATCCCATCTGCCTGAGAGCCCAGGTTCCCAACAGAGGCTTAAAACCAGGAAGCCAAGGCACAGAGATGATGTAACAATGGGCCAACCACTGCTCTAAGCACCTTTCAGAAATTAACTCATTTAATCTTCACAAGTCTATGTTCCAGACAGGTAAACTGAGGCTTGGATGGGTTAGGTAACTTGCCTGATTAAAGCCTGAGGTTTTTTTTTTTTTTTTTTTTGAGTCTCACTCTGTTGCCCAGGATGGAGTGCAGTTGTGCGATCTCAGCTTAGTGCAACGTCCGCCTCCTGGGTTCAAGCAATTCTCCTGTCTCAGCCTCCCAAGTAGGTGGGACTACAGGCACACGTCACCACACCCAGCTAATTTTTGTATTTTTAGTAGAGATGGGGTTTTACCATATTGGTCAGGCTGGTCTCGAACTCCTGACCTCAGGTGATCCACCTGCCTCGGCCTCCGAAAGTGTTGAGATTAAAGGCATGAGCCACCTCGTCTGGCCAAAGCCTGAGGTTTTAAGGCACTACACTTAACAGCTTATAAACACATAAAGTAACAAAGGGTAACAGAGTGGGACACGTGGGTGCCAGGGGCCCTCTAAATGGGAAGCCTATACAGGCTCAGAAACCATGAAGATCTCCTGGTTCTTTCTAAAGAAACCAGAAGAGCAGGTTTTAGCAGCATAAAATTTTAAAGAGGCCCATCAAATCAAATAGTCTGGTATCTATACTCCCCGTTGTCTCTCTAAGGTTGGTCACCCCACACCCACGTCTCTTCCCTTGAGGCCAAGAACCCAGGAGTGAGGTTGAATGACATTATCTGGTTCAAGCCACTCCTTTTACTCACAGGCACAGTGACAGAAAAGGGCCTGGCCCTAAGTCACACAGCGCAGGCAAGCAGTCAAACCCTGATATTCCAGGTTGGCAGAAGGGAGGCAGCCTTTACCTCCTGCCTGACTCTCCATCTACTCACTCACCGGACCAACGATGTCAGAGACATGGGAGACCGTGGTGCCCGAGGCAGCCCCGAGGTAGAGAACCTTAGCCCCCGGTTTGATGTGGATCTGGTCCACACCACCCAGGATTGCTGCTGCTAGCTTGGAGCGGAAGGGGTTCCAGGCTCGGTACTCAATTTTGTCATCTCCTTCCTAGATGAGAGATGGGGACAGAAGTCAGTGCTAGGCTCTTCTGCAGGACCTCACTGCCTTTAACCCTAGGAGCCTTGAAAGGAACTGGGCTGTCCTATCACTGCACAAGAACTCAACATGAGTAAAGAGCAGTGACCATGCACATGCAGTCGCTGCCCTCTCATGGAGGTGACTGACCCAAAGGGCAGCAAAAGAGAATAAACACAAACAGTAACAGTAAAACCAGCACTTGTTCAACAAACATGCACTGTGCCAGCACCTACTGTGTGCCAGACCCTGCTCTAGGCGCTGGGGATACAAAACAAGGATCCCTGCCCAGAAGGTGTAAGTATTCACCGAACTAACTAAATACAACATGGCATATGAGATGGTGACAGGTGTTAAGGAGAGAAGACAAAGCCAGGAGAGAAGATACGGAGTTTGGGAAGCAGGGCAAGGAGCAGGTGAAAATGGGAAAAGGGGCCAGGGAGGGGCTGAAAGGCAGATTCCAAATCAGACCTGAAGGAGGCAAGGGGCCATTCAAGTTATCTGAGGAAGGACATTCCCACGAGAGGGAGAGCGATTAGGAAGGCCCCAAGGCAGGCACACCCTGGCCTCAAAGAAAATGACACAGGATAACAGGACAGGGGAGGGCGGTGAGGGATGCCTTGACCCGCAGAGTGGTGTGACGCAGCCTGGAGAAGCAGATGATAAGGACGCAGCCTCCCACAGAGCTGGGAGTGGGAACAGCAAGGCCAGGGTGGCTGGAGGACACTTGGTCAGAGAGTTAGTGAAGGAGACAAAGCCAGGGGGCAGGGAGGGGGAACTGGAATGCACAGGGTCTTGGAGGCCTGAGTGAAGACTCAGGAGTCTAACTGGAAGGCCGTGGGGAGTCACAGAAGGCGGATGAGGGAGCAGACAGTGTGGTTTACATATTATGACAATCCTCCAGCTGTCACGTGCAGGACACATGGTGAGGGCAGACACAGACTACTGGCTACACCCTCAGCTGCGACCCTGGTGGCTTGGACAGGGGCCCAGTTCTCACCGAAATCGAGACTCTCTTCTCTCCATAAACTGATTCCCCAGGGACCAGGTTCTTGGTGACCAGTGCATCTTCCTTTCCTCGACAAATGAAGACACCTGGGTGAGGGGATCAGAGCAGGGGTGAGGACCCCCAGCCTCTCCCTGCCCCGAAGCTCAGCCGGCTCCCTGCCTTCCTCACTCACCCTCATGCCGATGCGGCTCCACCATCACATTCTTCCCCGACTGGTTTCCTCTTTTTCCTCCCCGACCACGACCCCGGTTGCCACCAGAATGGAAGCCTCCACCTATAAAGGAGAGGTACAACAGGAGAGAAAGATCCTGAATCTCCGCCCTCCCCACTCCCCACCTCAGGAAGGCCTCCTCTGTAACCCCTAGCCAATCTTACCACCTCTTCCTCCTCCTCCACCGCCGCCGCCGCCTCCACCTCCTCCTCGTCCACGACCTCTAAAGCCTCCGCCTCGACCTCGGCCCCCGCCAAAGCCCCCTCGGCCTCCACGACCACCACGGTCACCAAAGCCCCCTCGGCCGCCAAAGCCACCCCCACGGGGACTGAATCCTGTGGGGGAAACAAAACAGGAGTCAGGGCAATGAAGCTTAAAAGGTTAAACCACCTTGTACCCAGCAATACCTCTCAGGTGAGAAACCTGAAATACATGTGCCCGTGTACAGCAGGACACATTTCCAAGAATGTCCACAGCAAAAGAAAAGTGAAGACTAACCCAAATGTCCATCAATAGAATGGGCAAATAAAATAGAAGACATTCACAATCAAGATCATGAAAATGACCTTCAGTTATACACAACAGACTAATAAATGTTAAAATCATAATAATTTTTTTTGCTTAGTGCTTTTTTTTTGAGACAGGGTCTTGCTGTGCCGCCCAGGTTGGAGAGCAATGGCACAATCACAGCTCACCGCAGCCTCGAACTCCTGGGCTCAAGCAATTCTCCTGCCTCGGTCTCTGAAGTAGCTAGATTACAGGTGTGTGCCACTACTCCCATAGTGTAGAGATGGGGGTCTCACTATGTTGCCCAGGCTAGTCTCCAGCTCCTGGCTCAAGTGATCCTCCTGCCTTGGCCTCCTGAAGTGCTGGGATTACAGGTGTCAGGCACCACACCCAGCCACAATCATACTGCCCAAGAAAAGGAGCAAGGGAATGAGAAATGTAAAACTCATGATATTGGTGAATGGGAAGGAGATATTAATATGGGGTTGGGATAGGGGAGGAGTACATGAATAGATGTAGGTTACTGTTAATATCCTGGTTTCCTTGGTTGCATAGCAGATTCACAGAATTCATTCCATGTCAATATTAATTACTGTGAAGAGTGAGCCCTGCATACGAGCACATGCTGTGACAACAGGGCCCCCTAGACTCTGCAAACGTCTTCATACTCTCCCACTCCTGACCTTGGAGCTGGAAGAAAAGTGTCAACCCCAGCCCCAAAACAGAGGGGAATACAGGATGATGTCAGCCCTAACTCATCTCCCTGCTTCCAAGCTTAAAGAAGTCCCTCTCAGCTCAGGGGAAAAACAAGAAAAAGCAGAACAAACTGTCATTTAAGGATAGGCTGCACTTTACAAGTAGTTTGCGACTTGTCAGTAAGATCGAAATGTTTAAGAAATAACAGACTCAGACAGGCTTTATTCTTACCAGTTCAGGACAACAAACACCATTAGCACAAAACAACGTTTAAAACAGAACTCTGGTGCTAACAGATTCAATATTTTCTCTGATTTGGTTTCAAAAACTCAGAAGTACTAAATCACACAAGTTAAAAAAAATAGTTGGAAAACTAGTGGTTTAAAATTATCTCACATTCTCACATGATGTAATCTATTCAATCATAAGCTTGCTTTTTTTTTTTTTTGAGACGGAGTCTCACTCTGTCACCCAGGCTGGAGTGCAGTGACACGATCTCGGCTCACTGCAAGCTCCACCTCCCAGGTTCACGCCTTTCTCCTGCCTCAGCCTCCCCAGTAGCTGGGACTACAGGCGCCCACCACCATGCCCGGCTAATTTTTTTGTATTTTTAGTAGAGAAGGGGTTTCACCGTGTTAGCCAGGATGGTCTCAATCTCCTGACCTCTTGATCCGCCCGCCTCAGCCTCCCAAAGTGCTGGGATTACAGGCGTGAGCCAGCGCGCCCAGCCTTGCTCATGTTTTTTGTAAAGATACATTATGATCTTGTCCTACGAACCCTTCATGCACCTTAATGGTATTAAAGATAAAAAATGTGTCTTTTAACAGCCATTCCTAATTTAATCTTTAAAAATGAACGGTTTCATTTTCAAAACTCCCAAACAACCAAAAGTTGTTTACTTTTAATCTTCTACTCCCTCTACAGTCCACTTTTCACACAGCAGCTAATACATGCTATTTTTAAAACAGCAAGTAAGATCTCATCATGCCCTTGCCCAAATCCCTCCAATGGTTTTCCACCACATCCAAAATGAAATAAAAAGTCCTTTCCCTGGCTTACAAAGCCTGAAATCAAAGCCTAAAATCTTTAGGCTTTAAATTCTGATTTCATTGTTCTGGGCGCAAGGTCTTCCCCTAAAGCTCTCCAGGTGACTCCAAGGTGCAGCCCACATTGAGTATCATCATCCTAAGGATCTGGCCTGTGCTGACTTCCCTGACTTCATTCTCTTTATGCTGGGCCCCATGCTCTTCCCCACCAAGCATACACAGTCCAGCTTCTAAATCTTTACCACGTGCTGTTCCCACTGCCTGGCTCCTGCAGACATGTGCATGGCTCACTCGCTCCTTCACTGCATTCTGGTCTCTGATAAAATGTTAGTTCCCCAGAAGGGCCTACTTTGGCCACAGTACCCTTACCCTGCTTTATTTCCCTTCAAATCAATTATCACACATGGCATTTTTAATATTATTACCACCTGCCTCCCCCACTAAGATCAAGCTCCAAATGGGCAGGGATTTTTAACTGTTTTGGTCACCACCGCATCCCCAAAACCCTGCACAACATCTGGCACAAAGTATGGGCTCAATAAATGTTAAATGAGCACTGAGCTGATGACTCTTAAACCCTGGGCCCTGCCTCAAGGAGAAAGCACCCTCTATTTGTTCAGAAAGCACACAATCCATCAGATGGTGACCAGGGAAGTGCCGGTCACTCCCCTCAAGTATCGCATATGGAGAGATAGGCAATGTTGCTGCCACTCTCGACCCTAGTAAGGAAGGTTCATAGGGGTCTTGAAAACTTCATCTGTAAGACATGGAGACAATACAGTGCCAGGCCACGCGCCATAGCTCATGCCTGTAATCCCAGCACTTTGGGAGACCCAGGCAGGCGGACAGTTTGAGGCCAGGAGTTCAAGACCAGCCTGGCCAACATAGTGAAACCCTGTCTCTACTAAAAATACAAAAAATTAGCTGGGCGTGGTGGCGCATGCCTGTAATCCCAGCTACTCAAAAGGCTGAGGCACAAGCATCAATTGAACACAGGCGGAGGTTGCAGTGAGCTGAGATGGTGCCACTGCACTCCAGCCTGGGTGACAGAGAGAGATTCTGTATCAAAAAAATAAAAATAAAAAAAATGCAGTGCTCATCCTATAGGGTTGTAAAGATTAAATGACTTGTACCCACAGAGCACATCACATATATACTATCTGGCACCTACTTTGAACATCATCATTCAAACTCAGGGGTACGCGTCTCCTCTTCCCTCCTCATGTACCAAAAGTACCCATTCCTCAGAAAAAACACATGTTCACACAAACTTTTCCAGTTAGTTCTTTTTTCATCTTTCTATTAAAGATGAAAATGTAACTTTTAATAGCTACTCCTAATTTGATCTTTTAAAATGAAGTTTCCTTTTCAAAACTCTAGAACATAACTAAGAGTTGTTCACTTTTTAATGTTCTACTCCCCCTACAGTCCACTTTCCACACAGCAACTAATAAGTGCTGTTTTTGAAACAGCAACTCAGATCTCAATTTTCTTGCCCAAGCCCTCCAACAGTTTTCCAAAGCCAAGACCTTCATTTAGGGGAGATGCCACAGCTAGGCTTATGAAAGTCTCAACCCAGGCCTAACAGAAAGGAAGTACTGGCATGTGCTTGGGGCGGAGTGGGCATGAGTGTAAACTTTCAATCCCAGATACTCAAAACATCTCAATCCGTTTCAGGTCCTGGAGCTTTTGGGGGAAAATGTACCAAAAGTACCCAGTCCTCAGAAAAAACACATGTTCACACAAACTTTTCCAGTAAGTTCTTTTTTTGGGGGGAGGGGGGTCCATAAACCCCCTGATTTAAAATCTGCTCTCCTTCCACAGCCTTCTCCATCTCAAAAATGGCAATTCCATCCTTCCAGTTACACACCCCCAAACCCTTGGTTATCCTTGACTCCGATCACACACCCACATACAATCTGTTGGTTCTGTCTTCAAAAGCATGTAAAACTGTCAGCATGTCCACTGCTCCCATCCTGGTCCACCACACCATCTCCTAGATTACAGCAACAAGCTTCCCACCAATGTGCCTGCTTCCACTTTTGCCACCCTGAGGTCTTTCACACATCGAAGCAAAAAGAATCCCTTTTAAAAATGTCAGACTGCACCACGCCCCTGCTCAAAAATCTCCCAAAGGGTTCTTTTCTCACTCAGGCTAAAATCCTTACTAAAGAGCTAACACCTGACAACTTTTACAACTTCACATTCTACCACACATGGAGGAAGGTTGGAAGAACGGGTATCCTCCATTTATGAGGGAATCACAGACCAGAATGCCTGCAGGCAAGCCAGGATCTCAGCATACCTGGCCTACAATCCCCCACCCCACTTCATCAAGAGATCCCCAAACACGGAAGAGAAAGGGAACTTGGGAGAAGGGCACAGATCCACAAATCTCCTGCCAGGTGACCCCCATCTCTCCACACAAACACACACACAAAAGAAAAAGAAAGCCTGTACTAGGAAAACAGACCCTTTGGGCCATGGTGGAAATTCTCCAAACTCAATGAAGCAAGTTCTCACACAGATGAGTGCGGGTTGGGCAGGCCAGATGGAGGAAGTGCTCAGGCACCACCGAGAAGGATTCTAATGTTGTTCTCTTTGAGAAAGATAAAGGTAACAATTAGAGCTAATACTATTATATGTCAAGCACTGTGCTATTTTTTTTAACGTCGCTTAATCCTAACTGGCGCCATTTTATTGATGAGAAAACAGAGGCTCAGAGAGGTAAAGCCACTTGCCCAAGTTCACACAGCAGGCTAAGAAGCTGAGCAAGAGCTGACACACTGAACTGAGGCCCTTCTGCTGTCAAAGCCAGGACCCCCTCATCATTCCACCATGAAGGGAGTGGTTTCAGCAGAATCTAGTGGAAAATCTTAAGAATAAAACTACTTACCTCCTGTGACAACCACCCGCCCCACCACCCCAGACTAATGCCGAGCTTGTTAAGTCTCGTCCCGGAGGTGGAAATCTTAATCCCCAAATCTCCACTCCATCCCCGGGGATCCGCCCCACTGTAAGTGCAGAAGGCGGGAAAGTGAGCCGAAGAGCGCCGCACACGGCCAACCGGGGAGTCCTCATCCACTCCGGCCCACTCGGAAAAGCTGGGATGCGGGATAAGGGGATGGTGGTGGTGGCAGCGACAGGGAAGGCAAATGGGGGCTTCCCACACACAGCTCCAGGACCCAAGGTCAGGAACTCTCCATCTCCGACCCAAGCCTGATTCCCAAAACACGCCCAGCGATCCAAGACTCCAGATGCCTGAATCCAAACTCTAGCCCAAGACCCTTGAGTGCCGCCTCCTGCCCAATATCCAAAATCCCTATTAGACGGCCTCAATGAGACGAACCCCACGTCAACACCCCCAATGCCAGGCCCACGGCCTTCTTCGACTCACGACCGTGACCTCTGAAGCCAGTCACAAACCCCTAGACCTGCTGGAATCAGAATCCCCCTTCCCACAGGAGACTGGAACCCGTGCTCAGAACCCCTGCCCCCAGGCCAAGGCCCCACCCCTCCGATTCTGGCCTGGCACCCGGATTCCCGCCCGGCCTCCGTCCCTGACCCCGGACCCTCACCCCAGCCTGACCTGGCTTCATGGCGAGCCCTGGTTTGTGCGGCTCCGGAGTCCGCGGCGTTCACAACTCCACGAGTCCGGGGCTTTCGCACGTGGAAAAGAGCGCAGGCGCGCGGCGACGTGCGCTGCGTGACGCCACCCCGTAGTCCCGCCCCCGGGCCCCTTCCCCGCCCGGAGCTCGGCGCACGCGCAGTGAGCCTGGATTCTCGAGCCTGTCGACACGCAACCCGCTGCCCTCGCTCTCTGCCTTCCCAGCCTTTGCCTGTGCAGCGGTCGCCCTAAACTCGCTTCCGGTTTCCTCTTCCCCAATGCGAGCACCCCAATAATCAGGGCTCATAGCCTTCGCACGGGCTGTGCCCTCTTTTGTATTCCTAGCTAAATCCCTCTGGCCCCTGTACACCCAAAAAGGCTTCCCCAATACATTTCCAGCCCCAAGAACAGTGACCGACTCTGGGCTTCCATTCAAACATCCGAAAAACATTTACAGTGCACCTCGTGTGTACCAGGTGCTGTTCTAGGAGCTGGGAATACAGCGGTGTACGAGACATAAAAATCTCCACTCTCCTGGAGTTCATCTTTTTAATGGAGGAAATAGACACCAAACATGTTGAATGTTTGAAAGCGATAAGTGCTTTGGAGAAAATAACAGCAGGGAAAGGGGATAGAGATTTTGGAGGGCAAATGATTTTTGTTTTTTTGGCACGGTGGTCAAGGAATGCATCAGGAGACTTTTGAGCTAAAGGGCTGAAGGAAGTGAGGAGTGAGGCATGCACCTATCTAGGGGAAGAGAGTTCCAGGCAGGGAAAAGATCTGCAGATGCAGAGGCCCTGAGGAAGGAAAGATATGGGAAGTTGGAGAGACAATGAGGAGGGTGGGTGGGGCAAAGTGAGCAAGGTGGAGAGTAAGAGGAGATAAGGGCGGGTAGCTAACAAGGGCAGATTGTGCGGAGCTTTGTGGGACATAGTGAGGACTTAGGCAGTAAGATGGAACCATGGAAGGGTTCCAAGCAGAGAAGGAATGTGATCTGACACAGGTCCCTCTGGCTGCATGTGGGAAGCAGACTGCAGGAGTGAGGGTGAAAGCAGGAAAACCAAGGACTGGCTGCTGCCGTGAATCAGAAGAAAAGGATGGACAGATCAGAGTGGGGGCAGAGAGCGGCGTCAGGGGTCAACAGATTCTGCTTAAGTATTAAGAATTTTGGGCTTTGTAATTGTGTAATATCAGTATCCATCCCTATATTCATTCTGCAAAGCAAGACAACTGCTGTTATGAGAAGTTACCGAAAAACTCCAGAAGAACCTACCAGTCCAGAGCCTAGATGTTGACTCTGTTCCATTCACTGCTCTATCACTCTAGGCCTAGGACAGCCCTCTGGGTGCCCAGTAAATGTTTGTTGAATGAATGGATGGCCTCATACCGTTGTGAGTTCTCTGTGTACAGTGTTCCAGCTGTGGAATGCCACCAATTTGCACAGAAACATTCCTGAAAGATTGTTTAGATATTATGATGGAAAATCTGCTTAAACTTTTCAGAACCGGTCGGGGCAGTGGCTCACACCTGTAATCCAGGCACTTTGGGAGGCCGAGGCAGGAGGATCGCTTGAGCCCAGGAGCTTAAGGCCAGCCTGGGCTACAGAGTGAGACCTTATCTTTACAAAAAATAAAAAATTAGCTGGGTATGGTTGCTTGCACCTGTAGTCCCAGCTACTCAAGAGGCTGAGGCAGGAGGATCCTTTGAGCCCAGTAGGTCTAGGCTGAAATGAGCCATGACTGCACCACTACACTCCAGCCTGGGTCACAGAGCGACACCCCTGTCCCAAAACAAAAACAAAAACCAAACAAAAAAAACTTTTTAAAAACTATGAGATGAAATAGTTGAGTCTATTCTGGATTTCTAGATGTGCAATGATTCCAGTGGGTCCAATTCCGGATAATGTTACCTATTTCACATGGATTTTACTATTTGCCTTCTAATTAATATTTTTCTTCTAAAGGACAAAAGTACTCAGAGTGCAGTGCAGATTTAGGGGATTCCAGCCCTATTTCTTGGAATCCTGGCACCATCTCCTGCTTCTGAGATACTTTGCCTGCTAGCTTGCTCTGAAGACCTGAAATTGGCTCTATCGGTAAGTAATTAGTGGTGGAGGTGCCTGTTGGTCTTGTGCTGGGGACACAATGGTGGCTAAAACAGCCCCGGGTCCTGTCCTCCTGGAGCTGCCAGTCCAATAGGAGAGACAGACAGGTTCCCAAACAGTGTTGGCCCAGAGGGGTCAGGGCTGGGACAGGCAGAGGGGTAGGAGGGCAATGGGGGAAGCACCGGCAGAAATGGGACTGGGGAGCCCCAGGCAGGGGGCTCAGGGCCAGGATAGGGGAGGCCCAGGCAGAGAGGTGGGAGGGGGATGGAGGAGACACTGGCAGGCAGGGCAGGGCAGGGATAGCGAAGCCCTTGAGGACTTTTCCCAATATTCCCCATTTCCTCAACTCCCTCTGAACCTTCCTGTGACCTTCTTGCTCTAAGGAGGACTCTGCCCTGAAGACCTCCCTTTCCAAGCGGGGCTGTTTTCTCCTTCTCGGCCTTCATGTCCACTGGATCTGTAGATGGGAGAAGAGCGTCCTTGCTCCTCACTGGCACTTCTAAACCATTGTCTCTGCCTCCTCCCTGAACCCTAGGTCTGAAGCTTACACAGTCACACTGTAGCACCTGCTCCCCTTTGTGCTGCTAGACCCATTGACTCCCAAGTCACCTCTGCTCACCTCGTCATTTAGCTTCAGGCTCACTGTCACCCACACCACTCCTGTCATTATTCTTGGTGATTTTCAAATTCAGGTAAATGATCCTTTTACCACTCTGGCCTCTTGGTGCCTTGACCTCCTCTCCCCCACTGCACTTGTCCTCCACCCAACCCTTCTTTCCCATGATCACACCTAGACCTTGTGCTGGGAACACACAACAACACATAACTGTGACAGCCCCAGAGGTCCCAGCCTGGTGGGGGAGAAGGACCCATTCTAGATGGCAACAGCCGCATAACCACAGCCCCTACAGAATCTCAGCTCCATGCATCTCACGCTCTGCCCGTCACCTCCTGTCTCTCCAGCTCACTCCTTCTAAAGATTGCACCAGTGAGCCTTCAGCCCTAACCATCCATTAAGCTGTCTGACTTGTTGCTATCCCTCCCCCAATCATGGCCACACCACTCTCAACTACCTAGCCAGATTCCCCACCATCATTATTACCACACCTTTGCATACCTCCAAACTATGAACTGAATTCAACCCTCCATTTATTCTGCACCTGCACCCCTGGCAGCTGAATGTGGATGGAGAAAAATACAGAATCACCCTGGCTGGTCTCGGTTTTGATTCATGACTACAAACCCAAATGCTTAATGCTGACCAGCAATCCTATCACTTGCCCCCAGTCTATTCATTCTCCATTTTTTCCCACCCTGTTGATGGTATAGATAACACATGGCCATGGGCTGAATTGTCTCCCCACACATTCACTTGTTGAAGTTCTCACCCCCATTGTTATGGTATTTGGAAGTGACAGCATTGGGAGGGATTAGGGTTGGAGGAGGTCATGAGTGTAAACCCTCATTATGGGATTAGTGACTTTATTATTATTATTATTATTTTTGAGACAGAGTTTTGCTCTTATTGCCCAGGCTGGAGTGCAATGACATGATCTCGTCTCACGGCAACCTCCACCTCCCAGGTTCAAGCGATTCTCCTGCCTCAGCCTCCAGAGTAGCTGGCATTACAGGCATGAGCCACCACGCCCGGCTAATTTTGTATTTTTAGTAGAGACGGGGTTTCTCCATGTTGGTCAGGCTGGTCTCGAACTCCTGACCTCAGGTGATCCACCCACCTTGGCCTCCCAAAGTGCTGGGATTACAGGTGTGAGCCACCGTGCCCGGCCAGGATTAGTGACTTTTTAAGAGGGAGAGAGGGAGAGATGCAACCCAGGAAGAGGGCCCTCACAGAGAATCACATCAATCAGCACCTTGATCTTGGACTTTCCAGCCTCCAGAGCTGTAAGAAATAAATCTCTGTTATTGGAACCATTCAGTCTATGGTATTTTAAGACAGCCCACACAAACAAACACACATGTATTAATTTTTAAAACTTTATTAAGGTATAATTTACATACCATAAAATTCACCCATTTTGGCTTGGCGCGGTGGCTCATGCCTGTAATCCCAACACTTTGGGAGGCCAAAGCAGGCGGATCACGAGGTCAGCAGTTTGAGACCATCCTGGCCAACATGGTGAAACCCCATCTCTACTGAAAATACAAAAATTATCTGGGTGTGATGGTGCATGTCTGTAGTCCCAGCTACTCAGAGGCTGAGGCAGAAGACTCGTTTGAACCCGGGAGGCAGAGGTTGCAGTGAGCCAAGATCATGTCACTGCACTCCAGCCTGGCGACAGAGTGAGACTCTGTCTCAAAAAAAAAAAAAAATTCACCCATTTTAATTCTATTGTTCGTTTAATTCTGGTAAATTTACAGTTGGGCACCCATCACCACAATCCAATTTCAGAAAACTGCCAACACCCCATTTCATACAAATGGAATCATACAATATGTAGCCTTTTTTTTTTTTTTTGACTTAGCATAATGTTCCACATTGTTGCAAATTTCTTTTTTATGGCTGAGTATTTCATTCTCTGGAATTTCACTGGTCTGTTCACCTGTTGATGGGCTTTTGAGTTGTTTCCAGTTTGGGTTATTATGAATAATGCTGCCATGAACATTCATGTACAAATATTTGTGCAGATTTACTCTAATTTTTCTTGGGACAAGCCCTAGGAGTAAAATGGCTGAGTCATATGCTGAGCATGTTTACCTTTTGAAGAAATGGGAACACTTTTTTCCAAAGTGATTGGGCCTATTTTATTTCTTTTAGTTTCTTTTTTTTATTTTTTTGAGACAGAGTCTTGCTCTGTCACCCAGGCTGGAGTGCAGCGGCGTGATCATAGCTCACTGCAGCCTTGATATCCAAGGCTCAAGCAATCCTCCTGCCTCAGCTTCCCGAGTAGCTAGGACTATAGGTGCCCGCCACCAGGCCTGGCTAATTTTTGTGTTCTTTCTAGAGACAGGTGTCTCACTATGTTGTCCAGCTGGTCTCAAACCCCTGAGCTTAAGCAATCTGTCTGCCTTGGCCTCCCAAAGTGCTGGAATTACAGACGTGCACCACTGCACCCAGCCCAGACCCATTTTTTTTTAAGAATTATTTTACACTTTCTCCTCTTTCTTCAAACCTTAAAACTTTCTCCTCCCTTCTTACTCTTTGTTGTTCGTCTTGCTTCCAAGGAGATAGAAGCAATGACAAGAGAACCCCAACATCCTTCTATCCCAATACCTATCAGCCGCCCCGCACCTGTTACCATGTATGCTGGCTTCCCATGTGTGACTGTGGATGACTCTCTGTTACCCATCGCAGTGCCTAGCTGTGTGCAGGTTTGTTATATAGGTAAATCTGCACATGTACCCCTTATATAGGTAAATTGTGTGTCACGGGTTTGATATACAGACTATTTTGTCACCCAGGCAATAGGCATAGTACCTGATAGATCGGTTTTCTTTTCTTTTCTTTTTTCTTTTTTTGAGACGGAGTCTTACTCTGTTGCCCAGGCTGGAATGCAGCGGCGTGATCTCGGCTCACTGCAACCTCTGCCTCCTGGGTTCAAGTGATTCTCCTACCTCAGCCTCCCGAGTAGCTAGGACCACAGGCACATGCCACCACGCCTGCCTAATTTTTAAAATTTTTTTGTAGCAATGGAGACTCACTATGTTGCCCAGGCTGGTCTCTAACTCCTGGCCTCAGCCTCCCAAAGTGCCACATTATAGGCATGAGCCACCACTCCCAGCCATAACGTTCTGTATTTTGACAGAGGTTTGGGTTCATTTCAAAACAACAAATTTATTCTTTAGATGTGTACATTTCACTGTGTGTGAATTTTACCCCCAAAAAGGAACTGTACACAAACTTGAGCTCCAGTTAATGCTACGTGTGCTGAAGTATTTAGAAGGAAGCATAATGATGTCTGCGACTTATTTTGAAGTGTGTGTGTGTATATATATATACAAATATATGAACACATATATAAATATATATACATGTATAAATATACATATACATATATATATATTTTTTTTTTTTTTGAGATGAAGTTTCGCTTTTGTTGCCCAGGCAGGAGTGCAATGCTGAGATCTCAGCTCACTGCAACCTCTGCCTCCCAGGTTCAAGCAATCCTCCTGCCTCAGCCTCCTGAGTAGCTGGGATTACAGGCGCCCGCCACCACACCCAGCTAACGTTTGTATTTTTAGTAGAGATGGTGTTTCACCATGTTGGCCAGGCTGGTCTCGAAAACCTGGCCTCAGGTGATCCGCCTGCCTCGGCCTCCCAACGTGCTGTGATTACAGGCGTGAGTCACCACACCTGGCCTGAAAAGTGTATTTTAAAAGAGGGATCAAAGGCTGCATGAAGGGATGGATCAACGGATGGATACATAATAAAACCAGTATAGCAAAATGTTAATTACAGACTCTACATGGTGGGTAGATGGGTTGTCTCCATTTGTTTTGTGCTGCCATAATAGAATTCCTGAGACCGGGTGATTTATAAGGAAGAGAAATTTATTTCTCACAGTTCTGGAGACGGGGAAGCCTAAGACGAAGGCACCAGCATCTGGTGTTGGGTGAGGCCCTTCTTGCTGTGTCCTTACATGGCGGCAGGCAGAAGGGCAAGCAGGGACGAACACTGTGTCACCTCATGGCAGAAGATCAGAAGAGAGCAAATCCAATCCCAAGGATTACAGCAGTGTTAATCCACTCATAAGGATGCGGCCTGAGCCCTCAGGACTTAAACACCTCCTGTTAGGCCCCACCTCCCAAGACGGTTGCACTGGGGGTTAAGTTTCCAACACATGAATTTTGAGGGACACTTTCAGACCATACCAGGAGTGCTGACTGTATATTTCTTCAAACTTTCTGCATGTTTGAAAAGGGAGGAGAGGGCCGGGCATGGTGGCTCACACCTGTAATCCCAGCCCTTTGGGAGTCTGAGGCGGGCGGATCACGAGGTCAGGAGATTGAGACCATCCTGGCTAACACGGTGAAACCCTGTCTCTACTAAAAATGCAGAAAATTAGCCGGGCGTGGTGGCATGTGCCTGTAGTCCCAGCTACTCAGGAGGCTGAGGCAAGAGAATCACTTGAACCCGGGAGGCGGAGGTTGCAGTGAGCAGAGATCATGCCTATAATCCCAGTTACTCAGGAGGCTGAGGCAGAAGAATCGCTTGAACCCGGGAGACGGAGGTTGCAGTGAGCCAACATTGCGCCACTACACTCCAGCCTGGGCAACAGAGCGAGACTCCATCTCAAAAAAAAAAAAAAAAGAAAGAAAAGAAAAGAAAAGGGAAGAGAGGGATTTAAATAGATGCAACACAGAGAACTTTTAGGGCATTGAAGCCATTCTGGATGTCACTCTAATAAAGCATGCATATCATGACACAGAACATGCACCACCAAGAGTGAACCCTAATGTAAGCTATGGACTTTGGGTGATGAAGACTGTCAATGTGGGTTCATTGATGATAACAAAGGTGACACTCTGGTGCTTGATATTGATAGCAGGGGAGGCTGTACATGGGTGTATAGTATGGGGCAGGAGATCTAGGGGAACTCTCCATATGTTCCACTCACTATTGTTGTGAACACAAAATTGCTCTTTAAAAAAGTCTATTTTAAAAATTGGCCAGGTGTGACAGCTCATGCCTGTAATCCCAGCACTTTGGGAGGCCAGGAGAGGAGGATTGCTTAAGCCCAGGAGTCCAAGACCAGCCTGGGCAACATAGCAAGACAGGAATAATCTCCCTGTCTCTACAAAAATACAAAAATTAGCTGGCATTGTAGCACACACCTGTAGTCCCAGCAACTCGGGAGGCTGAGGTGGGAGGATTGATTGAGCCTAGGAAGTTGAGGCTGCAGTGAGCCGAGATGGCACCACAGCACTCCAGACTGGGCAACAGAGTGAGATCATGTCTCAAAAATATAAATAAATAAAAATTTTTAAAATAAAAATTTACCTTCAAGGCCAGGGATGGTGACTCCTACCTGTAATCCCAGCACTTTGGATGACCAATGACCAAGGCGGGAGGATTGCTTGAGCTCAGGAGTTTGAGGCTGCAGTGACCTGTGATAGCACCACTGCACTCCAGCCTGGACAACAGAATGAGACCTTGTCTTAGGAAAAAAACAATACATTAAAATCCACTGGAAAACAACATGAACAACTTCTCTTGGCTTCACATTCTCCTCTAGCCATCACCTCCATCTCTCTGGGTTCTTTTTTTTTTTTTTTTTTTTTGAGACAGAGTCTCACTCTGTTGCCCAGGCTGGAGTGCAGTAGCACGATCTTGGCTCACTGCAACCTCCACCTCCCGGATTCAAGCAATTCTCCTGCCTCAGCCTCCTGAGTAGCTAGGATTACAGGCGCCCGCCACCACACACCACACCCGACTAATTTTTGTATTTTTAGTTGAGATGGGGTTTCACCATGTTGGCCAGGCTGGTCTCGAAGTCCTGGCCTTAGGCGATCCACCCGCCTTGGCCTCCCAAAGTGCTGGGATTACAGGCATGAGCCCCCCGACCTGGCCTCTCTGGGTTCTCTATAACTAAACTCCTTGAAAGAATTTTCTGTACTTACTGTCCTCACTTCTCCTCATCTTTTCTCTTGGACCCATTCCAGTCAGGCTTTCCTCTCCATCACTCCACCAAAATAGCTTTTCTCAAGGTCACCAAGGTCCTCCATATTGCTAAAGCTGGTGATCAATTTCCTATCCTCATCTTCTTTGACCATCAGTGGCATTTGACACTGCCTCCTGCTTAATATGCTTTTTCCACTTAGCTTTCAGGACTGCCACCTTTTCCTAGAGCCCTCCCACCTCACTAGCCACCCTCTCTATTTCTTCACTAGCTCCCCTCATCTTCCCGGTCTTGTTTCCTTAGGGTGCCCCAGGGCTCATGCTTCAGCCTCCTTCTCTTTTCTATCCATGCTGCTCCTCTGATGATCCAACCATTCTTTTCATTGTATTAAAAACTGGCAACTCCCACATTTATCTCTCAAGCCTAAACTTCTTCCTTGAACTCCAGACTCACATGTCCAACTGCCTAATTGACATTTCTACTCTGATGTAGACATGCATTAACAAATGCATGTAGGCCGGGTGCGGTGGCTCATGCCTGTAATCCCAGCACTTTGGGAGGCCGAGGCGGGTGGATCCCCTGAGATCAGGAGTTCGAGACCAGGCTGACCAGCATGGTGAAAACCCATCTCTACAAAAATACAAAAATTAGCCAGACACGATGGCGGGTGCCTGTAATCCCAGCTACTCAGAAGGCTGAGGCGGGAGAATCACTTGAACCTGGGAGGCAAAGGTTGCAGTGAGCCAAGATCACGCCATTGCACTCCAGCCTAGGCGACAGAGCAAGACTCCATCTCAAAAAAACAAAACAAAACAAAAAACAAATGCATGTAATTTGCATGCACTTGGTGGTTTAAACCACAAATTTGCTGTCTTAAACCAACAGAAATTTATTCTCTCAAAGTTGTGGAAGCAAGAAGTCCAAAGTCAAGGTCAAGGCAGCGAGGCCCTGCCTCACTGCCTTCAAAAGCTCGATGGGAAAATCCATTTCTTTCCTTTTCCACCTCTTAGGGACTGCTGACATTCCTTGGTTTGTGGCGGCATCACTGCAATCTCTGTCTCCATCTTCACTTTGCCTTCTCTGTGCTTGCTTCCCTCTTACAAGGATACGCGAAATTGGCCAGGCACGTGGCTCACGCCTGTAATCCCAGCATTTTGGGAGGCCAAGGCGGGTGGATCACCTAAAGTGATCCCAGCTACTCGGAAGGCTGAGGCAGGAGAATTGCTTGAACCTGGGAGGTGGAGGTTGCAGTGAGCCGAGATCGCACCATTGCACTCCAGCCTGGGTGACAAGAGCTAAACTCCATCTCCAAAAAAAAAAAAAAAGAAAAAAGAAAAAGGATACAAGTAATTACATTTAGGGCTCACCCAGATAATCCAATCCAGGATAATCTCCCTGTCTCAAGAGCCTTAGCTTAATCACACCTGCAAAGACCACCTACCCACATAAGGCAATATTTGCAGGTTCAAGAGATTAGGATCTGATATCTTTGCGGGGGTGGGGGCATTTTTCAACCTACCACAAAACATCTCAAACTTAATAGTAGGTGCTCAAACACATTTATTTATTCATTGATTTATTTTATTTTTTATTTTGTAGAGATGTTTTCCGGGCTGGTCTCAAACTCCCGGACTCAAGGGATCCTCCCACCTCATCCTCCCAAAGTGCTGGGATTATGGTGTGGGCCATCGTGCCTGGCAAAAACACATGTATTGAATGAATGAAGGAATGTCCACAGCAGGGTCATAAGAGCTAGCATTGAGTACACCTGTCAGCGAAAACTCAAATTAGAACCAAGTGTGCAAAACTTTGCGGAGGCTGTTATGACTAGGACCTTGATGACTTGATGAATTTTCTTTTTAACTTATGTAACAAAATTTTAAACTTTTCACAAAAAGTAGAGAATATGAGAAGTCCCCATTTATTCGCCACCTGGCCTCAACAACTATTAACATGTAAAACAGCCTTGTTTTATCTATTGCCCCTCCATCTTTTTATTTTTTTCTGGAGTATTTTAGAGCAAACCTCGATAATATGCCATTTCACTTCCAGGTACTTAAGTATGCATCTCTTAAGAAAAAGAAGAGAACATTTTCTTCCATTATCACACCTAACAAAATTAACAAGAAGTCCTTTTTATAATCTAGTAGCCAGTCTATATCCATATTCCCTCAATGGTTTAAAGTATGTGATTTAGGCTGGGCACGGTGGCTTACACCTGTAATCCCAGTACTTTGGGAGGCTGAGGGGGGAATGGATCACCTGAGGTCAGGAGTTCGAGACCAGCCGGGCTAACGTGGTTAAATCCCATCTCTACTAAAAATACAAAAATAAGCTGGGCATGGTGGTGGGCATCTGTAATCCCAGCTACTCGGGAGGCTGAGGCAGCAGAATCACTTGAACCTGGGAGGCAGAGGTTGCAGTGAGCCAAGATCGCACTATTGCACTCCAGCCTGTGCGAAAAGAGCAAACTTCCATCTCAAAAAAAAAAAAAAAGAAAAAATGATTTAAACAGTACTGCTGGCTAGGCATGGTGGCTCTCATGCCTATAATCCCAGCACTTTGGGAGGCCAAGGCAGATAGATCACTTGAGATCAGGAGTTCGAGACCAGGCTGGCCAACATGGTGAAACCCCATCTCTACTAAAAATACAAAAATTAGCCAGGTGTGGTGGCGCACACCTATAGTCCCTGCTACTCTGGAGGTTGGCGCATGAGAATCACTTTAACCCGGGAGGCAGAGGTTGCAGTGAGCCGAGATCACACCATTGCACTCTAGCCTGGGCGACAGAGTGAGACTCCATCTCAAAAATTAAAAAATAAATAAAAAATTACTGCTTGTTTAAATCAGGATCAAAACAAAGTCCCTTCATTTGGTGTGTGTTCTCTCTCTTGCACGCACACATACATATAAGCTTTTTAGCCAAGAGTCTTCAGAGATTATAATTTATTTATTTGTTACATAGAGACAGGGTCTCACTATGTTGCCTAGGCTGGTCTTGAACTCCTGGCCTCAAGCAATGCAACCTGGCTTCCCAAAGCACTGGGAATACAGACAGGCATGAGAAATGCCAGGCTATAATTTATTTACTTTAGATCTTATTTGGGGGGAGTACAACATGCTAAGAGAAAAGTACATGTAACTATGGTTTTATGAAGTATCACAAAGGGAAGAAACCACATAACCGCCACTCAGGTCAATAAAGAGAACATGACCAGTACCCCCAAATTCCCCTTTTGGCTCTACTCTTAGGGGTCTTTTCATGTGTACACTGTTCTAACCTTGCTTCCTTCACTCCATAATATATTATGAAGATCACCCCCAGAACAGCTTATAGAGATCTTTCTTATATTTCATTTATCTGGATAGTAGTCTGGTGTGTAGATGAAACGTCGTTTAGTCAACCAGTCTACCAATAGAAAATTGACTTAGTTGTTTCCAGTCTTTTTTCCTTACAAAGAGTGTTGCAGTGAGCAACCTGGGCTCGTTGCCGGTGGAAGGTGTCCAGGTTCTGGGCGTTTTGAACAAAGAACTGGACAAAACGCACCAACGAAACAACCAACAAAAGAATGAAGCAAAGAAAGCATACATTTATTGAAATGAAAAGTACACTCCACAGGGTGGGAGCAGGCTGAACAGACACACTCCACAGACCAGGAAGCAACCAATCAGAGGCTGAAGTGAAGGTACAAAGTTACACCCTATGCAAACGTCTGATGGGTCGCGGGAGGGGACCAATCAGAGGCTGAAGTGAAGTTACAGAGTTACACCCCTATGCAAATGAAGACTAGGCCCATGACCAGTCTGATTGGTTGTGGGAGACTACCAATCAGAGGCACTTTCCATCTTTCATCGGCCACGCGGGGAGGGGAGGGGAGGGGAAGCCCGCCGGGGTCGGGGGTTGCGAAGGGAGTAGCCTCTGATCCTTTTGTTACTTGGGTGTGGAAAGTTGGGATTTTCCTTTTGATTCCGTTCTAGGAAGTCAGTGCAAATCAGCCTTAGGTTTCCTGCCTCTAGACTATTCTCCTGCCTCAGCTTACATCCTTTTATTGCCAATGTATCTTTAAGTTGGATTCCTAGCAGTGAGATCAGATCAAAAGATAAATGCAGCCGAGCGGGGGGGACTGCTCACGCCTGTAATCCCGGCACTTTGGGAGGCTGAGGCGGGTGGATCACTTGAGGTCAGAAGTTCAAGACCAGCCTGGCCAACATGGTGAAACCCCGTCTCTACTAAAAATACAAAATTAGCTGGGCATGGTGGCGCATGTCTGTAATCCCAGGTACTTGGGAGGCTGAGGCAGGAGAATCGCTTGAACCCGGGAGGTGGAGGTTGCAGTGAGTCGAGATCCCGCTACCACACTCCAGCCTGGCTAACAAAATGGACTCCATCTCAAAAAAAAAAAAATTTTTTTTTAAATGCACCTGCAATCTTGTTAGACACTGCCAAATGTCCCTTACACCTTGGACTTACACGTTGTGCATTCCCACTGGTAACACAGAAGAGTGTTCTTTTTCTCATAGTCTTGTCAATAAATTATATTGTCTAATTTTTGTGACTTTGCTAATGGGTGAGAAGTAGTATCGCAGGGTAGTTTAATTTGCATTTCTCTTTATATGAGCAGAATTGGACATTTCTTAGGTTTTGTTTGTTTGTTTTTTGTTGTTGAGACAGAGTCTTGCTCTGTTGCCCAGGCTGGAATGCAGTGGCACGATCTTGGCTCACTGCAACCTCTGTCTCCCCGACTCAAGCAATTCTCCTGCCTCAGCCTCCCGAGTAGCTGAGATTACAGGCGTGTGCCAGCAAGCTTGGCTAATTTTTGTATTTTCACCATGTTGGGCAGGCTGGTCTCGAACTCGTGACCTCAGGTAATCCGCCCACCTCAGCCTTCCAAAGCGCTGGGATTACAGGCATGAGTCACAGTGCCCAGCCACCTCCTTAGGTTTTAAGGCAATTTGTATTTCCTTTTCTATGAACTATTCCAATCGTTTGCATATTTTTCTACTGAAATGTTGCTTTTTATTCTTTATTTTTAGGACCTCTTAATTCTTTCTCTCGAAGGGAAATTGATCCCCAGCAATGGTTGACAGCAAAATTAAATAGAAAGCACTGGCTATGGTAGAGGACACATCTGGATTCAAATCTGGCCTCCATTATTTACAAACCGTTTGCCCTTGGGCAAGTTATTTAACTTCACTGAGCCTATTTCTTTGTCTATTCCCGTTTCACAGAGTAATTATGAAGTTCAGAAATACTGTACACAAAGAACATGACACATTGTATGCATTCAACATGTTTAGATTCCTCCCAATTGCCTGTTTATATCCTCAACCCATGTTTTTCTTTTCTTTTTTCTTTTTTTTTTTTTTTTTTGAGACAGAGTCTTGCTCTGCTGCCCAGGCTGGAGTGCAGTGGTGTGATCTTGGCTCACTGCAACCTCTGCCTCCCGAAGTTCAAGGGATTCTCCTGCCTCAGCCTCCAGAGTAGCTGGAATTACAGGCACATACCACCACGCCCAGCTAATTTTTGTATTTTTTAGTAGAAATGGGGGTGTCACCATGCTGGCAAGGCTGGTCTCGAACTCCTGACCTCAGGTAATCTGCCTGCCTCGGCCACCCAAAGTGCTGGGATTACAGGTGTGAGCCACCGCACCTGGCCAACCCAGTTTTTTCTAACTGGGTTCTTGTCTTTCTTATTGAAGGATCTCTTTGCATATTGTGGATATTAATCCTTTGTTAGGTTTGTTGCAAAGCTTTCCTGCAAGTTTGTTTTTACTTATTTATTCATTCATCAGTAGGTGTACTGAGCACCTACTATGTGACAGAGACTGTGCTAGGAGCTGCAAATAAAGTAGTGAAAGAAGCAGATACTGTCTCTGCCCTTAAGTTATTTCTAATTGGAGAGAAAATCAAACAAAATTAATTATAAAGTGTGACAAAGGCTAAGAAGGAATTTAGCAAAAGGGTGGGACAGAAGGGGATCCACTTTTGGTGGGGTGGTCATGAAAGGCCTAAGTTATTAACATTGAAGATGACATTGAAGGATGAGAAAAAGCCAGTCATGTCATGAATGGAGGGACAAGCATATTATAAAGGACTGAAGTGGCAAAATGTGGCACATTCAATAAATTGAAAGATCACATTCCCAAATCATAATTGGCAGGGAGAATAGTGATAGGAGATGAGTCAAGAGGTTGGCAGGGGCCTCACAGGACAAGGTGAAGAAATTTGACTTTATTATAAATGTATATAATTATTATATATATTATATAATATATATATTTATGTATATAATTATTATATATTATATAATATATATTTATGTATATAATTATTATATATTATATAATATATATTTATGTATATAATTATTATATATTATATAATATATATTTATGTATATAATCATTATTATTATTTTTTTAAAGGACAGGATCTTGCTCTGTCACCCAAGCTGGAATGCATGGCACAATCATAGCTCACTGTAACCTCAAACTCCTGGGCTTAAGCAATCCTCCCACCTCAGCCTCCTCAGTAGCTGGGACTACAGGCCTGCACCACCACGCTTGGCTAATTTTTAAATTTTTTGTAGAGACAAGGTCTTGTTATGTTGCCCGGCTGGTCTTGAACTCCTGGCCCCAAGTGACCTGTTTCTATTTTAAGGAAGATTCTCATGGCAGCTGTGACAATGGATTACAGAAGAGAAAGAGCGGACAGTAGGCTACCATGTTGTTGACAGAAGTTAGGATAATGGCTTGTACCAGATGGTGACAGTGGGCATAATAAGAAAGGTAGATTTCAGGTATGTTTTTTGTTTTTTTTGTCGAGATAGAATCTTGCTCTGTTGCCCAGGCTGGAGTGCAGTGGCACAATCTTGGCTCACTGCAACCTCCGCCTCCCAGGCTCAAGCAATTCTCCTGCCTCGGCCTCCTAACTGTGATTACAGGCACCCGTCACCATGCCCGGCTAATTTTTGTATTTTTAGTAGAGACAGGGTTTCACCATGTTGGCCAGGCTGGTCTCGAACTCCTGACCTCATGATCTGACCACCTGAGCTTCCCAAAATGCTGGGATTACAGGCGTGAGCCACCATGGGGCCTTGGGTATGTTTTGAAACAGTTCAACATGATTTGTTAAGGAACTGAGTGGAGGACAAAGGAGAGGAAGAAATAAAAAATAATTCCCCTGGCCGGGCACGGTGCCTCACGCCTGTAATCCCAGCACTTTGGGAGGCCGAGGCGGGTGGATCACAAGGTCAAGAGATCAAGACCATCCTGGCCAACATGGTGAAACCCCGTCTCTATTAAAAGTACAAAAATTAGCTGGGCGTAGTGGCGCACGCCTGTAATCCCAGCTACTTGGGAGGCTGAGGCAGGAGAATCGCTTGAACCCGGGAGGCAGAGGTTGCAGTGAGCCAGGATTGTGCTGCTGCACTCCAGCCTGGTGACAGAGCGAGACTCCATCTCAAAAATAATAACAATAATAATAATAATAATAATAATTCCCCTATTTTCTTGCTGCTGAACTTACTGGGTGGTAATTGTGCTATTTAAGGAGGTAGGGAAGACCCTCATGGGAAGGGGACAGATTTGAAAGGAAACAAAGACTTCAGTGTTTTACTTGTTGGTTGCATTAACACATTAAATCTTCACTCCAGCTCTATAAGTACTATCATTAACTCTACTTTAAAGATGAGAAAACTAATCCAGAGAGAAATTAAGTAACTTGCTAGGGTTATAAATGATAAAGCCAGAATCTATTGATCTTTCTCCATTTTCCACTCCTTCCCTCCATCCAATCATTTATCTTCTCTTTTTATTGAGACAGGGTCTCACTCTGTTGACCAGGCTGAAGTGCAGTGGAATGATCATGGCTCACTGCAGCCTCGACCTCTCAGGCTCCAGTCATCCTCCCACCTTAGCCTCCCAAGTAGCTGGGAATACAGGCAAGTGCCACCACGCCCAGCTAATTTTTATATTTTTTGTAGTGATGGGGTCTCACTATGTTGCCCAGGCTGATCTCAAACCCCTAGGCTCAAGCAATCCTCTTGCCCCAGCCTCCCAAAGTGCTGGGATTACAAGCGTGAGCCACCGTGCCTGGCCATTTATCTTCTCATCCATCCACTCTTCTAATCACCTATTGCCTCATCTTCCTAGTTCCCCACACACCATTTTCTCAATTCACCCATCCATCTCTTCATCCATCCATGCAATCATCCATCCATCCTCCCAGCCCCCAATAAATATTCATCACGTGCCAGATTCCCCAGGCACCTGATACCTGCTGTGCAGGAGGAAAGTCAGGGATGAGAAGGCATGAGACAGACACAATGACATGCAGCTTAGCTTAAGATATTTATTCAATGCTCTCACATTTGGCCTCTGTGACCCAGAAAAGCGGTAGAGCAGGGTAGGAGCACATGATGCATCCTTCAGCCACTGCAACCTCCAGAGGGACCAGGTCTTCTTCAGGAAATCTTCGTTCCTGGTGGATGACTGATCAGCCATAACTGCAAGACACAGACATTTAGCACCTCCGCTTGCAGACTAAACACCCACCCTGACTGCCCTCATCCCATGAGGATCCAGGTGCCTTTGCCCCAAGAAGCCTGGTTTCCATACTACATCCCTCACCATGGGGAGAAGTCCTGCGCTCTCCATTTCTCCATCGCTGGCTTCTCCTGGGAGTCATGCCAATCATTGGTCTGGTCCCCGTCAAAGTTTCCACAGGCCCCACACAGTTTCCCAGCATGGTCATTGCTGACAATCACAGCCACCTTCCCATTGGCTCCAAGCCACACCTGGACCCCTGCCTTCTGGCGGACTAGCAGGGAGCCATCAGGTGTACGACTCACGGACACAGATGCTAACTTCTCAGCTGGGAGATCCACTCGGAGACCATTCACCTGGTGGGGGATGCCCAGCAAACACAGAGGTGAGGCCACAGCCCCAGAATAGCTGGGTGTTACCAGGATGGAGGATGGAGACCCCAAACAAGATAAGTTCATGGAGCTAAATCAAAGAGGCAGGTGCTGAAAGAGATGAAGACCTGGATGTTTGCACTATTTGGAGCAATGGATACATGAGAAGATAGCTAGAGATCTGGATAGACGGATAAAAGGATGGAGAGTGGAGGGATGGAGAGACGTACCCATGGATCTACACAACACCCCAAAGTCGGTGGGGGAAGCATTTTGTACCAGACAGATAAGCAAACAGACAGACAAACAATCAAACCCCAGGGTCATCCTTATGGTTCTAGTTTTCTTTTTCTTTTCTTTTTTTTTTTTTTAAGATAGGGTTTTGCTTTGTCATCCCAGCTGGAGTGCAGTGGTGCAATCACAGCTCACTGCAGCCCTGACCTCCTAGACTCAATCAATCCTCCCACCTCAGCCTTCTGAGTAGCTGAGACTACAGGACTACAGATGTGTGCCACCACACCAGGCTAATTTTTGTATTTTTTTCTAAAGATAGGGTCTCACTGTGTTGTCTAGGCTGGTCTTGAACTCCTGGATTCAGGTGATCTGCCTCCCTCAGCCTGGTTCTAGTTTGCAAAATAAAACAAACTTTGAGCACATCCTGTAAGTTATTGGTTCCCTAACCAAAACAACGTTATCCTTTATTTTTGCAATGCTGATGTCTGAAGATAAGTAATGACTTTAGCAAATATAATAATCATGTGAGAAAATTACTTTTTCTTCATCATAGGCTGCAGATCCAGTAACTTTGTGAGTTTTTCCTTTACATAACTGTTGTCTATGTTAGTTGGTGAATTAACCCTTCTAAAGTTAGATTCCCTAGAGAAACTTCCTTAAAAGACTTGTCTTTTTTTTTTTTTTTTTTGTAAATCCTTCTTTTGTTTGTTTGTTTTTTGTTGTTGTTGTTGTTGTTTTGTTTTTTGGTTTTGGTTTTAGTTTTTTTTTTGAGATAGAGTCTTGCTCTGTCGCCCAGGCTGGAGTGCAATAGCGCGATCTCAGTTCACTGCAACCTCCGCCTCCCGGGTCCAAGTGATTCTCCTGCCTTAGCTGGGACTACAGGCATGTGCCACCATGCTCGGCTAATTTTTGTATTTTTAGTAGTGACAGGGTTTTGCCGTGTTGGCCAGGCTGGTCTCTAACTCCTGACTTCAAGTGATCTGCCCGCCTCGGCCTCCCAAAGCGCTGGGATTACAGGCATGAGCCACCATGCCCAGCCCTCTAAATGCTTTTGTATCTGAGTTTTCCTCTGCCAGATGATTGGAGAGATAGGTAGATAGATCTGAAAAGACAGATGGGTGGGTGGGTGGGTGGGTGGATGGATGGAGGGATGGATGGGTGGATGGGTGGATTGGTGGGTGGATGGATGGATGGACAGATGGGTGGGTGGATGGAAGAAAGAAGGAAGGGAAAAAGACTAGAAGGAAGGAAATAGGAAAAAGAGAAGGGGGTAGAATAGATGCTGGAAGGAAGGAGGGGAAAAGGGAGGATGGGTGTAGTGAAGGACAGATGAAGACTAGTGGATGGAAAGTCTCAGTAGGGTGCAAGCTTTCCAAGTATAACGACTGAGTCCGAGTCATCTCTGTTACCCAGCACATGGCCTGGCACAAAAGGAGCAGGGCTGAGTTTATTCACAAAACCAGCCTTTTACTGAGTACCCTCTAGGTGCCATGCCCTGATCTGGGTACTGGGAACAAACTGGTGACCAAGATGGACAGGATCCCTGCCTACCTGCGGCTTATAGTCCAGTGATGAACAAAGATGCTGAGCATCTTCTGGGAGTTTCCTTCTAGGAGTCTGGAATTTTGGTAGGTGGATACCAAAACCCCAGGCACTGAGACTCTATGAATTTCCCTGGCAGATGACATTTCATGTTTCATCACAACTTTGTTGCTGGAGGAATTAAGCACATCCTGTGTGACTCTACCGAGAAAGGACTCTCGGAAGCTTGCACATGATTTCCCCTGGACTTTGTGCGATGCACCTTTTCCCTGTGTCAATTTCACTTCGTATCTTTTCCCTATGATACATCTTAGCCCTAAGTACAACTATATGCTGAGTCCTGTGAGTCCTAGTGAATCACTGAACCAGGTTATGGGAAACCCTGACACATTATGTGACCCCCCACCCCCAGCCTTGACCAATCACGGAACTTCCTCCCTAAAGTCACAGTGATTGGCTCCAGGGGTGGGCATGTGACCCAAACTGGCTCAGTGAGATATAATCCTGGGTCTTTTATTGAACCATTTTCTGTTAAGGTAGATAAGCTGGTGGGGTGTAGGCCTGGGCAGCTGGGCGGGGGTCGTCTTTACACCTGTAAGTGGAAAGCCTGTTTGAGAACAAAGCTGATTTGGCAAATAGCAAGTCTCAAAGACGGAAGTACAAATTTCTGATAATATTGCCAGGGCACCTAGATCCAGCCATTCCTGAGGCTCTATCCTGGGATTTTCTAGCTACATGGACTAATAAATTCAATTTTGCTTAAGGCAGTTTGAATTTGGTTTTAAGTCACTTGCAACCCATAGAGTCTCGATTCATACTAATGTCAAAACTATTAAGTTGCTTGAGTATGTTTTTGCTCCTCTAGAACTCAGCCAGAACAGAGGGACCAAGTTTGAAATATTGAGATAAATACAAATCCAGAGACTAAACCGCAGAGACCTGGATAAAGAAAACAGATCGCAAGACAGAAAGGAAGCCAGGAATGTGGGGACACTGTAATCAGAAGAGCAAAAGCCCAGGGAGACATTCCCTACCCCCTACTCACAAACTTACCCACACACCCTTGTTTGGAGTCAACGTCACCATCCCATCCTGGAAGAAGATGTGGACCTGGCCCACAGCCTCCGTTTTGCCATGGCAGATCTGGACTTCGGCAACTACACGGTACCAGGGGATGGTATTCTGTAGTCCTGGGCAGCGGGAAGAGAGCTCATAGACACCAGGAGAGGTGGTGGCACCACGGGCCCCATCAAAGGTGGTGAGGTTGGCACCCACAGACAGGACACAGAGACCACGGGTGGCCCAGCAGTTCCGGGCTTCAGCCTTGACCTCACATACACGGCCTGGTGGGCAGCCAGCTGCCTGGCATGTCAGGCCAGAGCTTGAGGAACAGGAACAGCGCTCGCTGCAGTCTGAGGTCAGCAGGGAGGAGTTTACCTGTGCACAGAAAGGGGCCAGGTTATGGTGGTGGGATGGATCGCAAAAATGGCCACACTGCTTGAACCCTCTGTATCCATGCAGAGTGACTTTACAGACTCCCATTAAGAAATAGAGTTTATTTCCCCCTCCCTATGAATCTGGGTTGGCCGTAAGACTATATTTAGGTCAATGAAACACAGAAGAAGCAATGTTGTAACAGGTTTAAGCCTAGACCTCAAGAGACCTCACAGCTTCTCTTTCCTTCTCTCTCTCTCACATACACAGAATCCTGCCCAGCCACCATGAGAACAAGCCTGGGCTAGCTCCCTAGAAGATGAGTGACCCCATGGAACATAGATAACTCTTCCAGCTCAGGCCACCCTAGACCAGGCAGCCTTCAGCTGACCCACCAGCTGACTACAGATATTATACATGAGTAAGCCCAGAGGATAGCAGAAGAACCACCCAGCCAAGTCCAGCCTAAACTGCAGTCACAAAATTGCAAACTAAATGAATAATTGTTTTAAGCCACAACGTTTTGGAGTGATCTGTAACCCAGCAAAAGCTAACTGATACAGGTAAGAAATGAAGAAATGTAATTAACAAAATAAATGCCATCTCTACAATGATGATTTCCACATCTCTAGGCCAGACCTCTCCCATGAAGGCCAGACTCACAAATCCAAGACTTCGGGCATAGGCAGAGGGGTCAGGGCAGAGATGGGGAAGCATAGGGAGCTGAGGGGTTCAGAGGAGGCACCTAACCCAGCCTAGGGGATCAAGGATGGCTTCCAGTAGGCAGTGAGACCTCAAGGAAAGAGCAAAATTTGGCTCCATTTGCAAGCAATGCAAGTTAGTGCTGCATGTTAATGGCTAGCCTCGGGCTGACTTCTCTATGTCACAATTTCTTCATCTGTAAAATGGGGAAAATAGTCATAGTATCTATTGCATAGGATTGTTGTGATTATTAAATGAATTAACATCCAGAACATGGCCGGGAGAGGTGGCTCATCCCTGTAATCCCAGCACTTTAGGAGGCCAAGGCAGGAGGATTGCTTGAGCCCAGGAGTTTGAGACCAGCCTGGACAACATAGCGAGATCCCATTTCTACATAAAAATTAAATAGTCAGCCAGGGATGGCAGTGTGAGCCTGTGGTCCCAGCTACTCAGGAAGCTGAGACAGAAAGATCGCTTGAGCCCAGGAGTTTGAGGCTGTAGTAAGCCGTGATCATGCCACCGCACTCCTGCCTGAAAGACAGAGTGCAATCCTATCTCAATAAATAAATAAATAAATAATAACACCCATAACAAACATGGTGCATAGTAAGAGCTCAAAAAAATTATTAACAAGAATAAATCAATTCTTCAATTTAATTCATATTATTAAACAATTATTAGCTGGGCTACCTATTTGCACTGTTGTAAACTGCTATTTCTTTTTTTTTCTTTTTGACATGGAGTCTCGGTCTGTTGCTCATGCTACAGTGCTGTGGCACAATCTCGGCTCGCTGCAACTTCCACTTCCCGGGTTCACGGGATTCTCCTTCCTCAGCCTCCCGAGTAGCTAGGACTACAGGTGTCCACCACCACACCCAGCTAATTTTTGTATTTTTAGTAGAGACGGGGTTTCACCATATTGGCCAGGCTGGTCTCGAACTCCTGACCTTTTGATCCGCCCGCCTTGGCCTCCTAAAGTGCTGGGATTACAGGTGTGAGCCACTGCGCCCCGCTGTAAACTGCTCTTTCTTTTTACTGAGTGTGATGAACATGCAGGGCAAGGCCCAGTGCTCAGTGGGTATCTTTCCTGTATAATCGGGCCTGATCCTCAGATACCTATGGTACAAAGATGGTGATTAGTCCCATTTTACAGGTGAAGAAAATGCAGTTCAAGGAGGGGCCAAATGATGCCCCCGCCCCAAGATATCAGGTCCTAATCCCTGTAATGAGTAAATGTCACCTTATATGGGAAAAGTGTGTTTGCAGATGTGATTGAATTAAGGATCTGAAGATGGAAAATTTCTCCTGGATTATCTGAGTGAGCCTTAGATGCAATCACGTGTATCCTTATAAGAGAGAAGCAGAGGGAGGTGTTATGACACACTCAGAAGAGGAGGCAGAGGTTGGTGTGATGTGGCCACAACCAAGGAAAACCTGCAGCAACCAGCAACTGGAAGAGGCAACAAACAGATTTTCCCCTAGATTTCTTTTTTCTTTTCTTTTCTTTTCTTTTTTTTTTTTTTTTGACATGGAGTCTCGGTCTGTCACCCAGGCTGGAGTGTAGTGGCGCAATCTCGGCTCACTGCCACCTCCGCCTCCTGGGTTCAAGTGATTCTCCTGCCTCAGCCTCCTGAGTAGCTGGGATTACATGCACGCACCACCATGCCCGGCTAATTTTTGTATTTTTAGTAGAGACAGGGTTTCACCATGTTGGTCAGGCTGGTCTTGAACTTCTGACCTCGTGATCCGCCCGCCTCAGTCTCCCAAAGTGCTGGGATTACAGGTGTGAGCCACCGTGCCTGGCTCTTTTCCTTTTTTCTTTAGAGGTAAGGTCTTGCTCTGTCACCCAGGCTGGAGTGCGGCAGCGTGATCATAGCTCACTGCAGCCTCCAACTCCTGGGGTCACGCCATTGTCCCACCTCAGCCTCTTGAGTAGCTGGGACTATAGGTGTGCACCACCATGCCCAGCTAATTAAAAAAACAATTGTATGTTGCCCAAGCTGGTTTTGAATTCCTGGGCTCAAGTGATCCTCCCGCCTTGGCCTCCCAAAGGGCTGGGACTGCAAGTATGAGCCACTGGGCATGGCCTCCCCTAGATTTCTCTGGAGGGAGTGCCACCTTGCCAACACCTTGATGTCAGCCCAGTATTCCTGATTTCTGACTTTTGGCCTTCAGAACTGTGGGAGAATGAATTTCTCCTGTTTAAGCTACCATGTCTGCGGTAATTGGTTACAGAAGCTGCAGGAGACTAATAGGGGGAGGTTGCCTGCATCAAGTCACATAGCTGGGATATGGCGGTACCTCCTCTGTCCCCAGCCTTGAAGAGGTCAGCACAGAATCTCTGGGTCTCTCTCAAGCTCTTCTACCCTCTCTGCCCACCCCAAGCCCCTACTCACCGGCAAGTATCGGCCATTATGGGTGCAGCCACAATCTTGGACAGGGATGCAGACACCCTGGGAAAGCAGGAAGCGGTCGTCGCACTCACAGCCCTCAAAACAGCGGGTGGTGCAGCCCGTGAGGCCGGAGAGAGCCGCACAGGATCCCTGGCAGGTGCGAGTGCAGATGGAGTAGTGGCTGTGGGCGGGGCAATGGAGCGCTGCAGAGAGAGGAGGCAGGGCTGAGTCACACCTCCAAAGGGTCCTGGATAACCAAGGGGGCCTACTGCACACCCAGCCCTGTTTTAGGCGGTGCTGAGGACACAAATACTGAGAAAAGTCTCAACCCCAGTCCTACAGAGCTCACTTCCAGTGGGACAGACAGGAAGAGCCCAAAGTGAACATGCTGCATCAGGGAGTGTAGACAGAGAGGTCAGGGTCAGGGTGGGGAGGCACAGGCAGAGGGGTCAGGGCAGGCATGAGGGGGCAAAGGCAGAGGGGTCAGGGCCAGGGTAGGGGGCTACAGACAGAAGGGTCAGGGCTGGGATGGGGAGGGCACAGACAGAGGGTTGAGGGCCAGGGTAGGGGGCACAGGCAGAGGGGTCAGGACCAGGGTCGGGGGCACAGGCAAAGAGGTCGGGGCCAGAGTGGGGGCACACAGGCAGAGGGGTCAGCGCCAGGATGGGGAGGGCACAAACAGAGGGTTGAGGGCTGGGGTTGGGGGCACAAGCAAAGGGGTCAGGGCTGGGGTGGGGGGGCAAAGGCAGAGGGGTCAGGGCCGGGATGGGGAGGGTACACACAGAGGGTTGAGGGCCGGGGTAGGGGGCACAGGCAGAGGGGTCAGGGCTGGGTAGGGGGCACAGGCAGAGGGGTCAGGGCCAGGGTGTGGGGGGCACAGGCAAAGGGGTCAGGGCTGGGATAGGGGGGCACAGGCAGAGGGGTCAGAGTTGGGACAGGGGCTATATGGACCCAAGGGAATTATCTGTGGTAAGTCCCTGGTCTCTGGCTAAGCAATTGGTGGAGGTGTGGCTGTTCTGCAATGCCCACCAGGTTTGGGGAAGGAGCATCAGGCTGGGGGTGAAATGCTGATTTTATTTGGGAACACAGCAGGTAAGAGGGACGGTAAGGACACCCAGGGGAAGGTGTCTTGGACACCCTAACAATTACCACAGACTTTGTAGCTTAAACAGGGGAAATTCATTCTCCCACAGTTCTGAAGGCCAGAAGTCAGAAATCAGGATCACTGGGCTGACAGTCAGGAGAGAGTTCAGGGCTTGAGACAGACAGACCAGGTCCATGGTCAACAATGAGAACAAATCTAAGGCCGCGGGTGTGGATGACCGCCCTGGGTATAGGTCCTGCCCAGGGGAGACCTGGCTCTGACCTGGAGCCGAAGGGGCCATTGCTTTTTCCTGAGAGTCTCTGGTGATGTCCCTCCCATGGGGAATTGAATGAGAGGTACAGTCCTAGTTTAGCGGGGTGTTTAATAGCCTGCAGCCTTGTCTTGGGGGGATCTGAGGGGATATGGTCTTGTCGGGGGTAGAAGGAGGGTCTGTGTGAGCCACAGATCTCCCAACCCATCCAACTCTCCCTTTCAGGTCACTGCAGAAAGAGTCCAGAATAGAACACTAGGGAAGAAGAGAATTTGAGGTTTGAGCAGAGTGGGCCCAGACAGGAGGCTGAGAAGGAACAGTCAGAGGGATAGCAGGGAAGCCAGTGGACTATGCCGTGGGAGAAGAAGTTGTGTGGGTGTGGGGTGGGAGGGGGTGGGGAGGGAGCGCTTTTACAGGGAGAAACCACTCCGACATGCAAATAGAAGGAATGGGCCAGGAGGGGCCCCTACACCTGGTCTAGAGTCCTGCGAGGGACCCACGGACACTCACGGCAGAAGCTGTCTGTCCTCCAGGGCTTCACGGCCACGCCAGCTGCCTGACAGGCCGCCGTGTAGGCTGCCAGGCTGCGGCACAGGAAGGCTTTGTCACCCTTTTGCGCGCACAGGTCGTATACGCATTGGCGGAAGTACTCAGAGGGACTCAGCACCGCCTGGCAGGTCGCGAAGGGGCCCTGGGGGTTCCGGAGCTGCCCGCAGGCCTCGTTGCTCTCATAGGGTGCAGTCTCCTCTGCCAAGCACACTGGGCAGCCTTGGGGCCCGCAGCCCTCGCCACAGCCCTTGGAGGAGCCGGGCGCCCGCCATGCAGCCCCGAAGGTCTCCACACTGGACGCTGCTGAGCCATTGGGCAGGACAAAGTCGTCACTCCAGTTGCCATTGAAGTTCCCACAGAGGCCACAGAGCCGTCCACGGAAGGGGCTGGGGATGGACATGAGGAGGTGGGCATCGCCATCAAAGAGAAGCCGCAGCCCCTTGGTCGTCTGCAGAACCATGTTTCGGCCCTCGGCGGTCACCCGCACGCGGCCCACAGCCACAGGCAGGGCCACAGCCTCGCCGTCCACGGTGACCTGGGTGGAAGGGTCGGGTAGGTCAGGAACTCACAGAACCACAGGCAAGGCTGTCCTGTCCCACTCCCAGGCCAGAGCTGCATCTCCCTCAGTCCCATTAACGTCAGGTCATGTTTCCCTTAAACTTCTTGGGCCCCAGGCCTGGCGTGGTGACTCACACCTATAATCCCAGCACTTTGGGAGGCCCAGACAGGTGGATCACTTGAGCCCAGGAGTTCGAGACCAGCCTGGCCGTGACAGCAAGACCTCATCTCTACCAAAAATAAAAAATTAGCTAGGCATGGGGGGCTGAGGTGGGAGGATTGCTTGAGCCCAGCAGGTTGAGCCTGCAGTGAGCTGTGATCACGCCAATATACTCCAGCCTGGGTGACAGAACAAGACCCTGTCACAAAACAACACAAAAATCTCCCACGGTGGGACCATTCACCAAACCTTCCAGGGTAGGTACCAGAGTTCCCATGTTAGAGGAATGTCCCTCTCATACCTACAGGGTGGGGTCGTGTCTCCCTCAGAACCCCCTAGATGGGGCTGTGTTGCCTTCAGACCCCCAGGGCAGGCTCACATGGACTCACCTGCTGCCCCTGAGCTAGGCTCACAACCTGGCCAGCCACAGTAACCAGGAGGCGTTGGAGATCTCCAGCTGCATTCTTCTCAAGCACGATGGAAAAGTCCTCGTCCCCAGGCTTTGGGTGGCAGACTTGGGCCAAGACATAGGAGCAGGAGCCATGCAGGTCGTAGACACGGCCATCAAGGGTGATGTAGTGGATGCCCCCGTTGGCCAGGCAGCGGCCACAGCCTGTGGCATGACAGGCCTGGACACCATCCTCTAACCGGCACTCCTCATGGGGCCCACAGGCTGCGCCCTCCTGGCAGGTGACATGGCCACCTGGCCCACACTCACAGCGCCGCTCACACTCAGGGCCCGGGTAGAAGACCTCGCCCAGTGGGTAGTAGCGGCCATCATGGAGGCAGCCACACTGGCCCACGGGTACGCAGGTGTCACCACTGAGTACGAAGCCAGCATCGCAGACACAGCCTTCACGGCAGGCCGACTCACAGCCCTCGGGTGCTGAGAGGCTCGGGCAGCTCACAGGGCAGGAGTCACCGCAGAGCTCATAGTGGCTGTGGGCAGGGCACTGCAAGGCTGTGGGGACAAGGTGGGCATGAGCCAGGTAGGTGTTCGAGTCGGGGTCTTGGGAGGCCCTGAGTGGGAAAACTGCTCAGGCCAACTTGAGTGTCTCTGTGTATGCACATGTGATCCAGGACATCTAACTGGGGGACTCAGTGTGGGACCTGGAATGGGAGGGGACATGCCCTGGTCTCTCTGACCAGGTTATGTGTTAGCCTGACCAAATATTTCTGAAGATCAAATGACTCTGCTTGCCTGATTTTTATTTATTTATTTATTTATTTATTTTTTATTTTTTTGAGACAGGGTCTCACTCTATCTCACCCAGGCTGGAGTGCAGAGGCGCGCTTACTGCAGCCTCCACCTCCTGGGCTCAAGCGATCATCCTGCCTCAGCCCCCCGAGTATCTGGGACTACAGGTATGAGCCACCACATCTGGCTAATTTATTAGTAGTTTTCTGTAGAGATGGGGTCTCACTATGTAAGCCAGGCTTACCTGGGTGAAATGGATCACTTATATCTATTCGGGGTATGCAAGATCAGAACTGACTATGGGTACCTCAGCGTGTGAATGTGACTGGGGTGTGGGGCCACATGTATCTCAGGGTATGGCTCTGCCTGAGGGCACCCAGCTGTGGGTGTCTGACATGCAGCATCTCCCAGAGTCCTTCTGACATGGTCTGCCTAAGGGTGTGCCTGGGTGAAGTTGGCAGGATACCTGTGACCAGGAGACCTGCCTGAAGGGAACCGCCTAGGACTATCTAACCATGCATCTGTGTGGATCTGCCCAGGGCTATGTAAGAGTCCTGATTCTATCTGAGTGTATCTAACCAGTTAGTCTCAGTACAAAATCTGAGCAGATACCACTGAAGGTATGTGACTTATTCTATGTGACTAGGTGTATTTCAGTGTGTGCAACAGACCAAGGGCCTCTGACCAGCTGTAACTCACTAGGTCTTCCTAACCAGGGGTACCTTGCTGTGTGACTGAGGCAGAGTCAGCCATCCCAATCTACATGCCTTGGATATCTGAGAGCATGGATCACCAATCCTCAACAGTGTCCTGGACCCCAGGTTTCTGACTAGGTGTTTCTTTTCTTTCTTTCTTTTTTTTTTTTTGAGATGGTGTCTCACTCTGTTGCCCAGGCTGGAATGCAGTGTCACATCATGGCTCACTGCAACCTCTGCCTCCTGGGTTCAAGTGCCTCAGCCTCCTGATTAGCTGGGATTACAGGTGCCCACCACCACGCCCAGATAAATCTTGTATTTTTAGTAGGGACAGGGATTTCACCATGTTGGCCGGGCTAGTCTCAACTTCCTGACCTCAGGTGATCCACCTGCCTCGGCCTCCCAAAGTGCTGGGATTACAGGCGTGAGCCACCACGCCCACACTCTGACTAGGTGTTTCTAACTCTCTCTCACTGCAGTACCTTTCTTGGGGCATTTCAGTGTGTGAGTGCCAAGGTGTTTGGTGACAGGAGATACCAAGCTCAGAGGAAGGAAAGTGGCCCCTGAGCCCCATGGAGGAGGAAGGGGCTGCTGTCCTACAGTCCTGGGAAGGGCAGGGAGAGACCCAACCATGTGGACCATGCATGGAGCAGTACTCACGACAGAAGTCCGGCCGCCTCCACTCGCCGAGCTGGGCCCCAGCGGCCTGACAGGCTGCCACGTAGGTAGCCACTGCAGGACAGAGGCCTCCAGGATGGCCCTGAACTTGGCAGGCGTCCAGCAAGCAGCCCTGGAAGTACTGCGCGGGCGGCACAAGGCCGTGGCAGGGTGCCAGCGGGCCGTCGGTGGCGGAGATCACGCCGCAGGCGTCCGGGCCGCCGAAGGACTCCTGCTGCTCTGGGGTGCACGGCGACGGGCATGGCTTGGACACACATTCCCCGCAGCCCTGGGCCCCGCCCACCTGCCATCCAGCGGGCTTCCCGCCCACAGCCTTGAGGTCGTCTGCGGGGTCCTGGTTGTAGTTCCCGCATAAGCCACAGAGAGAGGCCGCGTACGCCGCCGGCACGCGCAGGCGCACGAAGCTGTCCCCATCGAAAGCCAGCGAGAGCCCTGAGGTTGTGGTCACCACCACGTCGGCGCCGCTCAGGTGTGCGTGCAGGAGCGAGTCCAGCTGGAAAGGCAGAGCCACGAACACGCCGTCGACCTGCGGGCGGGGGATGGCGGCGGGGGGATGGGGCGCGGTGAGTGGAGAGAACACGGGTTTGAATCCTGGCCCCACCACCTACTAGCTGTGGGACCCAGAGCATGTCACCTCCCCTCTGAAAATAATAATGAGCATCTATAGGCCGGGCCTGGTGGCAAAGCCTGCAATCCCAGTACTTTGGAAGGACGAGATGGGAGGATCACTTGAGGTCAGAAGTTCAGACCCGCCTGGGCAACATAGTGAGACCCCCATCTCTACAAAAAAAATGAAAAATTAGCCAGCATGGTGGCCTGCGCCTTTAGTCCCAGCCACTTGGGAGGCGGAGGCCAAGGCGGGAGGATGGATTGAGCCCAGCAGTTCCAGGCTACAGTGAGCCCTAATCCTGTCACTGCACTCCAGCCTGGGCAACAGAGTCAGGCTAAGAAAAGAAAGAAAGAAAGAAAAACAGAAAAGAAAAAACAAAGAGCCTCTATAGGCTCATGTCACTGACTCCTCATCCTTCTCAAAAACAGGTACTTTCTTAGACCAGTTTACAGAGGAATACACTAGGCTCAGAGAGGAAGAAGCCGCTGTGCCAAGCCACCAGGCTCCTAGGCGTACACTCTGACCCTTCCATCATGCCCCAGCTAAGCTGTGAAAGGGGCCCAGGGGAATGGTGAAGCCCTTACCATCTCAGGCAACCCCAGAGCTGGCACTTGCTCCTGTCTGGCCCACAGCCCTCCTCACCTGTAGCTTCCGGGGCCAGCGGGCACTCAGTGTCAGGCTGTGGTTGTAGATTTGCAGGGTGACACTGCGGGTGTAGCTGACAGCCTGGCTGCCCCGGTGCTCATTGGCTACAGTGACAGTGAAGTTCTCAGCCCCCAAGGGTGGTCCGTGGCAGGGTGCACTCAGCAGGTACTCGCAGGTGCCTTGGAAATCGAATCGGTGCCCATCCAGAGTGACGTAATGGGGGTCACCCCACGCCTGGCACTCAGCTGTGCTGACGGGCTGGCAGCCGTGCTGGCCGGATGGCAGGAGGCCACACACTTCACCCAGCCCACAGCTGGCAGGTGTGCAGACCAGCGAGCCACCCCCAGGCCCGCAGCGACACCACTGGGAGCAGGTGCCATCAGCCCAAAACTCACTGCCCGCCTCGTGGTAGGTGCCATTGGCCCAGCAGCCGCAGCCGTTGTTGAGGGGAACACAGCGGTCAGCACTTAACACGAAACCCGCGTCGCACTGGCAGCCCTCCACACAGGGGCCCTCACATACGGCTGGCGTCGTAAGGGGTGCAGGGGACGGACAGCTGGCTGGGCAGGGTGGGCCACAGACCTCATAGTGGCTGTTTTCTGGGCAGGTGATCTCTGTGGGCAGACGAAGGAGCAGGAAGGAGAGAAATAGAGAGAAGGGTGTCAGGGGTGGGGTCCCAGGACAGGGTGGGAGGAGACAGAGATACTAGGGAGCAGACAGAAAAAGGGAGAGACAGAAAACAAGACACAGAGAGGACACAGAGAAAGAAATGGGAGAGGGCGAGACACCAGGAGACCCAAGCAGAAACTGAGGGAGCTAGAGAATGAGAAACAGACAGATAGACACAAGCAAAGCGAGGCCCAGAGATGAGCACCAAGAGACAGAGAGACAAACAGAGAAAAAAGAAAACAAAGAGACCCAGAAGGACCAGAGTGAAACCAAACCAGCCCCGAAGAGACGGGACCCCGCCCCCCGCCCCACCTCTGCTCCCCCAACACTCACCACAGCCAACCTGTGCCCGCCAGTCTTCGATGACAACCCCAGCGGCCTGGCAGGCGGCCACGTAGGAAGCCAGAGCCTTGCAAAGAATGTCACGGTCCCCACCACCCATGCAGACGTCCAGAACACAGCCCTTGAAGAAGCTCTCAGGTGGCACATGAGCATGGCAGGTGGTGAAGGGGCCCCCTGTGCCAGATGAAAGGGGTCCGCAGAAGCCAGGGCCCTCGTACTGCTCCAACCGGTCCTCAGGGCACGTTGGGCAGGACCCCCGACATTCGTCCCAACACAGTGGGTCCCAGCCTGGGGCTCGCCAGCTGCCGCCCCAGATGGGTATGGAGGGAGCCAGTGTGCCATTAGGGAAGACCTGGTCATTGTTGGGGTTGCGGTCCATGTTACCGCAGAGCCCGCACACTGCGCCATGATAGCTGCTGGGGAGCGTCACGTCTACCCGCCAGTTCCAGTCATAGCTGACTTGCAGTCCAAAGTCAGCCACCAGCAGTGCCTTCGATGCACCCTGGGCCACTGAAATCCGCCCGTCGGCCACGGAGACAGGCAAGGCTGTGAGCACACCGTTCACCTGGGGGAAGGAGGGAAGGCAAACGGGTCACTGGAGGTTTTACGGCCCCAGCTCTGGCCCTCTGCCTCCCTCTCTCTCATCCCACCGGGGGCTGGGAGAGGCCAGGGCCTTCCCCCGAGAGTTGGATTGTCATCTGACACACTGTGGACAGTTGTTCTAGCCCAGGTCTTGGGGAACGAAACCTCACTTTACTTTTTCTAGATCTTCTCCCTTCATCTCTATCTCCCTCTTCTGTCTCTCTGTCTCTCTGTCTTTCTGTGTCTCTCTCCCTCTGTCTTCACCTAAGTCTATATCACTTGGTCTTCTCTCTCTCTCTTTCTGTCTCTCTGTCTATCTCTCCCTCCTCTTCCCTTCCTCCCTCCTACCCTCATTCTCTGTGTGTCTCTTCCACTCACTCACCATCATTTATCCAGTGCCTACTCTGTTCCATCCCTCATTTTCTCTCTGTGAGCTACCATTAAGCTCTATCTCCATTTCCCTGGGCAGAAAGGATAGCCCATCTGTCTCCTCTGATCTCCCTACATATCTCCCTATATTTCTTTCTTTCTTTCTTTTTTTTTTTTTTTTTTTTTGAGACAGATCCTCACTCTGTCACCCAGGCTGCAGTACAGTGTCGAAATCTTGGCTCTTGTAACCTCCACCTCCCAGGTTCAAGTGATTCTCCTGCCTCAGTTTCCAGAGTAGCTGGGATTACAGTAGCACCACCACACCCAGCTAATTTTTGTATTTTTAGTAGAGATGGGGGTTTCACCATATCGGCGAGGCTGGTCTCGAACTACTAACCTCAGGTGATCCACCCGCCTCGGCCTCCCAGAGTGCTGGGATTACAGGCGTGAGCCACCGCACCTAGCCCGATCTCCCTGTATTTCTCTCTGTGTCCTGGTCTCTGGGTCTCTCACTTGTTCCCTCACAAACACTCAAACGACTGTTCACCTGGACTAGACTCTGAGCTCAGCATGTGACATGCACGGCCTTGCTGTGGGGGAGGCCCTGATACGATGCCCACTTCACAGATGAGGAAACTGAGGCCTACCAAGTGAACTGCCCAGCATCACATAGCTCATAAGGAGGAGAGGCTGGATTGAAACCCAGGTCTATAAAAAAGGCAAATGCTGAGGTCCTATGTTAAAGCCCTTTGCCAGGGGCTAGGCTCATTTAATTCCCAGTAACAGGGTGACATTTTTGCTGCAATTATTCTTTTTGTTGACAGTTTGTTTCAGGCCCAGGTGAAGACAAAGAGCCTTGAGCTGCTAACTGTGGTCGTCAGGATCCCTCCTGCCCTCCCGGGGACCTCAGGGGACCATCCTGCCACACATACCCGGACTTTGCCGATCTCGTCCTTGTGGATGGAGATGTTGGTGCCGAGGGCAGCCACGGTGACGACTCTCACGTAGGACACAGCAGGGTTGCCCCGGTTCTGGTTCTTGGTGGTGACGGTGAAGGGTGTCAGGCCCTGGGTGCTGACCCCCGGGCAGCCAGTTGTTGCCAGCACATAGTTACAGGTGCCCTGGAAGTCAAACTTCCGGCCATCGAAGGAGTGGTAGTGTGGGTCGCCCCACAGCCAGCACGTGGCCTCATAGTTGGGCAGGCACACGCCCTGGCCACCCTGCTCCTTGCATGTCTCCTGTGGCCGGCATGTCACGCCGTGGCACGGGTCTGGGGACAGAAGAGGGAGGAGGACCTTGAGGGGCTGCCCATTGTAAAGCATGGCCGCTCCCTCCATATCTACCCAGTCTGTGCCAGGGATCTGAGGGTTACTGCAGGCAAGACCACATTCCAGAGTCCTCATGTCTAGGACCCACTTCCTATAGTTTGCTTTTATATTTTCTTTTGTTTTGTTGTTTTTTTGAGATGGAGTCTTTCTCTGTCACCCAGGCTGGAGAGCAATGGTACAATCTCGGCTCACTGCAACCTCTGCCTCCTGGGCTCCAGTGATTCTCCTGACTCAGCCTCCTGAGTGGCTGGGATTATAGGTGCCCACCAGCATGCTTGGCTGATTTTTGTATTTTTAGTAGAGACAGGGTTTCACCATGTTGGCCAGGCTGGTCTCGGGCTCCTGACATCAAGTGATCAGCCAACCTTGGCCTCCCAGAGTGTTGGGATTACAGGCATGAGCCATCATGCCCAGCCTGCTATTTTCAAGACCAGCCCCTGGGAGTCGCACACAGCTGACACTGAGGCCCCATGGGGGACTGTGTCTAAGTCTCGGCTGTCAAAGGTCCCATACCGGAGACCTGGGCCCCAGAGGTCTGTACAGCCAAGACCCAGTACCTAGAGTTCCCCTACCTCTGAGACTGAGGCCCTGCCATTTGCTGTGTGAGACTGAGATCCTGGAGTCCACGCACCTAAGACCAAGGCAAAGACCAAGGCTCTGGGTCTGTGTTTAAGGTGCACTTTCCATGGTGCCCTTGCTTGAGATTTCACCCTGTTCTTGTATTTTAAGTTTTATAGGAACCTCACCGTCTTCACTTACATAGGCTACGGCTGCTTTCACACCACAGTGGCAGAGTGAGTAGTTGTGATCCAGAAGGTATAGCCTGCAAGCTTAAACACTTACCATCTAGCCCTTTAGAGAAAAGGTGCACTTGACCCCAGTTGAGATCTGTGCCCCAGGGGTCCTTGTGTCTGCGATGCCAGCCCTGAGAGCATCCATGTCTGAGATCCCAGCCCCAGGGTTCTCTGTGTTCAAGACCTGGGCCCCAGGCCAGGTGTGGTGGCTCAGGCCTGTAATCCCAGCACTTTAAGAGGCTGAGGTGGGAGGATAGCTTGAGCCCTGGAGTTTGAGACTAGCCTGGGCAACATAGTAAGACCCCATTTCTACAGAAAGATTAATAAATTAGCCAGGCGTGGTGGTGTGTGCCTGTAGTCCCCCACTACTCGGGAGGCTGAGGCGGGAGGATTGTTTGAGCCCAGGAAATCGAGGCTGCAGTAAGCTACACTACACTCTAGCCTGGGCCACAGAGTGAGACCTTAGCTCAAAAAAAAAAAAAAGATCTAGGTCTCAGGGTCCCCCATGCCTGAGACCTCAGCCCCCTGGACATCTCCACATTTGATAGAAATTGGTCTCCAATTTCTCTAGGTCCTGGAGGCCTCTATGCCCAAGACTAGGGCCCTGGGGTGATCTTCTGGCAAGAGCCCAGTGCCAGGGTCTCAGCAGGATTTGAAATGTTTGAGACCCTAACTAGCTAAGTCTCATGGGCTGGGCTCCCTCAGTGCAAGACTCCATCCCTGAGGGTTGCTGTATTCAAGACAGTAGCCTTCATCGTGTCTCACTGCTGAGGCCCTGTCCTGGGGGGTTTCTGTGTCCGAGACCCTGTTCGTACAGTTACTACATCTGTGACCCCAGCTTGCGGAACCCCTGTGTGGGAGAGGCCAGCCTTCAAACGTCTCCTTCCTCCTGTGTCCATTATCAATGTACCGCCTCTCAGCTTCAAATACACCCACGGAGTTAAGCTTTGTCAACAGAGGGCGCCGGAGAGTCACTGCAGGAGGGAGGGTCTCCGGGTCTGGCTTCTAGCCAGTTTGGTCCTTTCAGCTCTGGCCAGGGTGCGGGGCCACATTCAGCGAGTGCCACTGGCCGCAGCTGGCTTCCCAGTGAGGGGTTCCCTTCTTGCCAAGTCCAGCCTGCAGAAACCTCTGTGCCACCCAGTGGGCTACAGCTGCAGTGAGACTGGACTCAGCCTTGGGGCTGATTCTCCCCTCCTTGAAGAGGAGGGACCAATTTCTCCCTTCCATGAGGCTTTTAACTTAGCCCTAGAGTGGCGGCTACTTCCTGTGTGTGCTTTGGTGGTATTCTTTAGTGCTCTCTTTACCGTTTCTTATTTCTGTTTATTTGTTTGTTTGTAAAGAGACAAGGTCTTGCTGTCTTGCCCACGCTAGAGAGCAGTGGTGCAATCATATAGCTCACTGCAGCCTCGAAATCCTGGGGTCAACTGATCCTCCTACCTCAGCATCCTAAATAGCTGGGACCACAGGCACGCATCACCACACCTGGCTAATTTTCAATTTTTTGTGGAGACAGGGGTCTCGCTATGTTGCCCAGGCTGGTCTCGAACTCCTGGCCTCAAGTGATCCTCCCAAAGTTCTGGGTGTGTGAGCCACGGCACCAGACCCTCTTTACCCTTAATAGTTAATCTCCTATTAATAAGTAAGTGATTCTTTAATTAAACTTTCCTCATTCAAATGGCCATACGCTTTCTGTCTCTCGACTAGATGCTGAGTGATATACCCCCCATTCCTGGGAGTCCCCATTATCCTGCTCATCAGCCCTGAGAGTCTTAGCCCCCACTCCTTGGTGCTGGAGCTCCCATTCTCTTATCCTTAGGGGGAGGAGAGTTCTCTGCTCTTCACCCTAAGAAATGAGCCCTGGGGGTGGCTGTGTCCCAGATTTAGTCTGGGGGATTCCCACATCAGAGACTATACCCCTAGAAATCCTGATCTTCCAGTTAAGAGGGGTCCCCATATCCAATGTCCTGCCTTGGTGAGGTCTCCGTGCGTGAGACTCAGAACTCTGCTCTCTGTCCCTGCCCCTGGGATCCCAATCTCTCCCCTGCCCTTTGGTGCTAGTGTCTGAACCCCAAGCCCGATCCCACACATCAGTGTTCCGCTCATGATGGAACCCTAGGCTGCTGCTCTTGTATTCTAAAGTCTTATAGGAACCTGACCTCTTCACTTACATAGTCTACGGCTGCTTTCATGCCACAGTGGCAGAGTGAGTAGCTGGAACGAGAACCTACAGCCTGCGAGCTTAAACATTTACCATGTAGCACATTAGAGCAAAGGCGCGCCTGTCCCTGCCTTATACCGAGGGTCTCTGACATCCACCCTGAGAAAACTATCTCTGAGGGTCCCCACAGCCTGGATTTTCCCTAAGGGTCCCTACCTCCCAAAGTAGGTGGCCCTGGCCCTGTGAAACCTGGTCTAGGGTTCCCCAGGTCTGCAACCTCAATCATTAGTCCTGTACACCTCCCGCCATGGACACCCCAGTTACACTACCCTCAGCCCCAGAGTCCCCATCCTCCATCCCTAGTCCCATCAGCCCCAGTCCCAGCCCAGCCCAGCCCAGCACCTTTGGTGACGCAGCTCAGGATGCCTCCGGAGGGCTGGCACACCTGCCCCGGCTTGCAGCTGTGTTCCTGGCACACCACGACTTTACCCACATGGCACGTGCACTGCTGCCGACAGTTGTCAATGAGGACTGTCTGCTCCGGCTGTGGGGAGAGAGGGAACGGCCATCAGGGACACCACGGGTGGGAGCCGACTCTCACATCTCTGGCGTTCTGGCACAGAGGGGTTTGGCAGACATCACAGACAAGGGACATCTCTCAGCAGGATGGCCCCTTGTCTGTGAAGCTGAGGCACAGCATGGCTTTGGGGCCATCATTCATTGGTTCATTCACTTTTCTTCATTTACTCATTCATTCCAAAATATCCACTCAACGTCTGCTGTAGGAGAAATGGTGTGACACAGTAACTAAGGGCAGATCGCCTGGGCTTGAAGCCCGTTTCTGCTGTTTCCAAAGTGTGTGACTCTGGGCAGTTACTTCACCTCTTTATGGCTCAGTTTCATGATCTGCAGATTGCAGATGATAGTAGCGCCTGCCTTTGGAAATATAACTGAGTTATATTCAGATAATAACCAAGTTATATTCAGATAATAACCAAGTTATATTCAGACATGTAAAATTTAGATAAAATGAAAAGGGTAGGCCGGGCGCGGTGGCACATGCTTGTAATCCCAGCACTTTGGGAAGCCGAGGCGGGTGGATCACGAGGTCAGAAGATTGAGACCATCCTGGCTAACACGGTGAAACCCCGTCTCTACTAAAAATACAAAAAATTAGTCGGGCGTGGTGGCGGGCGCCTATAGTCCCAGCTACTCGGGAGGCTGAGGCAGGAGAATGGTGTGAACTCGGGAGGCGGAGCTTGCAGTGAGGCAAAACTGCGCCACTGCACTCCAGCCTGAGTGACAGAGCGAGACCCCATCTCAAGGAAAAACAAAAACAAAAACAGAAAAGGGTTTCCTTTAAAACATTCAGATAGGAGAGATACGTGGGGTAGACATCAAACAAGATCGGGAGAATATGGCTTATTTTTGAAGCTAAGTGATGGGTAAGTACATGGACAGTCATTCCACTATTCTCTTAATTTTTGCATGTTTGAACGTTTTCAGAATAAAAAGTTTTTAGATATGTAATGCATATATAAAAATATGCACACATAGCACTTAAAACGGTACCAGATACATAGTAAGCACTATCTACACATTTTCTGTTATTATTAATATTATTTATGTGAGGAGAACAACAGAGAGAGGGTTCCACCCCTAGGAGAGCTCACAGTCCCCAAGGGAGATGGACATTAGACAAACACATGCTCCAGTCAAAGAAAAAGGACCTACGGGGACAGAGTGGGAGAGGGAAGTAGAGGGTGTTAGCAGCTGGTATAACACATGGAAATCTTGTCTTTGTGGTCAGAAAGGCTCCCTTCGTCCAGACCTGGAAGGCAAAGCCACAACTTGACCTGGGGAGTCAGGGGAGGGTTTAAAGCTTCAGAGCCCGTGGTCATATTTAGAAAGATCTTTACCACTGCCACGTGGAGGGTGGACCAGAGGGAGCAGAGGTAGGAGCTGGGAGGGACCCAGGTAGGAGAGGACCAGCTGGACCAAGGGAGGGCCATGGGGACGGGGAAAGGAGTGGGTACAAGAGACACTGAAGAGACTGAGTGGACTAGCTGTGGTGGCTCCCGCCTGTAATGCTCGCACTTTGGGAGGCCAAGGCAGGAGGATCACTTGAAGTCAGGAGTTCGAGAGCAGCCTGGCCAATATGGCAAAACTCCACCTCTACCAAAATACAAAAAAATTAACCGTGTGTGGTGGCACGTGCCTGTACTCCTAGCTACTCGGGAGGCCGAGACAAGAGAATTGCTTCAACCTGGGATGCTGAGGTTGCAGTGAGCTTGAACCCGAGAGGCGGAGGTTGCACTCCAGCCTGGGCAACAGAGCAAGACTATATCTTTAAAAAAAAAAAAAAAAGAGGCTCAGTGGGTCGGGCATGGTGGCTCATGCCATTAATCCCAGCACTTTGGGTGGCCAAGGCGGGACGATGGCTTGAGGCCTGGAGTTCACGACCAGCCTGAGCAACATAGTGAGACGCCCCCATCTCTATGTGTCCACAGGAAAATTAAAAATTCGCTGGGCTTGGTGGTGCGCACCTATAGTCCCAGGTACTTGGGAGGTGAGGTGAAGGATTGCTTGAGCCAAGGAATTTGGGGCTGCAGTGAACTATGATGGTACCACTGCACTCCAGCCTGGGTGACAAGAGTGAGACCCTGACTCTAAAAGAAATAAATAAGAGGCTAAGTAGACAGGCCGTGGGGCTGATGAACAGTGGGAGGGGTGAGACCCCATATTCTGCCCCAGATGACTAGGTTCCTACCTCATAGTAGACACCATTGTGGTAGCAGCCACATTGCTGGATGGGCACGCAGGCTTGGCCGTTGTAGAGGAAGCCGGAGTCACACTGGCAGCCCTCAGCACACCCATCTGGGCACTGCAGAGGGGCACTGAGAGCCGAGCAGCCCAGGGAGCAGGTGTCCGCACAGAGCTCGTAGTGACTGTTCTGAGGGCATTCCATGGCTGCAAGGAGGGGGTGCCGATCAGAGCCCTGGGGAGGGAGGGGCTGCAAAGCCCAGGGTCTACCCCTTCTGTGCCTCAAGCTCTCCCCTCCCTGCCCCTCCGGCTCTCCCTCACTCACGACAGAAAGTTTCATTCCTCCAGGGCTCCACGTGGCCTCCAGCCGCCTGGCAAGCACTCACGTAGGCATGGATGTTGCTGCAGAGAATGCTCAGGTTCCCACCACCCAGGCAGAGATCAAAGATGCAATCTTTCAAGGGACCCTGGGGATCCACCAGCTTGTGGCAGGAGGACAGTGGCCCTGTGGGGCTGGAGAGGAGCCCACAGAACTCCTCCTTCTGATACTTCTTCTCCAGCTCGGGAGGACACTTGTCGCTGGGGATACAGCCCGCGCTCCCCGGCGGGCAGGTGGGCGGCGGCAGGCAGGGAGAGTCGGGCACCACCTCCTCCCAGGAGTTGCCGAACTCATTGGCGTTGCCTGCCTGCGAGCCATTGGGCTTCTGGAAGTCATCCTTGGGGTCGCCGTTGTAGTTCCCACACAGGCCACACATCAGCTGGTAGTAGTTTCCAGGGACGGTGACCCGCACATAGTACACAAGGTCGTAGGCCACACGCAGGCCGAAGTCGGTCTCAATCACAACATCTGAACCATGCTGGGAGGCACGGATCTGGCCGTTGGCCAGCACCACGGGCAGCTTCATGTCCACACCGTTCACCTGGGAGGGGAAGAGAGGCAGGCCACGCTTCAGAAAGTATACTTTGAGTGAGGGTGGGACCCTAGTTCAAGCCCATGCCTGATGCTGATCTTTGTGACCTCACCTCTTAGGCCCTCAGTTTCCTATTTATTAAATGGATATAATAACAGGGCCTGATAGTAGATTGAATGGTGGTCCCCAAAAGACATATTCACACAGAATCCCATAGCGTGAGCTTACTCGGAATAAAGTTCTTTGCAGATGTAATCAGGGTAATAATCTCAACATGAGATTATCCTGGATTAAATTGGGCCTTAAATCCAATGACTAGTATCCTTATAAGAGCCAGAAAGAAAAAGGCAAAGAGACACACAGAAAAGGCCACATGAAGATGAAGGCAGGGATTAGAATGGTGTTGTCACAAGCCCAGAGAACCTGGAGTCTGCAGAGCTGGAAAGGGAAAGGAAGATCCCCCAACCAGTGTCTTTGGAGGGGGTGCAGCCCTGCCCACACCTTGATGTTGAACTTCTGGCACCCAGGACTGTGGAACATACATTTCTAGTGTTTTAAGCCACCAAGCTCGTGGTAATTTGTTATGGCAGCCATGGGAAACGAATACAGGTCTCGATGAAGTAACAAGCCTCCAGCTATCCTTTGTTTACCGCTTGCTGCAGCCATTAATAAGCAATGATCGCCCCCGGAGCCACTTGCCCGAGTTCAAACAGTTTCCCCCTTACCCTCTTTGTGACCTTGGGCAAGTGAGTCACCTCTCCCTGTTTCTGTTTCCTCATCTATCAAGTGGGAATAAGGCGTTTGCCCCATGGAACTGTTGTCAGGATCACATAAATTAGTATCTGTAAAGTGCTGAGAAACGTGGCTGGCATAGCATGCATGCTTCAGGAGCATTTGCTGTTATTAGCAGCTATGAGTGGAAGTTTTTCTTCTGAAGAGTAAACAGAACCACAGGTTTTTGCTTTAAAGCATCAGCGAGTGGAAAGTTAGGCTAAATTCTTGGGGAAATGAACTTAAACCTATGAGCTGAGGACCAGTGGTTTCAGTTAAAGATTTACTAGGCTCCAACAAAGCCTGGTAAATCCACCCCTGGACAGGGCACAGTGGCTCATGTCTATAATCCCAGCACTTTGAGAGGCCAAGGCGGGAAGATCACTTGAGCCCAGGAGTTCAAGGTCAGCCTAAGCAATATATCGAGATCCTGTCTCTACAAAATAAAAAAGAAAACAAATTAACTGGGCATGGTGGTGCATGCCTGTACTCCCAGCCACTCAGGAGGCTGAAGTGGTAGGATTGCTTGAGAGCAGGAGTTTGAGGCTGCAGTGAGCTAGGATCACACCACTGCACTCCAGCCTTGGTGATAGAGCAAGACCCTGTCTCTAAAAAATAAATAAATACATCAACCCCTGATTAACATGCTTTCTTACCCTTCCTTATCACAGACAGTGCACACCGGATTCTTTTGGAAATGTGAAGAATCAGAGGAGAAGGCAGGAGAAAGACATGCTCCTGGCTGAGTCTCCTAAAAAGATGGTCAACTGCCACACTTCCCAAGCAGGGCTGGGCGGTGGGTAAGGGCAACTGACTTAGCCTTGCCTCAGTTTCCTCAGCTGTAAACTGCGGGGTAATAAGAGCTCCCACATCTGTAGGGAAGCTGGGGGTTTCAGTAAGAAGCAACTAACAAGAACATCAACAACTCCTGTGTATTTAGGCGCTGTATGTCAGGGGCTATTCTAGGAGCTTGGGAAACATTAGGGAATATATTCAATTAAGTCCTGCATGTCGGCCGGGCACAGTGGCTCATGCCTCTATTCCCAGCACTTTGGGAGGCTGAGGCCGGCAGATCACTGAGCTCAGGAGTTGGAGACCAGACTGGCCAACATGGTGAAACCCGTCCCCACTAAAAATACAAAAATTTCCTGGGCATAGTGTTGCACACCTGTAATCCCAGCTACTCTGGAGGCTGAGGCAGGAGAATCACTTGAACCAGGGAGGCAGAGGTTGCAGTGAGCCGAGATCGCGCCACTGCACTCCAGCCTGGGTGACAAAGCCAGACTCTGTGCCAAAAAAAAAAAAAAAAAAGTCACGCCTGTCCAGTTCGCCAGATTAAGTCAGTAATTGATCAGCACCTTCGCCAATACTGCCACTAGAAAAACAGCTGCGTGTCTGTTTCAGTGGGATCTCAGGGGAAACCCCTCCACTGTAACTCAGATGCCAGTCTCCACATGAGACCAAATCTTCTCAGTAAGAAAAGCACTGCAGAGCAGCACGGGGTTCAAGCTCCACCTTTGCTGGGGGACTATGGGCCAGTGATGGGCCATCCCACTCTGAAAAATAAAGCAAGTCATAGTGCCTGCAGTCCCTGTTGCAAGCATACAGACACCATGGACGTGAAGTGCCTGGCAGCCAAAAGGTGTGCAGTCAGCTGTATAGAAACTATAGCTGCTGTTGTTGTTGTTAAGGCGGTGAGAGTGTCACCCACAGATTGTCCTCTGTCCATGAAGCTTCTCAAACTCGGACTTTCTCAACCTCTGATGGCACCACGTCCTGCCAATAAGTGGCAGACTAGGGAGGTGAGTAGGGCAGAATCCAGGACTGAGGTGGAGAGAGGATGGAGTGGGAGGGAGGAGAGGGTGGGAGAAATTTGGAGAGAAAAGTCAATGCATGGAGGTAAAGAGAGGGTGGAGACTGAGGGACAGAGATGGGGGAGCAGCTCCCAAGTCCCTGATGACACCTCCCTCATTGGCTTCCCACTCGGTTCTGACTGGCATCTTCTGTCCTCAGAGACCCCAGGCCTCGCACATGCACTCTCATCTCTTGTGCCCCCAACTCCTGGGCTGAGCGCTGCCTGTGCCCCACCTACCCACAGGCCCCTCGCCCCCTGCTCCCCATCTGCTCTCACCGTGACCTTCCACTGTCTCTGCTCCAGCCGCAGGGTGAAGTTTGCCACCTGGACCGTGATCACCCTGGTCACACTGACTCGCCCATTACCCCAGGCCACGTTCTCCTGCAGGACGGCAAACCGATGCAGGCCAGGCCGGGTGCCGCAGGTCTGAGCCAGCACATACACGCAGGTGCCCATGAAGTCGAAGCGGTGGCCATCGAAGGTGGTGTAGTGGGGATCTCCCGACGCCTGGCAGGTGGTAGAGCCCACGGCCACGCAGCCCAAGCTGCCACCGGATGGCCGGCAGGTCTCATGCGGGCCGCAGCTGGAGGGCTCACAGGACACCTCACCGCCCTCCCGGCAGCGGCAAAGGGAATCACACCCAGGGCCAGGGTAGAAGGTCTGGCCCAGTGGGTAGTAGCGGTCATCGTGGAGGCAGCCACACTGGCCCACAGGTACACACGTGTCACCACTGAGCACGAAGCCAGCATCGCAGACACAGCCTTCACGGCAGGCCGACTCACAGCCCTCGGGTGCCGACAGGCTCGGGCAGCTCCCAGGACAGGAGTCACCGCAGAGCTCGTAGTGGCTGTGGGCAGGGCACTGGAAGGCTGTGGGGACAAGGTGGGCATCAGCCAGGTAGGTGTTTGAGTCGCAGTCTTGGGAGGCCCTGAGTGGGAAAACTGCTCAGGCCAACTTGGGCGTCTCTGGGCATGCACATGTGATCCAGGACATCTAACTGGGGGACTCAGCGTGGGACCTGGAATGGGAGGGGACATGCCCAGGTCTCTCTGACCAAATATTTCTGAAGATCAAATGACTCTGCTTGGCTGATATTTTTTTTTTTTTTTTTTTTGAGACAGGCTCTCACTCTATCTCACCCAGGCTGGAGTGCAGAGGCGCAATCACAGCTCGCTGCAGCCTCCACCTAAACCTCAAGCAATCCTCTGGCCTCAGCCTCCCGATTAGCTGGGACTACAGGAGTAAGCCACCACATCTGGCTGATTTATTATTATTTTCTGTAGAGATGGGGTCTCACTATGTAAGCCAGGCTTACCTGGGTGAAATGGATCACTTATATCTATTCGGGGTATGCAGGATCAGAACTGACTATGGGCATCTCAGCGTGTGAATGTGACTGGGGTGTGGGGCCACATGTATCTCAGGGTATGGCTCTGCCTGAGGGCACCCAGCTGTGGGTGTCTGACATGCAGCATCTCCCAGAGTCCTTCTGACATGGTCTGCCTAAGGCTGTGCCTGGGTGAAGTTGGCAGGATACCTGTGACCAGGAGACCTGCCTGAAGGGAACCGCCTAGGACTATCTAACTATGCATCTGTGTGGATCTGCCCAAGGCTATGCCAGGATCCTGTTTCTTTCTGAGTGTATCTGACCAGTCAGTATAAAATTTAAGCAGATATCACTGAAGGTATGCGACTAATTCCATGTGACTAGGTGTATTTCAGTGTGTGCAACAGACCTGGGCCCTCTGACCAGCTGAAACTCACTAGGTCTTCCTAACAAGGGGTACTTTGCTATGTGACAGAGGCAGGGTCAGCCATCCCAATCTACATGCCTTGGATACCTGAAAGCATGGATCACCAATCCCTAAGAGTGTCCTGGACCCCAGGTTTCTTTTCTTTCTTTTTTTTTTTCTGTTGTTTGTTGTTTGTTTGTTTTTTGTTTTGGAGATGGAATCTCTGTCACCCAGGCTGAAGGGCAGTGGCACGATCTCGGCTCACTGCAACCTCTGCCTCCTGGGTTCAAGTGATTCTCCTGCCTCAGCCTCCTGAGTAGCTGAGATTACAGGTGCCCGCCACCACGCCCGGATAATTTTTGTAGTTTTAGTAGAGGTGGGGTTTCACCATGTTGGCCGGGCTAGTCTCGACCTCCTGACCTCAGGTGATCCGCCCGCCTCGGCCTCCCAAATTGCTGGGATTACAGGCGTGAGCCACCGCGCCCACACTCTGACTAGGTGTTTCTAACTGACTCTCTCTCACTGCAGTACCTGACTTGGGGCATTTCAGTGTGTCAGTGCCAAGGTGTTTCCTGACAGTAGATACCGAGCTCGGGAAGGAAAGTGGCCCCTGAGCCCCATGGAGGAGGAAGGGGCTGCTGTCCTACAGTCCTGGGAAGGGCAGGGAGAGACCCAACCATGTGGACCATGCATGGAGCAGTACTCACGACAGAAGTCCGGCCGCCTCCACTCGCGGAGCTGGGCCCCAGCGGCCTGACAGGCTGCCACGTAGGTGGCCACTGCAGGACAGAGGCCTCCAGGATGGCCCTGAACTTGGCAGGCGTCCAGCAAGCAGCCCTGGAAGTACTGCGCGGGCGGCACAAGGCCGTGGCAGGGCGCCAGCGGGCCGTCGGTGGCGGAGATCACGCCGCAGGCGTCCGGGCCGCCGAAGGACTCTTGCTGCTCTGGGGTGCACGGCGACGGGCATGGCTTGGACACACATTCCCCGCAGCCCTGGGCGCCGCCCACCTGCCATCCGGCGGGCTTCCCGCCCACCGCCTTCAGGTCGTCTGCGGGGTCCTGGTTGTAGTTCCCGCATAAGCCACAGAGAGAGCCCGCGTACGCCGCCGGCACGCGCAGGCGCACGAAGCTGTCCCCATCGAAAGCCAGCGAGAGCCCTGAGGTTGTGGTCACCACCACGTCGGCGCCGCTCAGGTGTGCGTGCAGGAGCGAGTCCAGCTGGAAGGGCAGAGTGACGAACACGCCGTCCACCTGTGGGCAGTGGGGGAGCGGTGAACGGAGCAAACACGGGTTTGAATCCTGGCCCCACTACCTACTAGCTGTGGGACCCAGAGCATGTCACCTCCCGCTGAAAATAATAATGAGCATCTATAGGCCGGGCCTGGTGGCAAAGCCTGCAATCCCAGGACTTTGGAAGGCCGAGATGGGAGGATCGCTTGACGCCAGAAGTTCAGATCAGCCTGGGCAACATAGTGAGACCCCCATCTCTACAAAAAAATGAAAAATTAGCCAGCGTGGTGGCGTGTGCCTTTAGTCACAGATACTTGGGAGGTGGAGGCCAAGGCGGGAGGATCGATTCAGCCCACGAGTTCCAGGCTGCAGTGAGCCCTAATCCTGTCACTGCGCTCCAGCCTGGGCAACAGAGTCAGGCTAAGAAAAGAAAGAAAGAAAGAAAGAAAAGCAAGAAAGAAAAAAAGAAAAGAAAAACAAAGAGCCTCTACTGGCTCATGTCACTGACTCCTTATCCTTCTCGAAAACAGGTACTTTTCCTAGACCAGTTTACAGAGGAATACACTAGGCTCACAGAGGAAGAAGCTGCTGTGCCAAGCCATCAGGCTCCTAGGCGTACACTCTGACCCTTCCATCATGCCCCAGCTAAGCTGTGAAAGGGGCCCAGGGGAATGGTGAAGCCCTTACCATCTCAGGCAACCCCAGAGCTGGCACTTGCTCCTGTCTGGCCCACAGCCCTCCTCACCTGTAGCTTCCGGGGCCAGCGGGCACTCAGTGTCAGGCTGTGGTTGTAGATTTGCAGGGTGACACTGCGGGTGTAGCTGACAGCCTGGCTGCCCCGGTGCTCATTGGCTACAGTGACAGTGAAGTTCTCAGCCCCCAAGGGTGGTCCGTGGCAGGGTGCACTCAGCAGGTACTCGCAGGTGCCTTGGAAATCGAATCGGTGCCCATCCAGAGTGACGTAATGGGGGTCACCCCACGCCTGGCACTCAGCTGTGCTGACGGGCTGGCAGCCGTGCTGGCCGGATGGCAGGAGGCCACACACTTCACCCAGCCCACAGCTGGCAGGTGTGCAGACCAGCGAGCCACCCCCAGGCCCGCAGCGACACCACTGGGAGCAGGTGCCATCAGCCCAAAACTCACTGCCCGCCTCGTGGTAGGTGCCATTGGCCCAGCAGCCGCAGCCGTTGTTGAGGGGAACACAGCGGTCAGCACTTAACACGAAACCCGCGTCGCACTGGCAGCCCTCCACACAGGGGCCCTCACATACGGCTGGCGTCGTAAGGGGTGCAGGGGACGGACAGCTGGCCGGGCAGGGTGGGCCACAGACCTCATAGTGGCTGTTTTCTGGGCAGGTGATCTCTGTGGGCAGATGAAGGAGCAGGAAGGAGAGAAACAGAAAGAAGGGTGTTAGGGGTGGGGTCCCAGAACAGGGTGGGAGGAGACAGAGAGAGACACTAGGGAGCAGACAGAGAAAGGGGGAGACAGAAAACAAGACACAGAGAGAGGACACAGAGAAAGAAATGGGAGAGGGCGAGACACCAGGAGACCCAAGCAGAAACTGAGGGAGCTAGAGAATGAGAAACAGACAGATAGAGACAAGCAAAGCGAGGCCCAGAGACGAGCACCAAGAAACAGAGAGACAAACAGAGAAAAAAGAAAACAAAGAGACCCAGAAGGACCAGAGTGAAACCAAACCAGCCCCGAAGAGATGGGACCCCGCCCCCAGCCCCGCCTCTGCTCCCCCAACACTCACCACAGCCAACCTGTGCCCGCCAGTCTTCGATGACAACCCCAGCAGCCTGGCAGGCGGCCACATAGGAAGCCAGAGCCTTGCAAAGAATGTCACGGTCCCCACCACCCATGCAGACGTCCAGAACACAGCCCTTGAAGAAGCTCTCAGGTGGCACATGAGCATGGCAGGTGGTGAAAGGGCCCCCTGTGCCGGGGGCCAGGGGTCCGCAGAAGCCAGGGCCCTCGTACTGCTCCAACCGGTCCTCAGGGCACGTTGGGCAGGACCCCCGACATTCGTCCCAACACAGTGGGTCCCAGCCTGGGGCTCGCCAGCTGCCGCCCCAGATGGGTATGGAGGGAGCCAGTGTGCCATTAGGGAAGACCTGGTCATTGTTGGGGTTGCGGTCCATGTTACCGCAGAGCCCGCACACTGCGCCATGATAGCTGCTGGGCAGCGTCACGTCTACCCGCCAGTTCCAGTCATAGCTGACTTGCAGTCCAAAGTCAGCCACCAGCAGTGCCTTCGATGCACCCTGGGTCACTGAAATCCGCCCGTCGGCCACAGAGACAGGCAAGGCTGTGAGCACACCGTTCACCTGGGGGAAGGAGGGAAGGCAAACGGGTCACTGGAGGTTTTACGGCCCCAGCTCTGGCCCTCTGCCTCCCTCTCTCTCATCCCACCGGGGGCTGGGAGAGGCCAGGGCCTTCCCCCGAGAGTTGGATTGTCATCTGACACACTGTGGACAGTTGTTCTAGCCCAGGTCTTGGGGAACGAAACCTCACTTTACTTTTTCTAGATCTTCTCCCTTCATCTCTATCTCCCTCCCCTGTCTCTGTCTCTCTCTCTGTGTCTCTCTCCCTCTGTCTTCACCTAAGGCTATGCCTCTGGGTCTTCTCTCTCTCTGTCTCTGTCTCTCTCTCTCTCTTTCTGTCTCTCTGTCTCTGTCTCACCCTTTTCCCTTCCTCCCTACCTCCCTCATTCTTTGTGCATCTCTTCCACTCACTCACCATCATTTATTCAGTGCCTACTCTGCTGCATCCCTCAGTCTCTCCATGTGAGCTGCCATCAAGCTACATCTCCATTTCCTTGGGCAGAAAGGATAGCCCATTCCTCTCCCCCATCTCCCTATATTTCTTTTTCTTGATTACTTTTTTTATTTTTCAGACGGAGTCTCACTATGTCACCGAGGCTTGTGTGCAGTGTTGCAGTCTCGGCTCTTGTAACCTCTGCCTCCCAGGTTCAAGCAATTCTCCTGCCTCAGTGTCCTGAGTAGCTGAGAATTCAGGAGCATCACCACACCCAGCTAATTTTTGTATTTTTAGTAGAGACGGAATTTCACCATGTTAGCCAGGCTTGTCTCGAACTCCTGACCTCAGATGATCCATCGGCCTCGGTCTCCCAGAGTGCTGGGATTACAGGCGTGAGCCACCGGGCCCAGCCCAGTCTCCCTGTATTTCTCTCCATGTCCTGGTCTCTGGGCCTCTCACTTTTCCCTCACCGACACTCAAACGACTGTTCACCTGGACTAGACTCTGAGCTCAGCATGTGACATGCACGGCCTTGCTGTGGGGGAGGCCCTGATACGATGCCCACTTCACAGATGAGGAAACTGAGGCCTACCAAGTGAACTGCCCAGCATCACATAGCTCATAAGGAGGAGAGGCTGGATTGAAACCCAGGTCTATAAAAAAGGCAAATGCTGAGGTCCTATGTTAAAGCCCTTTGCCAGGGGCTAGGCTCATTTAATTCCCAGTAACAGGGTGATATTTTTGTTGCAATTATTCTCTTTGTTGACAGTTTGTTTCAGGCCCAGGTGAAGACAAAGAGCCTTGAGCTGCTAACTGTGGTCGTCAGGATCCCTCCTGCCCTCCCGGGGACCTCAGGGGACCATCCTGCCACACATACCCGGACTTTGCCGATCTCGTCCTTGTGGATGGAGATGTTGGTGCCGAGGGCAGCCACGGTGACGACTCTCACGTAGGACACAGCAGGGTTGCCCCGGTTCTGGTTCTTGGTGGTGACGGTGAAGGGTGTCAGGCCCTGGGTGCTGACCCCCGGGCAGCCAGTTGTTGCCAGCACATAGTTACAGGTGCCCTGGAAGTCAAACTTCCGGCCATCGAAGGAGTGGTAGTGTGGGTCGCCCCACAGCCAGCACGTGGCCTCATAGTTGGGCAGGCACACGCCCTGGCCACCCTGCTCCTTGCATGTCTCCTGTGGCCGGCATGTCACGCCGTGGCACGGGTCTGGGGACAGAAGAGGGAGGAGGACCTTGAGGGGCTGCCCATTGTAAAGCATGGCCGCTCCCTCCACATCTACCCAGTCTGTGCCAGGGATCTGAGGGTTACTGCAGGCAAGACCACATTACAGAGTCCTCATGTCTAGGACCCACTTCCTATAGTTTGCTTTTACATTTTCTTTTGTTTTGTTGTTTTTTTGAGATGGAGTCTTTCTCTGTCACCCAGGCTGGAGAGCAATGGTACAATCTCGGCTCACTGCAACCTCTGCCTCCTGGGCTCCAGTGATTCTCCTGACTCAGCCTCCTGAGTGGCTGGGATTATAGGTGCCCACCAGCATGCTTGGCTGATTTTTGTATTTTTAGTAGAGACAGGGTTTCACCATGTTGGCCAGGCTGGTCTCGGGCTCCTGACATCAAGTGATCAGCCAACCTTGGCCTCCCAGAGTGTTGGGATTACAGGCATGAGCCATCATGCCCAGCCTGCTATTTTCAAGACCAGCCCCTGGGAGTCCCACACAGCTGACACTGAGGCCCCATGGGGGACTGTGTCTAAGTCTCGGCTGTCAAAGGTCCCATACCTGAGACCTGGGCCCCAGAGGTCTGTACAGCCAAGACCCAGTACCTAGAGTTCCCCTACTTCTGAGACTGAGGCCCTGCCATTTGCTGTGTGAGACTGAGATCCTGGAGTCCACGCACCTAAGACCAAGGTAAAGACCAAGGCTCTGGGTCTGTGTTTAAGGTGCACTTTCCATGGTGCCCTTGCTTGAGATTTCACCCTGTTCTTGTATTTTAAGTTTTATAGGAACCTCACCGTCTTCACTTACATAGGCTACGGCTGCTTTCACACCACAGTGGCAGAGTGAGTAGTTGTGATCCAGAAGGTATAGCCTGCAAGCTTAAACACTTACCATCTAGCCCTTTAGAGAAAAGGTGCACTTGACCCCAGTTGAGATCTGTGCCCCAGGGGTCCTTGTGTCTGCGATGCCAGCCCTGAGAGCATCCATGTCTGAGATCCCAGCCCCAGGGTTCTCTGTGTTCAAGACCTGGGCCCCAGGCCAGGTGTGGTGGCTCAGGCCTGTAATCCCAGCACTTTAAGAGGCTGAGGTGGGAGGATAGCTTGAGCCCTGGAGTTTGAGACTAGCCTGGGCAACATAGTAAGACCCCATTTCTACAGAAAGATTAATAAATTAGCCAGGCGTGGTGGTGTGTGCCTGTAGTCCCCCACTACTCGGGAGGCTGAGGCGGGAGGATTGTTTGAGCCCAGGAAATCGAGGCTGCAGTAAGCTACACTACACTCTAGCCTGGGCCACAGAGTGAGACCTTAGCTCAAAAAAAAAAAAAAGATCTAGGTCTCAGGGTCCCCCATGCCTGAGACCTCAGCCCCCTGGACATCTCCACATTTGATAGAAATTGGTCTCCAATTTCTCTAGGTCCTGGAGGCCTCTGTGCCCAAGACTAGGGCCCTGGGGTGATCTTCTGGCAAGAGCCCAGTGCCAGGGTCTCAGCAGGATTTGAAATGTTTGAGACCCTAACTAGCTAAGTCTCATGGGCTGGGCTCCCTCAGTGCAAGACTCCATCCCTGAGGGTTGCTGTATTCAAGACAGTAGCCTTGATCGTGTCTCACTGCTGAGGCCCTGTCCTGGGGGGTTTCTGTGTCCGAGACCCTGTTCGTACAGTTACTACATCTGTGACCCCAGCTTGCGGAACCCCTGTGTGGGAGAGGCCAGCCTTCAAACGTCTCCTTCCTCCTGTGTCCATTATCTATGTACCGCCTCTCAGCTTCAAATACACCCACGGAGTTAAGCTTTGTCAACAGAGGGCGCCGGAGAGTCACTGCAGGAGGGACGGTCTCCTGGTCTGGCTTCTAGCCAGTTTGGTCCTTCCAGCTCTGGCCAGGGTGCGGGGCCACATTCAGCGAGTGCCACTGGCCGCAGCTGGCTTCCCAGTGAGGGGTTCCCTTCTTGCCAAGTCCAGCCTGCAGAAACCTCTGTGCCACCCAGTGGGCTACAGCTGCAGTGAGACTGGACTCAGCCTTGGGGCTGATTCTCCCCTCCTTGAAGAGTAGGGGCCAATTTCTCCCTTCCATGAGGCTTTTACCTTAGCCCTAGAGTGGCGGCTACTTCCTGTGTGTGCTTTGGTGGTATTCTTTAGTGCTCTCTTTACCGTTTCTTATTTCTGTTTATTTGTTTGTTTGTAAAGAGACAAGGTCTTGCTGTCTTGCCCACGCTAGAGAGCAGTGGTGCAATCATATAGCTCACTGCAGCCTCGAAATCCTGGGGTCAACTGATCCTCCTACCTCAGCATCCTAAATAGCTGGGACCACGGGCACGCATCACCACACCTGGCTAATTTTCAATTTTTTGTGGAGACAGGGGTCTCGCTATGTTGCCCAGGCTGGTCTCAAACTCCTGGCCTCAAGTGATCCTCCCAAAGTTCTGGGTGTGTGAGCCACGGCACCAGACCCTCTTTACCCTTAATAGTTAATCTCCTATTAATAAGTAAGTGATTCTTTAATTAAACTTTCCTCATTCAAATGGCCATACGCTTTCTGTCTCTCGACTAGATGCTGAGTGATATACCCCCCATTTCTGGGAGTCCCCATTATCCTGCTCATCAGCCCTGAGAGTCTTAGCCCCCACTCCTTGGTGCTGGAGCTCCCATTCTCTTATCCTTAGGGGGAGGAGAGTTCTCTGCTCTTCACCCTAAGAAATGAGCCCTGGGGGTGGCTGTGTCCCAGATTTAGTCTGGGGGATTCCCACATCAGAGACTATACCCCCAGAAATCCTGATCTTCCAGTTAAGAGGGGTCCCCATATCCAATGTCCTGCCTTGGTGAGGTCTCCGTGCGTGAGACTCAGAACTCTGCTCTCTGTCCCTGCCCCTGGGATCCCAGTCTCTCCCCTGCCCTTTGGTGCTAGTGTCTGAACCCCAAGTCCAATCCCACACATCAGTGTTCCGCTCATGATGGCCCCCTAGGCTGCTGCTCTTGTATTCTAAAGTCTTATAGGAGCCTGACCTCTTCACTTACATAGTCTACGGCTGCTTTCATGCCACAGTGGCAGAGTGAGTAGCTGGAACGAGAACCTACAGCCTGCGAGCTTAAACATTTACCATGTAGCACATTAGAGCAAAGGCGCGCCTGTCCCTGCCTTATACCGAGGGTCTCTGACATCCACCCTGAGAAAACTATCTCTGAGGGTCCCCACAGCCTGGATTTTCCCTAAGGGTCCCTACCTCCCAAAGTAGGTGGCCCTGGCCCTGTGAAACCTGGTCTAGGGTTCCCCAGGTCTGCAACCTCAATCATTAGTCCTGTACACCTCCCGCCATGGACACCCCAGTTACACTACCCTCAGCCCCAGAGTCCCCATCCTCCATCCCTAGTCCCATCAGCCCCAGTCCCAGCCCAGCCCAGCCCAGCACCTTTGGTGACGCAGCTCAGGATGCCTCCGGAGGGCTGGCACACCTGCCCCGGCTTGCAGCTGTGTTCCTGGCACACCACGACTTTACCCGCATGGCACGTGCACTGCTGCCGACAGTTGTCAATGAGGACTGTCTGCTCCGGCTGTGGGGAGAGAGGGAACGGCCATCAGGGACACCACGGGTGGGAGCCGACTCTCACATCTCTGGCGTTCTGGCACAGAGGGGTTTGGCAGACATCACAGACAAGGGACATCTCTCAGCAGGATGGCCCCTTGTCTGTGAAGCTGAGGCACAGCATGGCTTTGGGGCCATCATTCATTGGTTCATTCACTTTTCTTCATTTACTCATTCATTCCAAAATATCCACTCAACGTCTGCTGTAGGAGAAATGGTGTGACACAGTAACTAAGGGCAGATCGCCTGGGCTTGAAGCCCGTTTCTGCTGTTTCCAAAGTGTGTGACTCTGGGCAGTTACTTCACCTCTTTATGGCTCAGTTTCATGATCTGCAGATTGCAGATGATAGTAGCGCCTGCCTTTGGAAATATAACTGAGTTATATTCAGATAATAACCAAGTTATATTCAGATAATAACCAAGTTATATTCAGACATGTAAAATTCAGATAAAATGAAAAGGGTAGGCCGGGCGCGGTGGCACATGCTTGTAATCCCAGCACTTTGGGAAGCCGAGGCGGGTGGATCACGAGGTCAGAAGATTGAGACCATCCTGGCTAACACGGTGAAACCCCGTCTCTACTAAAAATACAAAAAATTAGTCGGGCGTGGTGGCGGGCGCCTATAGTCCCAGCTACTCGGGAGGCTGAGGCAGGAGAATGGTGTGAACTCGGGAGGCGGAGCTTGCAGTGAGGCAAAACTGCGCCACTGCACTCCAGCCTGAGTGACAGAGCGAGACCCCATCTCAAGGAAAAAAAAAAACAAAAACAGAAAAGGGTTTCCTTTAAAACATTCAGATAGGAGAGATACGTGGGGTAGACATCAAACAAGATCGGGAGAATATGGCTTATTTTTGAAGCTAAGTGATGGGTAAGTACATGGACAGTCATTCCACTATTCTCTTAATTTTTGCATGTTTGAACGTTTTCAGAATAAAAAGTTTTTAGATATGTAATGCATATATAAAAATATGCACACATAGCACTTAAAACGGTACCAGATACATAGTAAGCACTATCTACACATTTTCTGTTATTATTAATATTATTTATGTGAGGAGAACAACAGAGAGAGGGTTCCACCCCTAGGAGAGCTCACAGTCCCCAAGGGAGATGGACATTAGACAAACACATGCTCCAGTCAAAGAAAAAGGACCTACGGGGACAGAGTGGGAGAGGGAAGTAGAGGGTGTTAGCAGCTGGTATAACACATGGAAATCTTGTCTTTGTGGTCAGAAAGGCTCCCTTCGTCCAGACCTGGAAGGCAAAGCCACAACTTGACCTGGGGAGTCAGGGGAGGGTTTAAAGCTTCAGAGCCCGTGGTCATATTTAGAAAGATCTTTACCACTGCCACGTGGAGGGTGGACCAGAGGGAGCAGAGGTAGGAGCTGGGAGGGACCCAGGTAGGAGAGGACCAGCTGGACCAAGGGAGGGCCATGGGGACAGGGAAAGGAGTGGGTACAAGAGACACTGAAGAGACTGAGTGGACTAGCTGTGGTGGCTCCCGCCTGTAATGCTCGCACTTTGGGAGGCCAAGGCAGGAGGATCACTTGAAGTCAGGAGTTCGAGAGCAGCCTGGCCAATATGGCAAAACTCCACCTCTACCAAAATACAAAAAAATTAACCGTGTGTGGTGGCACGTGCCTGTACTCCTAGCTACTCGGGAGGCCGAGACAAGAGAATTGCTTCAACCTGGGATGCTGAGGTTGCAGTGAGCTTGAACCCGAGAGGCGGAGGTTGCACTCCAGCCTGGGCAACAGAGCAAGACTATATCTTTAAAAAAAAAAAAAAAAAGAGGCTCAGTGGGTCGGGCATGGTGGCTCATGCCATTAATCCCAGCACTTTGGGTGGCCAAGGCGGGACGATGGCTTGAGGCCTGGAGTTCACGACCAGCCTGAGCAACATAGTGAGACGCCCCCATCTCTATGTGTCCACAGGAAAATTAAAAATTCGCTGGGCTTGGTGGTGCGCACCTATAGTCCCAGGTACGTGGGAGGTGAGGTGAAGGATTGCTTGAGCCAAGGAATTTGGGGCTGCAGTGAACTATGATGGTACCACTGCACTCCAGCCTGGGTGACAAGAGTGAGACCCTGACTCTAAAAGAAATAAATAAGAGGCTAAGTAGACAGGCCGTGGGGCTGATGAGCAGTGGGAGGGGTGAGACCCCATATTCTGCCCCAGATGACTAGGTTCCTACCTCATAGTAGGCACCATTGTGGTAGCAGCCACATTGCTGGATGGGCACGCAGGCTTGGCCGTTGTAGAGGAAGCCGGAGTCACACTGGCAGCCCTCAGCACACCCATCTGGGCACTGCAGAGGGGCACTGAGAGCCGAGCAGCCCAGGGAGCAGGTGTCCGCACAGAGCTCGTAGTGACTGTTCTGAGGGCATTCCATGGCTGCAAGGAGGGGGTGCCGATCAGAGCCCTGGGGAGGGAGGGGCTGCAAGGCCCAGGGTCTACCCCTTCTGTGCCTCAAGCTCTCCCCTCCCTGCCCCTCCGGCTCTCCCTCACTCACGACAGAAAGTTTCATTCCTCCAGGGCTCCACGTGGCCTCCAGCCACCTGGCAAGCACTCACGTAGGCATGGATGTTGCTGCAGAGAATGCTCAGGTTCCCACCACCCAGGCAGAGATCAAAGATGCAATCTTTCAAGGGACCCTGGGGATCCACCAGCTTGTGGCAGGAGGACAGTGGCCCTGTGGGGCTGGAGAGGAGCCCACAGAACTCCTCCTTCTGATACTTCTTCTCCAGCTCGGGAGGACACTCCTCGCTGGGGATACAGCCCTCGCTCCCCGGCGGGCAGGTGGGCGGCGGCAGGCAGGGAGAGTCGGACACCACCTCCTCCCAGGAGTTGCCGAACTCATTGGCGTTGCCTGCCTGCGAGCCATTGGGCTTCTGGAAGTCATCCTTGGGGTCGCCATTGTAGTTCCCACACAGGCCACACATCAGCTGGTAGTAGTTTCCAGGGACGGTGACCCGCACATAGTACACAAGGTCGTAGGCCACACGCAGGCCGAAGTCGGTCTCAATCACAACATCTGAACCATGCTGGGAGGCACGGATCTGGCCGTTGGCCAGCACCACGGGCAGCTTCATGTCCACACCGTTCACCTGGGAGGGGAAGAGAGGCAGGCCACGCTTCAGAAAGTATACTTTGAGTGAGGGTGGGACCCTAGTTCAAGCCCATGCCTGATGCTGATCTTTGTGACCTCACCTCTTAGGCCCTCAGTTTCCTATTTATTAAATGGATATAATAACAGGGCCTGATAGTAGATTGAATGGTGGTCCCCAAAAGACATATTCACCCAGAATCCCATAGCGTGAGCTTACTCGGAATAAAGTTCTTTGCAGATGTAATCAGGGTAATAATCTCAACATGAGATTATCCTGGATTAAATTGGGCCTTAAATCCAATGACTAGTATCCTTATAAGAGCCAGAAAGAAAAAGGCAAAGAGACACACAGAAAAAGCCACATGAAGATGAAGGCAGGGATTAGAATGGTGTTGTCACAAGCCCAGAGAACCTGGAGTCTGCAGAGCTGGAAAGGGAAAGGAAGATCCCCCAACCAGTGTCTTTGGAGGGGGTGCAGCCCTGCCCACACCTTGATGTTGAACTTCTGGCACCCAGGACTGTGGAACATACATTTCTAGTGTTTTAAGCCACCAAGCTCGTGGTAATTTGTTATGGCAGCCATGGGAAACGAATACAGGTCTCGATGAAGTAACAAGCCTCCAGCTATCCTTTGTTTACCGCTTGCTGCAGCCATTAATAAGCAATGATCGCCCCCGGAGCCACTTGCCCGAGTTCAAACAGTTTCCCCCTTACCCTCTTTGTGACCTTGGGCAAGTGAGTCACCTCTCCCTGTTTCTGTTTCCTCATCTATCAAGTGGGAATAAGGCGTTTGCCCCATGGAACTGTTGTCAGGATCACATAAATTAGTATCTGTAAAGTGCTGAGAAACGTGGCTGGCATAGCATGCATGCTTCAGGAGCATTTGCTGTTATTAGCAGCTATGAGTGGAGGTTTTTCTTCTGAAGAGTAAACAGAACCACAGGTTTTTGCTTTAAAGCATCAGCGAGTGGAAAGTTAGGCTAAATTCTTGGGGAAATGAACTTAAACCTATGAGCTGAGGACCAGTGGTTTCAGTTAAAGATTTACTAGGCTCCAACAAAGCCTGGTAAATCCACCCCTGGACAGGGCACAGTGGCTCATGTCTATAATCCCAGCACTTTGAGAGGCCAAGGCGGGAAGATCACTTGAGCCCAGGAGTTCAAGGTCAGCCTGAGCAATATATCGAGATCCTGTCTCTACAAAATAAAAAAGAAAACAAATTAACTGGGCATGGTGGTGCATGCCTGTACTCCCAGCCACTCAGGAGGCTGAAGTGGTAGGATTGCTTGAGAGCAGGAGTTTGAGGCTGCAGTGAGCTAGGATCACACCACTGCACTCCAGCCTTGGTGATAGAGCAAGACCCTGTCTCTAAAAAATAAATAAATACATCAACCCCTGATTAACATGCTTTCTTACCCTTCCTTATCACAGACAGTGCACACCGGATTCTTTTGGAAATGTGAAGAATCAGAGGAGAAGGCAGGAGAAAGACATGCTCCTGGCTGAGTCTCCTAAAAAGATGGTCAACTGCCACACTTCCCAAGCAGGGCTGGGCGGTGGGTAAGGGCAACTGACTTAGCCTTGCCTCAGTTTCCTCAGCTGTAAACTGCGGGGTAATAAGAGCTCCCACATCTGTAGGGAAGCTGGGGGTTTCAGTAAGAAGCAACTAACAAGAACATCAACAACTCCTGTGTATTTAGGCGCTGTATGTCAGGGGCTATTCTAGGAGCTTGGGAAACATTAGGGAATATATTCAATTAAGTCCTGCATGTCGGCCGGGCACAGTGGCTCATGCCTCTATTCCCAGCACTTTGGGAGGCTGAGGCCGGCAGATCACTGAGCTCAGGAGTTGGAGACCAGACTGGCCAACATGGTGAAACCCGTCCCCACTAAAAATACAAAAATTTCCTGGGCATAGTGTTGCACACCTGTAATCCCAGCTACTCTGGAGGCTGAGGCAGGAGAATCACTTGAACCAGGGAGGCAGAGGTTGCAGTGAGCCGAGATCGCGCCACTGCACTCCAGCCTGGGTGACAAAGCCAGACTCTGTGCCAAAAAAAAAAAAAAAAAAGTCACGCCTGTCCAGTTCGCCAGATTAAGTCAGTAATTGATCAGCACCTTCGCCAATACTGCCACTAGAAAAACAGCTGCGTGTCTGTTTCAGTGGGATCTCAGGGGAAACCCCTCCACTGTAACTCAGATGCCAGTCTCCACATGAGACCAAATCTTCTCAGTAAGAAAAGCACTGCAGAGCAGCACGGGGTTCAAGCTCCACCTTTGCTGGGGGACTATGGGCCAGTGATGGGCCATCCCACTCTGAAAAATAAAGCAAGTCATAGTGCCTGCAGTCCCTGTTGCAAGCATACAGACACCATGGACGTGAAGTGCCTGGCAGCCAAAAGGTGTGCAGTCAGCTGTATAGAAACTATAGCTGCTGTTGTTGTTGTTAAGGCGGTGAGAGTGTCACCCACAGATTGTCCTCTGTCCATGAAGCTTCTCAAACTCGGACTTTCTCAACCTCTGATGGCACCACGTCCTGCCAATAAGTGGCAGACTAGGGAGGTGAGTAGGGCAGAATCCAGGACTGAGGTGGAGAGAGGATGGAGTGGGAGGGAGGAGAGGGTGGGAGAAATTTGGAGAGAAAAGTCAATGCATGGAGGTAAAGAGAGGGTGGAGACTGAGGGACAGAGATGGGGGAGCAGCTCCCAAGTCCCTGATGACACCTCCCTCATTGGCTTCCCACTCGGTTCTGACTGGCATCTTCTGTCCTCAGAGACCCCAGGCCTCGCACATGCACTCTCATCTCTTGTGCCCCCAACTCCTGGGCTGAGCGCTGCCTGTGCCCCACCTACCCACAGGCCCCTCGCCCCCTGCTCCCCATCTGCTCTCACCGTGACCTTCCACTGTCTCTGCTCCAGCCGCAGGGTGAAGTTTGCCACCTGGACCGTGATCACCCTGGTCACACTGACTCGCCCATTACCCCAGGCCACGTTCTCCTGCAGGACGGCAAACCGATGCAGGCCAGGCCGGGTGCCGCAGGTCTGAGCCAGCACATACACGCAGGTGCCCATGAAGTCGAAGCGGTGGCCATCGAAGGTGGTGTAGTGGGGATCTCCCGACGCCTGGCAGGTGGTAGAGCCCACGGCCACGCAGCCCAAGCTGCCACCGGATGGCCGGCAGGTCTCATGCGGGCCGCAGCTGGAGGGCTCACAGGACACCTCACCGCCCTCCCGGCAGCGGCAAAGGGAATCACACCCAGGGCCAGGGTAGAAGGTCTGGCCCAGTGGGTAGTAGCGGTCATCGTGGAGGCAGCCACACTGGCCCACAGGTACACACGTGTCACCACTGAGCACGAAGCCAGCATCGCAGACACAGCCTTCACGGCAGGCCGACTCACAGCCCTCGGGCACTGGGAGGTCTCCACAGGACAGCGGGCAGCCGTAGGAACACGCCTCATAGTGGCTGTGGGGTGGGCAGCTCAGTGCTGCAGGGAGAGGAGACATCAAGATCAAGAATTCCTGCTCCCAGGTCAGGAGTTCGAGACACACTCACATACAAGTGGTCCCTCAACACATTCGTATGCACACAAACACTCAAACACACTCACACACAAGTGGTCCCCCAAGACATTCATATGCACACACACGCTCAAACACACTCACACACACACAAGCGGTCCCCCAACACATTCGTATGCACACACAGATGCTCAAAGACACTCACACACAAGCGGTCCCATTGCAGGGTGCTTGGGGAACACATTACATCGCAGTTAATCTGATCCTGATAATTAAGATTCTTTCCCAATTTAACTATGGTTTGGAGTTATCTATTATGGTTTTTTTTTTTTTTGAGATAGGGGTCGCTCTGTTACTCAGGCTGGAGCGCGGTGGTGCTTGCTATCACAGCTCACTGCAGCTTTGACCTCCTGGGCTCAAGCAATCCTCCCACTTCAGCCTCCTGAGTAGCTGGGACTATAGGCGTGCACCATCATGCCTGGCTAACTGTTCAAATTTTTTATAGAGATGCGGTCTCGCTATGTTGCCCAGGCTGGCCTCAAACTCCTGGGCTCAAGCAGTCCACCTGCCTCAGCCTCCCGAAGTGCCGGGATTGCAGGAATGAGCCACCACACCCAGCCTTCTATTATGTCTTTAATGACCTTATTCAAGTTGGATACATGGTGTTGATATGTGGCATATATTTTAAACATGCATATGCATATATTTCTGTGTTTGTATAATCTATGCAATATTTGTGAATGCAATACTTTTAGCTTCTTCCTTCTATAGCAGTAATTAAAATATTTAGCCAGTGTTATAAAGAAAAAAAGAAAAACCTCCCTGCTCCCCTCCCCAAACTCCAGTCACTCCATAAAAAGCAAATCTAAGTGACTAAAACTAAACCACATTAAATCTCTATCTGTGCTGTCAAATACAGTAGCCACTAGCCACTTGTGACCATTTGGATGTAAGTTAATTAAAATGAAACAAAATTGAAGATTTAGCTCCTCAGTCACAACAGCCTCATTGCAAGTGCTCAGCAGCCACATGTGACCTGTGGTGACCTGGTATGTATTTGAACAGCTCAAATATGGAGCTGTCATCATTGAAGTTCTGCTGGGTGGTGCTGTTCTGAAGCTGACATCCAGCTTACAGGAGAATCATGGGGACATAGGGACAAGTTCAATAACACTCCAAAATAGCAACTAGCCAGATCCTGAAAGTATGAAATTCTGCAGGATAAATAACCTATCTTTCCCAGTAAATAAGTGACATAGACAAAAGGAAGAGCTGGATGGAGGGATAGCTATGTGATAAGGCAAATGAATGAATTAGAATTAGAGTGAAGAGGCCGGGCGCGGTGGCTCACACCTGTAACCCCAGCATTTTTGGAAGCCGAGGCAGGAGGATCACTTGAGGTCAGGAGTTCGAGACCAGCCTAGCCAACATGGTAAAACCCGTTTCTACTAAAAATACAAAAATTAGCTGGGCATGATGGCGCACATCTGTAATCCCAGCTACGTGGGAGGCTGAGGTGGGAGAATCGCTTGAACCCGGGAGGCGGAGGTTGCAGTGAGCTGAGATTGCACCACTGCACTCCAGATTAGGCAACAGAGTGAGACTCCATCTCAAAAAAAAAAAAAAAGAAAGAAAGAAAGAAAGAAAAAAGAAAAGAAAAAGAATTAGAGTGTAGAGTCCAGGTGGTAGGTTTATGGGTCTTCACTGTAAAATTCTTTCAACTTTTTTGTATATTTGACAATTTTCATAATACTATGTTGGGAGGAACAAAGGAAGGAAATTCTGACAGAGTAAAAGCAAAGAGGTAGATCAATCCAATGCAGTATGTGTATTTGGTTTGGTTCTAGAGCCAAACAAAATAGAAAAAAACCTTTTTTTTTTTTTAGACAATTGGGAAAATTTGAACCCAGATTGGGCTTTACATGATGTTAGGGAATTAATGTTATTGTTGTTACTGGTAATTACCACATGCCCTCATATCTCTTTCTTTCTTCCTTCCTTTTTTTTTTTTTTTTTTTAGAGACAGGGCCTCACTGGAGTGCAGTGGCACAGTCTCGCCTCACTGCCACCTCCACCTCCTGGGCTGAAGATATTCTCCCACCTTAGCCTCCTGAGTAGCTGAAATGATAGGCACTAGTCACCATGCCCGGCTTATTCTTTATTTTTATTTTTGTAGAGACTGGGTTTTGCTATGTTGCTCAGGCTGGTCTTGAACTCCTGGCCTCCAGCGATCCTTCCACCTAGGCCTCCCAAAGTGCTGGGATTACAGGCATGAAAAGCAAACTCCTGTGCCTTAAAAGTCCTTTTTTGTTGCTGAAAAGCAGATGCTTACTGAAGTAGTTAGAGGAGAACTGATCTGCCTAGAATTTGATCTAAAATATTCTACCAAAAAAGAGGGGGTGGAGTGAGAGGTAGAGGAACTAAGAATGGCAAAATACCAATAATTGTTCAAGCTGGGTCAGGCCTCCGTCTGCATATCTAAGACCTCATGATCCAGTCTTCTAGAACTTCCAGGTGGTACAAGGAAAGGAGTAGTTTTAAGGAAACAAGAGATTCTCAATTTCCACACAGGCCACAGAGTCTGATAATTAACAGCACAAAATCAGGAGCCAGCCTGTTCAAATCACCCCACCGGCTGTGTGACCTCAGGCTAGTTCCTTAACATCTCTGTGGTTCAGTTTCCTCGTCTTGTAAAATAGGAATAAGAGCAATTCTGCCTCACGGGGTGGTTGTGAGGATTCAATGAGAAACCCTTAGAACAGGACCTGCCCAGTGGGATGCGTGTCACACAACTGCTAGCTGGAATTATACGTGTCCTGCCTAAAAGGACAGCCCAAGAATGCTCTGTTAGAAGAGCATTCCCACTTCCCATTGTCCACCTGTCCCCTTCACAAGTGTGCTTCCTGCACTTTACAGAAGAGAACAGTGCAGTCCCCCACCCATCCTGAATCTTTTTTTTTTTTTTTTTGAGACAGGGTCTCGATCTGTGGGCCAGGCTGGAGTGCAGTGGTGCGATCTCGGCTCACTGCAATCTCTGCCTCCCAGGTTTAAGCTAAGATTCTCCTGCCTCAACCTCCCAAGTAGCTGGGATTACAGGCGCTCACCACCAGGCCTAGCTAACTTTTGTATTTTTTGTAGAGACAGGGTTTTGCCATATTGGCCAGGCTGGTCTCGAACTCCTCACCTCAAGTGATCTGCCCGCCTCAGCCTCCCAAAGTGCTGGGATTACAGGCATGAGCCACCACACCCAGCCCCATCCTGAATCTTAACACATGGCACAGTGCCCTGGAGTGTGAAACCTCTGAGGACATAAACGGACGATTTCAAATATTGCTATCGCTGTGAACACAACGAATGCTGAATCATTATTGAGTAATAAATCAAAAGGAGGGCCTAATAGAATTGGCTGCTCACAGATAATATAAAATAAATTTGTCGTGTCTCACTGTGTGCCTTCCCTATGACTCAGAAGGGGTTCAGAGCACGGAGTGATGTTACTCCACCTGCACTCTGTCCACTCCCACCCACTTATTAATATCATGTAAGCCAGGAGCTGTGGCTCAAGTCTGTAATCTCAGCACTTTGGGAGGCCAAGGCGGGAGGAAGGCTTGAGCCCAGGAGTTTGAGACCAGCCTGGACAACATAGCGAGATCTTGTGTCTACAAAAAATAAAAAATTAGCCAGGCATGGTAGTGTGCACCTGTAGTCCCAGCTACTCAGGAGGCTGACACAGGAGGACTACTCGAGCCCAAAGATGGAGGCTACAGTAAGCTGTGATCACACCACTGGACTCCAGCCTCGGTGACAGGATAATACCTTATCTCAAAAATAAATAAATATCATATCTACAAAAATGAAAGATAGGATTAGAATTGATGCTGAACCCTGTCTCATTCTAACAATATATGTGAAATATTGGGTGGGGGTAAGCTCACTGAGTGATGCCATTACAATGGCCATTACAATTTACTTCTGTTTAATATTTTTATCAATTGTGCACAAACAATTCTTGCAATGATATCTTACTCCATTAAAAAAACCACTTAGAGTCTTAGAGTCTCAGGAATTTCTAAAACTTCTTATATCTTTTATAAGAAGGCTGTTTTGTCCTGGGAGGTTTCACACCCCAGGGCAACATGCCACGTGTTGAGATTTGGGATGAGTGGAGACTGCACTGTTATTATTTTATTTTATTTTATTTTATTTTATTTTATTTTTTGAGACAGAATCTCGCTCTGTTGCCCAGGCTGGAGTGCAGTGGCTTGATCTCGGCTCGCTGCAACCTCTGCCTCCTGGGTTCAAGCGATTCTTCTGCCTCAGCCTCCCGAGTAGCTGGGATTATAAAAATTCTGAAATCTTAGTCATAGATGTGTATGTTTGTGGCAGAGAAGTGTGATGGCGATTGTGACACAGGCTGCCAATGGTCACGTCTTGACTCTGGGCATGACCATGGCACTTGCTTTGGCCAATGGGACATTGGCCACCATGATACCAAGTAGAGCCTTGGAAAGTGCTTGCACACTGGGGCTTGTGTGCTCTTAGGAATCTTGAGAGCACCTTGGGAAGAAGCCTTGGCTCACCTGCTGGAAGATGAGACCAAGTAGAGCAGAGACAAGAATTCCCAGCTGAGGGCCCCCCAAACCAACCAGCTTGACAACTGCCAGATGTGTAAAATCACCCTAGATTACCCGGCCTTGGCTGAGCCTCCAACAGACTGCAGAGATCAACCAAGCTGGCCCAGGCTGGGAGAACAGCTCAGCAGCCCCCAGAATCATGAGAAAGAATAAATACTTGGCCGGGCATGGTGGCTCACACCTGTAATCCCAGCACTTTGGGAGGCTGAGGCGGGCAGATCACCTGAAGTCAGGAGATCGAGACCAGCCTGGCTAACATGGTGAAACCCCCATCTCTTCTAAAAATACAAAGAATTAGCCGGGCATGGTGGCACATGCCTGTAATTCCAGCTACTTGGGAAGCTGAGACAGAAGAATCACTTGAACCCAGGAGGCGGAGGTTGCAATGAGCCGAGATCACACCATTGCACTCCAGCCTGGGCAACAGAGCGAGACTCCATGTCAATAAATAAATAAATAAATAAATAAATAAATAAAAATAAACACTTGTTTTAATGCACTCAGCCACTAAGCCTTGGGTTGTTTGTTAGGCACCAAAAGCCAGCTGATACAGTGACTTTAACAAAAGACTTCCATGCATTCAAATGTGTTACATTAGGTTAAATTCTGTTAGAACTAAAAAGCATTAGAAAATCAGTTCAGAAAGGCAAGGATTTGTTTTCTTATTCTCTCCCCTATTGTATCCGGAGTGTTTAGAATAGTGCCTGGAATACAGAAGGTATTTTTGAATGTTTTGGATATTTGTTGAATGAATGAATGTAAGTTGAAGGAGAAAAAGGAATGATGTATTTATCCTGTATTTTTCAGTGGACAATGATGTGTACCACTGTGTGCTATGTATCTGTTGAATACATTTAAAAGAGGAGCATAAGTCAAGTAATGGTTTCATTTTGAAATACCAATATTATGTTGATAATTGTGGAAACTAAATGATGGATATATGCTGGCTCACTATCCTAGTTTACTTTGGATATGTTTAAATTTTTCCCTAATAAAAATGTTCTTAAGGCCATGAGCAGTGGCTCACGCCTGTAATTCTAGCACTTTGGGAGACCGAGTTGGGCGGATCACTTGAGGTCAGGAGTTCGAAACCAGCCTGGCCAACATGGTGAAACCCCCTCTCTACTAAAAATACCAAAAAAATTAGCCAAGCATGGTGGCGGGCGTCTGTAGTCCCAGCTACTTGGGAGGCTGAGGCAGGAGAATTGCTTGAACCCAGGAGGCGGAGGTTGCAGTGAGCTGAGATCGTGCCACTGCACTCCAGCCTGGGTGACAGAGTGAGACTCCATCTCAAAAAAAAAAAAAAAAAAAGGTTCTTAAAAGTCAAAAGTTACCATTTGTTAGAAATTATAAGTTTTATGATTATTTCAGGTGAAAAACTAGACATGTATGCTTCTATTAATTCCAAAATTCAAAAACTTTAGAAGTCAGAATAGTGGTTACCTCTTGGGGTTGGGAACCTGGATTTTTTTTTTTTCTTGAATTTGGGACAGTTCACACAGGTTTGTTCTCTTGGTGAAAACTGATCAAGCTGTTAGCTTATGATATGTACATATTTTTAAATATCTGTATTATATTTCAATAATAAATTTTTTAAATTAAAAATCGGGTGAGAGGAAACTGGTACGATGGCTCACACCTGTCATCCTAGTATTTTGAGAGGCCGAGGCAGGAGGATTGCTTGAGCCCAAGAGCCCGAGACCAGCCTGGGCAAAATATCAAAACCCTGTCTCTATAAAAAATATTTTAAAAATTAGCGGGGGATGGTGGTGCAAGCCTGCCGTTTCAGCTACTCAGGAGGCTGAGGCAGGAGAATCGCTTGAGCCCAGGAGTTCCAGGCTGCAGTAAGCTATGATTGCACCACTACACTCCAGCCTAGGCAACAGAGCAAGACCCCATCTTAAAAAAAATCAGGTGAGAGGATGCATGGCTTTTCAAACTTCTTTCATAGGCAAGCAAAGGTGTTGGAAAACCATTCATGCACCCACCTCTGAAACAAGGCTCTCAAACTGACTGCCCAAGGGGTCAGGCAGATGTAAATAAGCGAGGTAGGATAGATGGGGACCAAAAAGAACCAGAGAGGGGATGAGACTCCTAATGACAATACTGTTGCTCATATCTCAATGACAGCTGTTATGTGGGAATCAGACCCTGGGCCACCAGGTGTACTCAGTCATTTTACAAATACCAACTGCCGCTGGGCACGGTGGCTCACGCCTGTAATCCCAGCACTTTGGAAGGCTGAGGTGGGCGGATCACGTGGTCAGGAGATCGAGACCATCCTGGCCAACATGGTGAAACCCCATCTCTACTAAAAATACAAAAATTAGCTGGGCTTGGTGGCGCATGCCTGTAATCCCAGCTACTCTGGAGGCTGAGGCAGGAGAATAGCTTGAACCAGACTCAGAGGTTGCAGTGAGCCGAGATCATGCCACTGCACTCCAGCCTGGTGACAGAGCAAGACTCCATCTAAAAAAAAAATACCAACTGCATGCCCACCATCTGTGATTTTCTAGCTATCATGATCCCAGGTGTGTAACTGAACCTTTCTGAACTTCAATTTCTTCATCTGTTAAATGGGTATAACCACAATCCCTACCTCATAGGGCTATTATAAGGATTAAATGAATTAATGATATTTATACATTAATGAATATATATAAGGCTGAGTCCCCCAGTTGCCACTTCCGATACTCACGGCAAAGTTCTTCACTCCTCCAGGGGTGCACTGTGGCTCCAGCAGCCTGGCATGCAGCAGCATAGGTGGCCAGTGCGTCACACAGTGGCCCAGACTGGCCTGGCAGCAGGCAGCGGTCATAGACACAGTCGCGCACGGCACCCTGGGGGTCCAGCTTGCTATGGCACTCCCGGAAGGGCCCCTTGGGGTCGGCAAGGATTCCACACTCATTCTTGCTCTGCAGCTGCTGGGCCACCAGGGAGTCCAGCTTGGGACAGTCACCCGGTTCAGTTGCTCCACAGCCGGGCCTCGTCTCTTCTTGCCAGCTGTTCCCAAAGGCCAGTGCATTGGCAGCTTGACCCCCACCCCGCAGAGCCAGGTCATCAGCTGGGTCCCCGTTGAAGTTCCCACAGAGTCCACACAGGGCCTCAGCATAGCTGCTGGGCACCTTGGCAGTCACTCGTGCATTCCAGTCATAAGTGACAGTCAGGCCAAAGTCCGTGCGCACGACGGCATCCCTGCCCTGTCGGAACACCTGCACCTGCCCATCTGCTGCTTGGAAGGGCAGATACTGAAGGACGTCATCCACCTGGGTGGAGATGCAAGAGGGCCACCTGGTCAGGGTATTCACAGTTCTGTGGCCCACCCTTCAATTCACTCACCTCCAGCTACCCTGACCTCCTTGCTATTCTCTTGGACATATTACGCTCAGTCCCACCTCGAGGCCTTTGCACTTGCTGTTCCCTCTGCCTGGCTCACCATTCACCCCTCTTCATTCCTAAAGCACCAGCTTAAATCCAAATCCCTCACCCATGGCCTTCAAAACCTACATGATCTGTCTATCTCCCCATTACCTCCCTCGCCTCACCTCTTCTCACTGTCCCTCTCACTCAGGCTGCTGCAACCATACTAGCTTTCTTTTCTTTTTTTTTTTGGACAGGGTCTCACTCTGTTGCCCAGGCTGGAGTGCAGTGGCACAATCTTGGCTCACTACAACCTCTGCCTCCTGGGTTCAAGCGATTCTCTCTCAGCCTCCCTAGTAGCTGGGATTACAGGTGTGAGCCACTGCACCTGGCTAATTTTTTTTTCTATTTTTAGTAGAGAGGGGGTTTCACCATGTTGGCCAGGATGGTCTCAAACCTCAGATGATCCACTCGCCTCAGCCTCCCAAAATGCTGGGATTACAGGCGTGAGCCACGGTGCCCAGCCACTAGCTTCCTTTTTAAAATAGAGACAGGGGTCTCACTCTGTCACCCAGGCCAGAATGGAGTGGCACGATCATAGCTCACTTCCTAGCACTTCAGGAAGCTGAGGCGGGAGGGTCACTTGAGCCCAGGAGTTGGAGACCGGCCTGGGCAACTTAGTGCGACTCCGTTCTGCACAAAAAGGAAAAAGGAAAACGAAAAAAATAAAATCTTCTAACAGGCCTCCCCCACCCTCAGGCCCATCCAGAACTCCAAGTCTTCAGAGGGTATTTCCTGCTCCGTCACCCAGCCCTGGGCGCCACGTCGCTCACCAGCACTTGCCCGGGGTACTCCCGGCGCACGGCCACCTTCACCCCGCGGGCCTCCACCCGCACGGCGCGCGTGTAGCTCACAGTCTGGCTGCCCCGATGCTCGTTTTCCACCAGCACCCGGAAGGCAGGCAGCGCTGCGTTCTGGCCGCATGAGCCGACCAGCAGGTACGTGCAGGTGCCCATGAAGTCGAAGCGCCGGCCGTCGAAGCTCACATAGTGTGGGTCCCCGGACCCCTGGCAGGTCCCGAAGCGATCGGGGTAGCAGCCCAGGAGGCCGTTCTGGACGCTGCAGCGCTCACCCGCCGGGCAGCTCTGCTTGTCGCGGCAGGTGACCTGATGGGTGGCGCCGTTGCAGGTGCAGCGCCTTTGGCACAACTCGTCCGCCCACACTTCCTGGCCCGGAGCGAGCTGGAGACCCTGGAAGGTGCAGCCACACGACGAGGCCGGCACGCAGGCGCCGCCGCTGGCCACGAAGCCTGGGAGGCACACGCAGCCCTCCACGCAGGGGCGCCCGGAGCAGTTGGACGGCGCCGCAGCCCCGTTGCAGGAGGTCGGGCAAGCAGGGCCGCAGAGCTCATAGCGGCTGTTGGCAGGGCAGGACAGGGCTGCGGGGAGATCAGAGAGGGTGGATCAGGCCCGCGTAGCAGGGGCCGTCGAAGAGCGCCCTGTCGGGGACGGCGCCCAGGAATTCCATCCCCAAACCCTGCTCCTCTCTCAGAGCTCGCCATCTCAGATAATGGCACTGCCATTCTTCTGGGTGCTCCTGCGCCACACCCCAGCGACGCAGTTAATCTCCACCCCGCCAACCCCCTAACGCTCACTGGACAACCAATCTGTCAGCAAGTCCTGTGAGCTCCATATTCAAAATCTACCCAGATTGGCCGGGAGTGGTGGCGCAGGCCTGTAATCCGAGCTACTCAAGAGGCTGAGGCAGGAGAATCGCTTGAACCCGGAAGGCGGAGGTTGCAGTGAGCTGAGACCACACTACTGCACTCCAGCCCGGGCGCAGAGCAAGACTTTGTCTCAAAAAAAAAAAAAAAAATCCACCCAGTTACAGAATCTGCCTCTGATCCTATCCACCGCAGCAGCCTCCTGCCTGGGCTCCCTCCTGCCCCCACAGCCTGTTCCTCACACCAGGCCGAGGAATCTGGGAACATCTGGGTCAGATCAGGTCCCTCCCCATCTCAGAGCACTACTGTGGCTTCCTCTCACTCAGGGTAAACGCCAGAGTCCTCCCCATGCCTCAGGAGGCCCTGTGCCATCTGTTCCTCTCACCTCTCAGCCCTCACCTCTTCTCCCTCTCCCTCGGGCTCACTCTGCCCCAGCCCCAGCTGCCTCCTCCTCCCGGGTCCTCACCCTCCCACCTCAGGGCCTTTGCATTGGCTGTTCCCTCTGCCTTCCCTTTCCCCAGAAAGCCCACTGGGGCCCAGGTGGCCTGGGTTCAGATCCCAGATCTCTCCTTCTCGGCCACTGACTCCAATCTCCCCGTGCCTCAGTTTCCCCATCAGTAAGATGGGATAATGTAGTCGAGACCTCACAGGGTTGTTGTGAGGATTAAATGAGTTGATCTATGGGGAAACATTCTGTGGACATCACTGTTAGTTAGTACTTAGCTGACTCCATTGCCTGACCCTGGTCTCAGCTCCAATGTTACCTGCCCAGAAAGGCCTTCCCTGATCACCCTCTTCACGAGCCTCACAGTCACTGTCATTGAATGAACTTGTTTCTTTGCCTCTCTGAAGATACTTCCTAGTTCATCTGCTCACTGTCTGTGTCCCTCCCCTGCCGCTAAGAGAGAAGTTCTGCGGGAGTGGGGACCTGATCTGTCTCAATCACTGCTGAGTCCCCAGCACCAAGGACAGGGCCTGGTACGCAGCAGGTGCTCAGGAAATACTGCAGAAGTGAAAGGGAGAATAAATGAACTCTCTGATTCCTATTTTGCGCCAGGCATGGGGTTGGGGGGGTGCTTACTGGGCAGTGGGGACACAGAACTGGCCAAGACAAACACCTAGTGGCCTCTATGTCTGCCCTGTACTTACTCCCCCTCCCTCTGGGCCTGGGCCTGGATGCCTCTTCCTCCCTCCTACCTGTCCTTTCTGCCTCTGGGACATGTCTCTAGGAGCCTCACTCACAAGGGCAGGAATAGATTTATGCTGGTCTTCACTGTGTCTTCAATATCATTAGCATGCACAGGGGGCAGGCAGGGGTTCAAGGAATGCTTGTGGAATGAATGAGTGAACGATTAAGCAGACGGACACCTGGCTAAAGAGCCTGGACTTTATCTAGAGGGCAATGGGAGTCATGGGAGGGCTATAGGCAAAGGAAGAGACGTCACGTCTCTGTGTTGGGATTCTGCAGACAAGAATTCCCGTCCTGCCAAGCCTTTGAGCATGCTGTTCTCTGGGCCTGCAACTCACTTCCTCCTCTTTCTCTTGGCAACTTCCAGCCCCTCTTATGGGTTTCAAATTGGACATCTTTCTCTAGAAAACCCTCCCTGACCACCCCTGCTCCCCAGGCTGGGCCAGGAACCTCCTCTGGTTTCCCATAGCCCCACTGACTTCCTCCATCCTGGCCCCAACCCCTCTGCCTGTGTCCCCCGCAATCCCAGCCCTGACTCATCTGCCTGTCTCTCTCCCATCCTGGCCCCAACCCATCCGAGTGGGCCTCCCCATCCTGCCTGGACCCCTCCAGACTGTCAATGTCTAGTGAAACGTCTCTCCAACCTTAGGCTCATTGTGGACAGAGCTGGCTGTCTTGGCCATCACTAGGCCCCTGGCATTGCCCAGCACCAGGCTGAACCATAATAACTTCTCAGATATTAAGCAGATGCTAGGGATCTCCTGCCCCTCACTGTATGCTCCCAGCCCCCACCCAGGGCATCACTCACGGCAGTTGGCTGGTGATCTCCAGTCCCCAACCGAGATGCCAAGCTCCAGACAGGCCTGGGCATAGGCGCTGAGGCCACGGCACAGGCTGAGCCGCTCCCCACCGACCACACACAGGTCATATACACACTGCTCCAGGAAGGGCCTGGGGTCCAGGGTGTCATGGCAGACAGCGAAGGGGCCATCGAGCTTGGTCAGCATGCCACAGAGTCGGTCGCCCTCATAGTGTTGGGCCTGGCCTGGGGTGCAGGCGGGACAGTTGTTCTGGCAGCCATCCTCACACAGGTAGTCCCCATCATCCAGCTTCCAGCTACTTGCGAACTCCACAGCGTCAGGAGCCAGAGCCCCGTCAGGCGTGAGGAAGTCGTCTGCTGGGTCACCATTATAGTTGCCACACAGCCCGCACACCTGGTCTTGGAAGCGTGCAGGCAGGCTGAGTGCCAGCTGGCAGTCCCAGTCATAAGTGACCACCAGCCCAAAGACCAGCTCCACCACGGCCCGTGGTCCGCTCTGGTACACACGCAGGCGACCCTCACTCAGGGAGACTGGCAGGCGCGAGCGCTGGTTGTCAACCTGCAGAGTGGGTGAAGAGGAGGTGGTCAGGCCCCTGTGCCATCTGGCCTCCAGCCCTCATTAAAGTACTTTTTAATTAAAAGTTTTAAATAGGAGAATATAGAAAAAGAGTATGTGCTCAAACGTCACTGACTCAAGCCTTCCCTGACTGCCCTATTTTATGATTTTATTTTATGGTTTGTTTGTTTTGTTTTGTTTTATAGAGATGAGGTCTTGCTATGTTGCCCAGGCTGATCTCAACTCCTGGCCTCAAGCAATCCTCCTGCCTCAGCCTCCCAAAGTGCTAGAATTACAGGCATGACCCATGGGACCCAGCCTACACCCCTTTTTAAATGGCAGCCTTGGGCCGGGCGCAGTGACTCACACCTGTAATCCCAGCACTTTGGAAGGCTGAGGCGGGTGGATCACTTTATGTCAGGAGTTTGAGACCAGCCTGGTCAACATGGTGAAACCCTGTCTCTACTAAAAATAAAAAAATTAGCTGGGTGTGGTGGGGCACGCCTGTAATCCCAGCTACTCAGTTGGCTGGGGCAGGAGAATTGCTTTAACCCAGGAGGTGGAGGCTGCAGTGAGCCAAGATCGTGCCAAACAGAGTGAGACTCTGTCTAAAAAAAAAAAAAAGGCAGCCTCTCCCTATTCCATAGCCTCCTTCCCTGCTTTCCTTTTTTTTCTATAGCATCTGGCCTTCTGAAATATAATTCACAAATTGACCATGTTTATCATCTGTCTTACTCCATCAGAATGGCAGCTCCACAAAGACAAGGGTTTGGGTCTGCTTTGATCACTGCTTTATCCCCAGTGCATAGAACAGGGCCTGGTAGAATCCCAGGCACTCACTAAGTGAATTAAGTCACTGCTGCATTTAATAAACATTCACTGGGCACTCACTCTGTGCCTGGCCTTGAGCTGGGAGATCCTGGGAATACGAAGGTGGCGGAGACAGCCCCAAGCCCTACCCTCATGGGGCTCCCAGTCCATTGGGAGAAACAGACACATCACCAGACAGTGAGAGCTCAGAGGGGTCAGGGCAGAGATGGGAGAAGCACAGGCAGAAAAGTCAAGGCCAGGATCAGAAAGGCCCAGGCAGAGGGGTCAAGGATGGGATAGGGGAGGTACAGGCTGAGGGTTCAGAGCTGGGATAGTGGGGAGATAGGAGGCTGTGAAAACCTAGAAAAATGGCCAGATCTAACCTTGCTGGTCAGGGATGTTGAAATCTTAACACCCAACATGATGGTATTAAGAGTGGGGGGAGGCCTTTGGGAGGTGATTAGGTCATGAGGGTGGCACCCTCATGAATGGGATTAGTGCCCTTATGACAGAGGCCTCAGAGAGCTCTCAGATCCGCTTTCCACCGTGTGAGGATACAAGGAGAAGTAGGCCATCTGCAACCTGGAAGAGCACCCTCACCTGAACCTGGCAGTGCTGGTGACCTCATCTTGGACTTCCAGCCTCCAGAACACAGAGACGAGGTTGTGTTGTTTATAAGCCTCCCAGGCTCTGGAGAAGCCTGAAGTCTGACTAAGAACCAGGAGATAAGAACTATGTCTCTCTGTGCCCTGGGGCATCTTTTTTTTGAGATGGAATCTTGCTCTGTCACCAAGGCTGGGCTGCATTGGCACGATCTCGGTTCACTGCAACCTCTGTCTCCCAGGTTCAAGTGATTCTCCCACCTGGGATTACAGGTGCCTGCTACCACGTCCAGCTAATTTTTGTATTTTTAGTAGAGATAGGGTTTCACCATGTTGGCCAGACTGGTCTTGAACTCCTGACCTCAAGTGATCTGCCCACCCCTGCTCAGCCTCCCAAAGTGCTGGGATTACAGGCATGAGCCACCGTACCCAGCCTTTTTTTTTTTTAATTAATAAAAAAATTTTTTAAATTAGATATGGGGGTCTCACTATGTTGTCCAGGCTGGTCTGGAGCTCATGGCTCAAGCAATCCTCCCACCTCGGCCTCCCAAAGTGCTGGGATTATAGGTGTGAGCCACCGCACCCAGCCTGGGCATCTCTTTCTTACTCTTTCCTTACACATTCTCTGAGCTGTGCCAGAGCTGAGACTTGAAGTGGAGAAGTCTTAGCCAAGAGGATGGAATATGATAAAAGGAGCAACAGGAGAGAGGACAGCATGAGCAATGGCCCAGAAGGAAGACAGAGCATTCACTCATTCCGGCTCCCAGCAAAGCTTCTGTGAGTCCCACTGTGTGGCCTGCTCTGTGCCAGCTGGTGCTTTAGACACTGCAGTGATGGAGACAGGCCATGGCCCCATGCTCAGAGCTCTCAGTCCAGCATGGCTGCTCAAATCTGTTTCTCCCCTAAGTCCAGTGATCTCCATTTTAATTTTTCTATTTTTTTATTTATGTATTTTTTTGAGACAGTTTTGCTCTGTCACCCAGCCTGGAGTGTAGTGGCAGCATCATAGCTCACTGCAGCCTCGACCTCCTGGGCTCAAGCCATCTTCCTGCCTCAGCCTCCCAAGTAGCTGGGACCATAGGCAGGCGCCACCACACCCAGCTATTTTTTTTTTTTTTTTTTGGTAGAGATAGGGTCTCCCTATGTTGCCCAGGCTGGTCTCAAATTTCTGGGCTCAAGTAATCTTCCAGCTTCAGCCTCCCAAAGTACTGGGATCACAGGCGTAAGCTACCATGCCCAGCCAATCTCCATTTTTAAATGACACAAATAATATTCGTTCATTACAGAAAACTGAAAATGCACAGGAGCAAAAATGAGAAAAGAAAATCACCCTGTAGGCAGACACATACAAATGTATAGATCCTGTTGAGTTTTTTCCTACCTTTAGATATATTTACACTTAAAAAAAAAAAGACCATGCTGAAGTCACTATTTCATTAACTCCTCTCCTAACAATGTCTTGTGAGTATCCTACTATGATTCTGACAGTAGCTCTGCACCTTTGTCAAGTCACTGACCTCTGTGAGGATCTGACGGAAAAAAAAATGAAAGGCCGGGTGCGGTGGCTCATGCCTGTAATCCCAACACTTTGGGAAGCCGAGTTGGGCGGATCACAAGGTCAGGAGATCAAGACCATCCTGGCTAACACAATGAAACCCCAGCTCTACTAAAAATACAAAAAATTAGCCGGGCGTGGTGGCATGTGCCTGTAGTCCCAGCTACTCGGGAAGCTGAGGCAGGAGAATCGTTTGAACCCAGGAGGCGGAGGTTGCAGTGAGCCGAGATCACGTCACTGTACTCCAGCCTGGGCAACAGAGCGAGACTCCGTCTCAAAAAAAATAAAAAGTAGTTTTCAGAGAGAGGTATAAAATTCTGTATATAATTTCAAGGGATCTGAAGTCCGCCTGAACTTGTGCTCAACCCCTCCAGGGCTGAAGAACACCTCCTTTCACCAACTGATTATTAATCGCAGAGATCTACCTGCACACTCACAAAATCAGGGAGGTACAAGAATATTTATTTCAGGTCAGATACAGGGGCTTACGCCTCTAATCCCAGAACTTTGGGAGGCCAAGGTGGGAGGATCACTTGAGACCAGGAGTTCGAGACTAGCCTGGGCAACATAGCAAGACCTTATCTCTACTAAAAATAAAAATACTTAGCCCAGTATAGTGGCATGAGACTGTAGTCCCAGCTACTTGGAAGGCCAAGGCTGGAGGATTGCTTGAGCCCAGGAGTTTGAGGTTGAAGTGAGCTATAATCACACCACTGCACTTCAGCCTGGGCAACAGGGCAAGACCTTGTCTCAAAAAAAAAAAAATCAAAAAAATATTCATTGCAGTATTGTTTGTAATAGTGAACAATGTGTCCATCCACAGGGGACTGGTTGAATGAACCATGGTGTTCATATCCATATAAAGAATTGTGCAGATGTTAAAAAAAAATAGAGGCTGATAGAGAAACTGTTGATAGAGAAACTGTTTCAGAATGTATTGCTAAATGCAAAAAGCAAAGTAGAGAACACAACATATATATACACATATACATGTATATATGTGTGTGTATATATGTATATATATATATATACACATATATACTCTCTCTCTCTATATATATATATATTTTATTTATTTATTTTTTTTTTTGAGACAGAGTCTTACTCTGTCACCCAGGCTGGAGTGCAGTGGTGCAATCTTGGCTCACTACAACCTCTGCCTCCTAGGTTCAAGCGATTCTCCTGCCTCAGCCTCCCGTGTAGCTGGAATTACAGGCATGCGCCACCACGCCCAGCTAATTTTTGTACTCTTACTAAAGATGGGGTTTCACCATGTTGACCAGGCTGGTCTCTAACTCCTGACCTCAAGTGATCCACCCACCTAGGCCTCCCAAAGTGCTGGGATTATAGGCATGAGCCACTGCGCCTGGCCCTGAAGTTATTGAACAGGCAAAACTAATCTATGCTGGAAAAAAAAAATCAGAATTGTGATCATCTCCAGGAGTAGGTTGGGGACTGTTTGGTAAGGCACATGAGGGAATTTTCCCAGGTGATAAAAATATTCTGTATCTTAATGGGCAATTTGGTTACACATTTGCCAAAGGTGAACTATACAGTTAAGATTTGTGATTTTTGTTATATATAAATTTCACCTCCAAAATCAGCCAAAAGAAGTGTGAAAATATTATATTCTAGTTAATGACATGGTGAAGTCTTTTGGGTGATATGTACTCATGTCTGGAACTTTGAAGTGCATAAAAAATAAGAGAGATTGTGGAATGGACAGAGGGATGAACCGATGGATCAGTGTGTGATCAATCAAGAAGAGTACAGTGTTTAGAATCTAGATGATTGGCACCTGTAATCTCAGCACTTTGGGAGGCTGAGGCAGGCCGATCAGTTGAGGCCAGGAGTTCCAGACCAGCCTGGCCAACATGGTGAAACCCCTCTCTACAAAAATACAAAAATTAGCTGGGCATGGCGGCACATGCCTGTCATCCCAGCTACTCGGGAGGCTGAGGCAGGAGAATCGCTTGAACCTGATCCTGCCGCTGCACTCCATCCTGGGTGACACAGCAAGACTCTATCTCAAAAAAAAAAAAAAAAAAGAAAGAAAGAAAGAAAGAAAACTCTAGGCGATTGGCATATGAGCATTCACTGTATAAGAATTTCAACTTTGGACATTTTAATATTTTCATAATAACATGGCGAGAAAAAGGAAGTAATTGCTCTAGGCTGCTGTTATTCATATGAACTGAATAGAAATGCATTTACCAGAGTCAGGACAGCTGAGGGATTAAGAACAAGGACTCCAGAGCCAGCATGCCTGTGCCCTTAGCTCCACCTCTTACTAGCTCTGAGCCCTGGGGAAGTCACTAGCCTATCTCAACCTCAGTTTCCCAATCTGAACATGTTCATAATAATAATGCCTCCTGCACTGAGTTTGTGAGCATTAAATTCGTTAAGATGAGAAAAGTGCTAAGAAACATATCTGGTGCATAGCAGGTGCTCATTAAATTTAGTTATTTGGTCAACGTAAATCCCCCATTGCTGGATAATTTTTTGTTTGTTTGTTTTTGTTTTATGCTATTATAAACCATGTTGGCATGTTACCCCCCAGTCTCTGTCTCTGAATATCCTTTAAATTTCTAGACGTGGGATGGCTGGAGGGCAGGGTTCTAAGGTCCTGCTACTGATTTTCAAATCCGCCTCCCCACCCTCCAACTCCATGGCCCACTTCCCTGCACCCTGGTTTGAGGTCGGCCATTGGGCTTTGCCTCCGCCTTCGGACCCGCAGCTCATGGATGTTAACCCCCCAAAGCCCCCAGGTACTCACCAGGACGAAGCCAACTTCACCGCGGGTCAGCGACACAGAGTGGCTGTAGGCGCGCACAGTGACGAGGCCCACGTAGGAGACGCGGCGGCTGCCCCGGTGCTCGTTCTTGGCCTCCACGCTGAAGGCGGGCAGGGTGTCGTCCTCGCTGCACAGCTCCACCATCGTGTACGAACAGGTGCCCATCATGTCGTAGCGACGGCCGTCGAAGGTGGTGTAATGGGGGTCGCCCTGGGCGCGGCAGACAGCGGTGGACTCCGCCACACACCCGGCCTTCCCGCCTACCACCTGGCAGCGCTGCCCGGCTGCGCACTGCATGCCTTCGCAGGAGGGCTCCACTGGGGACAGTACAGCTGGGGAGGGAAGGGAACGGTGAAAAGAGAGAATCAGAAGTGTCCGCGGGGTTGTAATCCCAGCACATTGGGAGGCCAAGGTGAGGGGGGCGGATCACTTGAGGTCAGGAGTTCGAGACCAGCCTGCCCAACATAGTGAAACCCCATCTCCATTAAAAACACAAAAATTAGCAGAGCATGGTGGCACATGCCTGTAATCCCAGCTACTTGGGAGGCTGAGGCAGGAGAGTCTCTTGACCCCAGGAGGCGAAGGTTGCAGTGAGCTGAGATGGCACCACTGCACTCCAGCCTGGGTGACAAAGTGAGACTCTGTCTCACAAAGAAAAAAAGAAGAAAGAAGAGGAAGAAGAAGAAGAAAGAAGAAAGAAGAAGAAGAAGAAGAAGAAGAAGAAGAAGAAGAAGAAGAGGGAAGGGGGAGGAGGAGGAAGAGGAGGAGGAGGAGGAGGGAAGAAGAAGGAAGAAGGAAGAAACCGCCTCAGGCCTCAGAGGGAGGCATCCTGGAGCCCACCTTGCCGGGGAAGCTTGAGCAATTCGCTCACAACTGCCCATTTTTGCCCATTTTTGCCCATTTTAAAGGTGGGGAAACCGAGGTCTGGAACCCCACAGGGAGAGAGTTGCTCAGGCCTCTCTGAGAGCCCCATGTTTTCTGATTCTCCAGTTTAACACAGGGCAGCCTAGAAGAAGGGAAGGCAGTAAATAAGAAAAGGCAGAAACGGTCATTAAAATGTTAATTTGTGTTTTTCTCTCCCCCTTTTCCCCTCTTCCCTACCTTCCCTCCAGGGTCAAAAAGAGCTAAGGGATTTTTTTAAGGACAGAAAATGGAAGACAGCCTTCAGCAGGATGAAAAGGACTATGGAGTCAGGCCGCCTAGGTAGGAATCCTGGCTCAACCAACTGGCTCTGAGACACTGGGCAAGTGGTTTTAAACTCCCTCTGCCTCAGTTTCCTCATTTGTAACATGGGGGTGATAATAATACCTCCTTCGTAGGGATCTTGGTGGGGGGTGTTAGGATTAAATAAGCTAAAACTCGAGAAAGCTTTAGAACTGAACCTACGTGTTAAGTGGAGTGTTACCCATTATAATTAATCACCCACCGCTCCCTCATTCTATTTCTCAAGCCCAAAGTGGCTCCTTGAAGTTGGGTGGCTTCCATGCCTTGGAGGGGAGGGGAGGGGCATTTTTGCCAGGTCCAGGAATGCCAGAGTCTTAGCGTGGCAGGGACTACATGGGAAGAAACAGCTTTCCTCCATCTGCCTCCCAGTCCTCAAAAGTTTTTGCAGCTGGGTGTGGTGGCTCAGGCCTGTAATTCCAGCCCTTTGAGAGGCTGAGGCAGGAGGATCGCTTGAGCCCAGGAATTTGAGACCAGCCTGGGCAACATGGAAAGACCCTATCTCTACAAAATATAAATTAAAAATTAGCTGGGTGTGGTGGTGCATGCCTATAGTCTCAGCTACTTGGGAGGCTGAGGGAGGATTGCTTTAGTCCAAGAGTTCGAGGCTACGGTGAGCTGTGATCACACCACCGCACTCCAGCCCGAGTGACAGAGTGACACCCTGTCTCTAAAACAAAGTTTTGAGGGAGAAACAGTTATCCCCATTTTACAGATGTGGAAACTGAAGCCCAGAGAGATGAAGTCACTTGTCCAAGATCACACAGCAGAGCTGGGATTTGAACCCTGGGACCCTGCACTACACTGACAGCGTCTCATGGGCTGAGCCTGAGGTCACACAAACTGCCAGGTCATATACATTAACTGTGTCAAAAACACGTGAAACACCTAGAAAGATTGCAAGATACTCCCCTCCCCAACGCGTAGTCATCTTATTATCATACATTTAGATCTCCTAAGTTTGGGTATCAACATTCCTACATGAGGTGTGGAGAGTGGCTTAGCAACTGGTGTGGCTATGTCAGTTGCTAAAATATCAAAATATTTCCAAACTGGTTGGTGAGAAGCTGCTGACCTGACTGTCCCCCACAACCCCAAAGATCCCTCCTTCTCAGCACCCTGGCTCTCCCCTAGGGCCCTTTCCAGAACAAACCAACAGACAGGGGCTGATGCCAGCATGATGGGGGCTTCAGGACCCTGTCACAGTGCTTTGGCTGCTGTCTCTTCTGACTGGTAGTGCCCCAGCTCTCCCTGGTTGCTAAATATTTAGAATATTGTTTCTGGGCGGATGGGAGGGGCTGAGAAGACTTGAGGAAGGATGTCGCGGAGAAGAGAAGTGAGGGGAGGACAATCAGGATCCCGAAAGCCACAGAGGAGTAGGTGGGTGGAAAAGCGGTCACCAGGTGGACAGGACCAGGGGACATTTCCATTACTTACTCCGGCCGCAATCAGCAGCTGTTGCGTAGCCTATAGCCTTGGCCAGCCCGAAGGTGAGCAGTCCCAAGTTGGTGGTGGCCTCGGCCGTGTGGATCATGTCAGCTGTGCCGAGCTCCACTTCAGCATACGAGAACTCACTGCCTGGCACAGCCTCCCAGGTGAGCTTGGCCCCCACTGCATGCCCATCTATGGTCAGCCCGCTGATAGCCTTCGTCTGTGCCACTACCAGGGCCACGCCCTCACAGCCTGGTACACTCTTGACCACATAGGCTGGGCAGTAGGCCGCCACATCTGGGATCAGGACCAGGTAGGGGTCATAAGTCACTTCATTCCTTATGGCACCTGTGCCAAACAACAGGACCTGGATGCCCACATTTGCAGACAGGTAGAGTGGCCAGGATGGCCGGACCTCAAACTCTACCACATCACCTGCCTGGAGCCCACGGGAGCCAGTGATACCCCCATGGTTGTAGGTCAGCTTTGTGGCCTGGCTGGCCACAACGAAGGCCAAATCATAGCGAGATTGGGAGGCCAGCGTGGGTACTACATAGTGGGTGCCCCAGGCAGACGTGGGTAGCAGCTGCTCAACCACATGGTTGCAGGTCGTATGTTTCTGCGCACAGCTGTGGCCAGAGAGGACAGCCACGGGGCTACTAGCTGTGACCTTTGACCCCGAGAGATCCACTGAGCTCTGTAGCTGGGCCACATTGTAGGGCTGTAGAGTCACTCTTAGGACATCGCCTGCTGGATAGAACTTGCCATTGAATGTCACTGACCCCTTCAGCGTGACACTGACCGAGGCACCTGCGGCACCGGCCACCACGGCAAACTCCTTGACATTCCTGGCTGAGGTGCCGGGGGGTGTGAGCACAAAATACTCGGTGCCTAGGGCCTGGATGGGCCGCAGCAGTGTCAGCTCCGCTGTGTCAGGCTTGGCATTTAGTGCCTGCACAGAGATGGCATAGTCAGAATGGATCACCACCGCATGCTGGAAGATCTTGCTGCCTATCATCTCAGCCTTGGCACTGATGTTGACCATGACCGACTCCCCGGGCCTCACTGTGACCTTCTTTGAGGTGTTGTCTGCCTGGCTGAGGATGGAGACTGAAGCGGGGCTCTCTGACAGACTGGAGATAAGGAGGCGGGGGTAGGCCTTGCTGTAGGCCAGCTGATAGTTCTGCAGGAAGGCTGTGAGGAATTCCTCTCTGCCAGTGTTCTTGAGGTCCACTGAAGCCTCCTGGGTCAATCCTGGTTGAGAAAATACAGTTGTGGGTCCACTTATCCAATCCTCCCCACTTTTGCTCTGCACCCAGAAACATGTTGAAGTATTAACTTGGGCTTTCCCCCACCACCCTTCTCTTTCCTTTCTTCTGATTCATGCAGCTTTCGTCTACAAGCCTTCCTGGCTTTTGTTTTTCAAAAATCTAAACACCTTAGACAGGGCCCTCAAACTCCAATGCTGATGGGGCCAGGCAAGAAATATAAATGTGTGAAACAGTCCCGGAGGGGCGACTGTGGAACTGAAGCACTCCTATACCATCTAAAGTGGGTTGTTGCTTATGCAAATCCATCAGTGTGATACATCTTATCAACAGAATAAAGGACAAAAACTATGTGATCACTTCAATTGATGCCAGAAAAGCATTTGATAAAATTTAACATCCTTTCGTGATAAAAACTCTCAAGAAAGTAGACACGGAAGGAACACACCCCAACATGATGAAATCCATGTACAACAGACCCACAGCTGGTATCATACTGAATGGGGAAAAACTGAAAGCCTTTGCTCTAAGATCTGGAACACAGCAAGGATGTCCACTTTCACCACTATTCTTCAACATATTATTGTTAGTCCTAGCTAAACCACTTAGACAATAGAAAAAAATAAAGGGCATCCAAACTGGAAAAAGGGCATTCAAATTATCTTTGTTTGCAGATGATATAATCTTATATTTAGAAAAACCTGAAGACAGCTGGGCTTGGTAGCTCACGCCTATAATCCCAGCACTTTAGGAGGCCGAGGTGGGTGGATCACCTGAGGTCAGGAGTTCAAGACCAGCCTGGCCAACATGGCGAAACCCAATCTCTACTAAAAAAAAACCAAACATTAGCTGGGTATAGTTGCACATGCCTGTAGTCCCAGCTACTCGGGAGGCTGGGGCAAGAGAATCTCTTGAACCCAGGAGGTGGAGGTTGCAGTGAGCCAAGATCACACCACCACACTCCAGCCTGGATGACAGAGCAAGACTCTGTCTCAAAAAAAAAAACAACTTTGGCTGGGTGCAGTGGCTCAAGCCTGTAATCCCACCACTTTGGGAGGCTGAGCTGCACAGATGAAGAGGTCAAGAGATTGAGACCATCCTGACCAACGTGGTAAAACCTGTCTCTATTAAAAATACAAAAAAATAATTAGCCTGGCATGGTGGCAGACACCTGTAATCCCAGCTACTCGGGAGGTTGAGGCAGGAGAATCGCTTGAACCTGGGAGGCAGAGATGGTAGTGAGCTGAGATGGCACCGAGCTGAGATGGCACCATTGCACTCCAGCCTGGGCAACGAGAGCAAAACTCCATCTCAAAAAACAAAAAACAAAAAACAAAACAAAAAAAACAGAAAACCTAAAGACTTCATCAAGAAGCTATTAGAACTGATAAACAAATTCACTAAACTTGCAGGATACAAAATCAACATACAAAAATCAGTAGCATTTCTATATGCTTACAGCAAACAATCTGAAAAAAAAAAAGGAAAGTAATCCCATTTACAATAGCCACAAATAAAATAAAACACCTAGGAATAAACGAAAGAAATGAAAGATCTCTACAATGAAAACTATAAAACAGTAATGAAAGAAATGGAGGAGGACACACACCAAAAAAAATGGAAAGATATTCCATGTTCATGGATTGGAAGACACAATATTGTTAAAATGTCCATACTAACCAAAGCAATCTACCGATTCAATGCAATCTCTATAAAAATACCAGTGACATTCTTCACAGAAATAGAAGACTAATCCCAAAATTTGTGTGGAAACACAAAATACCCAGAATAGCTAACGCCATCCTGAGCATAAAGAACAAAACTGGAGGAATCACATTACCTGACTTCACATTATACTACAAAACTATAATAACCAAAACAGTGTGGTACTGGCATAAAAACAAACACATGGACCAGTGGAACAGAACATAGAACCCAGAAACAAATCCACCCACCTACAGTGAATTCATTTTTGACAAAGATCCCAAGAACATACATTGCATTTATTGAAGATAAATGGTACTGGGAAAACTGGATATCCATATGCAAAGAGTGAAACTAGACCCCTATCTCTCACCACATACAAAAATCAAATCAGAATGGATTAAAGACTTAAATCTAAGACCTCAGACTACGAAACTACTACAAGAAGACATTTGGGAAACTCTCCAGTTCATTAGTCTGGGCAAAAATTTATTAAGTAATACATCAAAAGCACAGGCAACCAAAGAAAAATGGACAAATGGGATCACATCAACCTAAAAAGCTTCTGCTCAGCAAAGGAAACAATCCACAAAGTGAAGACACAACTGACAGAATAAGAGAAAATATATACAACCCATCTTAGCTAAAGCAATTAGACAAGAGAAAGAAATAAAGGCATCCAAACTGGAAAAAAAAAAAAAAGAAGTCAAATTATCCTTGTTTGCAGATGATATAATCTGATATTTAAAAAAAACCTAAAGACGCCATCAAAAAGCTATTAGAACTGATAAACAAATTCACTAAATTTGCAGGATACAAAATCAACATACAAAAATCAGTAGCATTTCTAGATGGTACTGACAAGGGATTAATAACCAGAATATAAAAGGAGCTCAAACAACTCAATAGGAAAAAAATCAAATAATCTGATTTGTGTGTGTGTGTGTGTGTGTGTGTGTGTGTATGTGTGTGTGTTTGAGATGGGGTCTTACTCTGTCACCCCAGGCCGGACTGCAGTGGCACGATCTCAGCTAACTGCAACCTCCGCCTCCTGGGTTCAAGTGATTCTCTTGCCTCAGCCTTCCAAGTAGCTGGGATTACAGGCATGCGCCACCATGCTCGGCTAATTTTTGTACTTTTAGTAGAGACAGGGTTTCCCCATGCTGGCCAGGTTGGTCTCGAACTCCTGACCTCAAGTGATCCGCCTGCCTCGGCCTCCCAAAGTGCTGGGATTAGAGACGTGAGCCACCACGCCCGGATTAATCTGATTTTAAAATGGGCAAAAGATCTGAATAGACATTTCTCAAAGAAGACATACACATGGCCAGCAGGTATATCAAAAAATGCTCAACATCACTAATCATCAGAGAAACACAAATTAAAACCACAGTGAGATATCATCTCACTCGAGTTAAAATGGCTTTTATCCTAATGAAAGGCAGTAATGAATGCTGCTGAGCATGTGGAGAAAAGGGAACCCTGTTACCCTGTTGGTGGGAATGTAAATCAGTACAATCACTATCGATAATAATATGAAGGTTTCTCAGAAAACTAAAACTAGAACTACTGTATGATCCAGCAATTCCTTTCCTTCCAAGTCAGGAAGTCAGTATATGTAAGAGACATCTGCTCTCCCATGTTTATTGCAGCACTATTCCTAATAGCCAAGATACGGAATCAACCTAAGTGTCCATCAACAGATGAGTGGATAAAGGAAATTTGGTACATACAAACAATGGAGAATTATCCACCATAAAAAAGAATGAGATCACCCGGCACAGTGGCTCACACCTATAATCCCAGCACTTTGGGAGGCCAAGGCAGGTGGATCACTTGAGGTCAGGAGTTCAAGACGAGCCTGGCCAACATGGTGAAACCCTGTCTCTACCAAAACTACAAAAATTAGCCAGGAATGGTGGCATGTACCTGTAATCCCAGCTACTCGGGAGGCTGAGGCACGAGAATCACTTGAACCTGGGAGGCGGAGGTTGCAGTGAGCCAAGATCGCGCCACTGTACTCCAGCCTGGGCAACAGAGTGAGACTCGGTCTCAAAAAAAAAAAAAAAAAAGGAATGAGATCCTGTCATTTGCAACAACATGGATGGAACTGGAGGACATGATGTTAAGTGAAATAAGCCAGTATAGAAAGACAAATTTCACATGTTCTCACTCATAGATGGGAATTTAAAATTTTTAACTGATGAACTCATAGAAATAGAGAGTAAAATGATGGTTACGATGATTACCACAGGCTGGAAAGTGTAGCGGGGACTGGGGGATAAGTAGATATGGTTAATGGGTACAAAAATACAGTTAAACAGTTAGATAAAATAGATAAAATCTAGTATTTGGTAGCAGAACAGGATGACTATTGTTGACGATAATTTATGGTATATTTTAAAATAACTGAGAGTGGAATTGGAATGTTCCTAACACAAAGAAATGACAAATGCTTGAAGTGAGGGATGCCCTAGTTACCCTGATTTTATCATTACACACTGTATGCCTGTATCAAAATATCACAGGTACCCCATAAATGCAAACCCATAAAAATTAAAAATTTTAAAAATATATAAACTAGTAAAAAAAAAAAAAGTGGATTGTTGGTACTAGCTTTCACCTGTTATAATGAAAGAATGTGAGCTTTTTTAAATTGTAAGACCTTCCTGTTTTTCTTTTTTTTTTTCTTCTGAGATGGAGTCTCGCTCTGTCACCCAGGCTGGAGTGCAGTGGCACGATCTCGGCTCACCACAACCTCTGCCTCTCAGGTTCGAGTGATTCTACCACCTCAGCCTCCCGAGTACTGGGACTACAGGTGTGCGCCACCAGGCACAGTTAACTTTTGTATTTTTTCTTTTTTTTCTTTTGAAATGGAGTCTCACTCTGTTACCCAGGCTGGAGTGCAGTGGCGCGATCCTGGGTCACTGCAACCTCTGCCTCCCGGTTTCCACGCCCAGCTAATTTCTGTATTTTTAGTAGAGATGGGGTTTCACCCTGTTGGCCAGGCTGGTCTCAAATTCCTGACCTCAGGTGATCCACCTGCCTCGGTCTCCCAAAGTGCTGGGATTACAGGCGTAAGCCACCACGCCTGGCCGTTCTTTCTGTTTTTAAAGAGAATGTGGCTATCTGAATTTTCATGTGAAATCTCCAACCCACAATTGTTTTAAGCACTTTGGGGCTCAAGGTGGATGTACTCTGCTGCCAGTGTATGATTTCCATCTTTTTACAAACTGGAGTGCAGTGGCTTAAACACAACACACTGCAGCCTCAACCTCCTGGGCTCAAGGGATCCTCCTGTCTCAGCTTCTGGTATAGCTGGGACCACAGGCACGCACTGTGTGCCTGGCTCATTTTTTAATTTTTTTCTAGAGGCAGGGTCTCACTTTGTTGCCCAAGCTGGTCTTGAACTCCTGGGCTCAAGTGATCCTCCTGCATCAGCCTCCCGAAGTGCTGGGATTACAGACGTGACCAACTGTACCCAGCTGGTTTTTGTCTTAATAGGACTTGTGGGGGCCAGGCGCGGTGGCTCTTGCCTGTAATCCCAGCACTTTGGGAAGCCAACGCGGGTGGATCACTTGAGGTCGGGAGTTCATGAGCAGACTGACCAACGTGGTGAAATTCCATCTCTACTAAAAATGCAAAATTAGCCGGACATGGTGGCATGGGGCGCCTGTAATCCCAGCTACTAGGGAGGCTGAGGCAGGAGAATCGCTTGAACCCAGGAGGTGGAGGTTGCAATTAGCTGAGATCACACCATTGCACTCCAGTCTAGGCAACAAGAGTGAAACTCCATCTCAAATAATAATAATAATAATAATAATAATAATAATAATAATGGGACTTGGGGGTTTGTGAAAAGGGGATAAAGAGAAGAAGGGGATTATGGAAGGGTGAATGAATTGTCTCCTAGAAATAGATGGCAGTGGGGGCTTCTGACCACCCCCAACTAGGAAGAGCGTCCCTGGGGCTGAGGAGAGAGAGGTCTAAGGAATCTTGAAGAGAGTGTGGGGGCTATGGAATGACCACCTTCCATATAAAGGGGGCTTTGAAGGATATCCCAGGGGGCCAGGGGATCAGGAACAATGGACATTTCAAAAGTAACCTAGATGGATGCTGACTGGTGACGAGAGGGTCCTCATATCCCATCCTCCCCCCAGTACTTTGGCTTTATCCAAAATTTTAGTTCTGGACACATCCCTGGGAGAAGTGGGGACAACACCCTCCAAGAATGACTTTCGTGAAATTTTCCATCAACTTAGCAGAATGAGGCTCAGAGTCAAAACCTTAGTTGAGTTGCAGAAAACCAAGAAAGTTCTTGCACACTTGAGTTTGGGGACTAAGGTTTTTGCCTGTGCTCCCATCCAGAAAAGGGTGAGAATTGGTGAATTCTACCACATCCCCCTGCAGAGCCTAAGGGCCTCTCTCCTGTCTCAGCTAGCCTGGGGTGACATGTGGAGGAGGCACACATGGAAGGCGTGGACCCACGCAGAGTTCCCCAGATTGGAACAAGGACATGGAGAGGGTCTTGGTCTGACTTACCCCACAGGAGGGTTGCTCCAGCCCAGAGTATCCACCAGCTCCATAGGGCACCCATGGCTGCAGTAGGAAAAGAGAAAGGATCATAGAAGGCTGATCCACCGCCTCTGCTGGAGACTGTCCTGGGCAGAAGGGCCCACTCTCATGACAAGGGCCACCTGGGACCATGAAGGCTGAGGTGGGGAAAGAAGTCGGGCAGATTGGGCCAGGGGGTATGGATCCAAGGACCAGTGTGTGTGTATAGGGGAGGCTGGCTGTCCAGCGGGTCTGGAGGTGGGTTGGGGAGGGCAGAAGCCAGGGACGGGGTGGAGAGTTGGCTGTCTTGTGGGTCTAGGGGTAGGATGAGGAGGCCTACAGTCAGGGGCAAGAGTAGGGGACCTGCTGTCCCACTTCCAAAGGGGACCCCAGCCCTTCTCACCTGCAGGTCCCTGGAGCTGCAGGGCCAGCCCTGTGGCAGGGCTATATAGTGGAGTTTCTGGGCCACACCCTGGGCCACGTGCCAGGCAGATGATGCCAACTTCCTGGAGGAGGCTGCCATCCTCATGGCCAGATGAAATGGGAAACTGTGAAGGCCTGGGAAGGAGGGACAGTGATTCTGGATGCCTGGGTTCCAAGAAGGGAGTGAGGACAGCTGGTGGCCATTCCCTGGAAGCCTTCTGGAGAGTTTGGTCCTGGAAGGGTGGGGTCCCTGAGGGAGACAGCTGGGGAGCAGGCAGATGAGCACCTGGGTCCCTGGGTGGAGGTGGGGTAGGGTGGGGGTGTGGGCAGTGAGGGTGGGAGGTGGCATGTGGTCATATTTGCTGGCTTAGTGGCTAGGTTCCTTCCTTTGGCTCCTGCCAGGAACAACAGTGAGGGACCCATATCCGGGTCCTGGTTCCTTCTCAGTCCCCACAGGCTGGGGAGTCCCTAGCCACCCACATCCTGCTTCCAGACACCACTAGGGGCAGGTGTCTGGGATGGGCAGGAGTCTGAGGCTATGGAGTGGGACACAAGACCTCCACCGCAGCCCAGTGGGGCGTCTGCGGTTTCTCATCTGCAAAATGGGAACACCAAAACCAGCCTCTCTGGGCATCTTTACGTCCCAGAGATGTAAAAAAATTCTCAAGGACTGTAGAGCTGGGGGGCAGCCTCCTCTGGTGTGGGCGCAGGCCAGGCTGCAGGTGGGCACTGGGACTGAGGCGGTGTGTGAAGAAGGGACAATGGCCTCTGTTTCCTGGTTCCACACAGACACCCAGATTCTACTTCTGATCCCAGACACCTGCTCCTCAGTGGTGCTGGAAACAGGATATAGGTGGCCAGGGACTCCCCAGCCTGTGAGGACTGAGGAAGAGCCAGGACCTGTTGGTTTTGGAGTTTTTTTGTGTGTAGGGAGGGTTTGCTCTTAGCAGGGGCTAGCTGAACAGGTTTAGGGGACTCTGTGCCTCTCCATCACCCCAGAATTTGCCTGAGATGGGAGGTGGAGGTCTAGGTTGCACACAAGGAGCAGAAGAATGAGCTGAAAGTTGGGCTTTCTCAGCTGGAGTCAGCTCCTCTGAGGGGCTGGCCTGACCCATGCCCTGCCTGCCTTCTCCCTGACTCAGGATCTCATTGTTTGCTGGGGGAGTCTCCCCTGGGACCAGCAGCTGCAAAGCCTGGGTGCTCTCTTGGACCAACACCCTAGCAGCTGCTGCCCCTGGGGCTCCTCCTCTCTTATCACAGCAGCCTGGGCCTCTGGGAGGCCAGAGCGGGTGGGGGGCTTCTCTCTCCCTGGAGCTCCAACCAATCCCCACGCCCACCCAAGAAACGTTCCTGGAGGGAAAGATAAAGGCTAAGAGTTGACTGGGACATAAAGTCAACCAGGAGAATGAGGTGAGTAAATAGGAGACTGGCTAAAAGCCAGAGATAACAAGAAACAAGCAGGGGCAGGGGACCCACAGGAAGTGGAAGCTTTGGGAAAAGGATGCCTGGGTCCCTGAGGGGTCTAAAAGTTGGTGGAAGGGGCTGCTGGGTCCCTGAGACAGAGAAGGACTCGGAGGAGGAGACGTCGGGATTCCTAGGAGGAAACAGCAATTGCAAACCAAGATGTGAAAATTCTCTGTCTGAGGCCAGGCGCAGTGGCTCAGCTTATAATTCCAGCATTTTGGGAGGCTGAGGCAGGAGGATTGCTTAAGGCCATGAGTTTGAGACCAGCCTGGTTCAAGACCAACATAGTGAGACCCTGTATCTACAAAAAAATACAAAAATTAGCCAGGCACGGTGGTGCACGCTTGTAGTCCCAGCTACTTGGGAGGCTGAGGCAGGAGGATCACTTGAGGCCACAAGGTCAAGACCAGCCTGGGCAACATAGTGAGACCCTTTCTCTACAAAAAATATAAAAATAAACCGAGTGTGGTGGCATGCACCTGTAGTCTCCACCATTCAGGAGGCTAAGGTGGGAGGATTGCTTGATCCTAGGAGTCTGAGGCTGCAGCGAGCCGTGATCATGCCACTGCATTCTGGCCTGGGGAGAAAAAGAAAAAAGAAAATAAAATCCTCTGTGTGCCATATGCCTCTTGTAATTAGAGGCACTCAGAGACAAATGGGAGGTGAAGGGAAAGAATCAGGGTGAGTTTCATGGGTGTTTCTGGCCCTCAATTCTCTCTAAGCCTTGGGGTTTCCCCTGGTTGATCACAGAAAGAAGCTTCCTGCCTTCAAAATTCATCATCGCTCTCCACAGCCAGAGTCCCCAGAAATGGGGTGGTTGTGGTGGGAGATCTCACAAATTAATACTCTGTATGTGCCAATCCCCTTGGGTCTTCTTTCTCACTCCTTTTAAGGCCCAAGTGGTGTGTGTGTGGGTGTGTGTGTGGGTGTGTGTGTGTGTGTGTGTGTATGTGTGTGTGTACACCCCTGTGCTTTACCCTGTATTATATCAATTCTCAGGAAACCCTTTGGTGACCCGGGAAATAAACTCTGGGGACACTTCCTTATGGTCAGAGAAATCGCATCCATCCCTCCACTGGCAGCCTTGCTCTGAGCCCAAACAAGGGTATTTGTGTACCTGAGCCTTTCGGCCTCTTCCTGCTTATCTGCTTCCGTCTCCTTGCAGCATGGGCACTGGCTATACCATCCCAGACCCCTGGGCCCCTCTGACTAGTCTTGGCTTTATAGACTGGAGCACAGTGGAAGAGAATTTACTCTCTCCAGCTAAATTCAGGCTTGCGGGCAATTTCTAACTTAATTCCTTTACGCTCTGGATCCCACAATCCGACTTCCATAAGCACTGAACGTTTTGTTAAACTCTCCAATGACCCATTATTTGCCACTTGCCTCTAGTTCCTTCCCTCTAACATTTGACATTCACACTTCCTCTCTGCCTATAATAATTGAAATTCTATAGGAGATGTTCTCTGACCATAATGGAATCAGCTTGAAATGAATAACAGAAAAACAGGAAAATCTCCACTCACAAGGATATTGAGCAACTCACTTCTAAATAATCCATGGGCCAAAGAGGAAGTATCAAAAATACATAGAATTAAATGAAAATGAAAAGAAGATATTTCAAAATATGTGGGATATAGCTAAAGGGAAATTTATGGCATTAAATATTTACATTAGGAAAGAGGAAAGTTCTTAAACCAATATTCTAAGCTCTTCTTACACAATAAAGTAGTAAAAGACCAAAACAAACACAACGCAGAAGAAAGGAAATAATGAAGAGCAGAAATTAATAAAACTGAACATGAGAAAATCAATGAAACGAAAGAACTACTTCTTTGTTGTTGTTGTTGTTGCTAACAAGAGCAAGTCTTTGAATTTCCCAAATGTATTTGTGGATTTGTCTATTGTTGAATAGAGCATTCTATAAATATCAATTAGATCCTGTTGATTGATGCTGTTATTCAGTTCTTTGATATTCTCACATATTTTATCCTGGTAGTTCTATCAATTTGGTGAGACTGACGTTTTTAATTCTCCAACTATATTTGTGGACTTGTCTATTTCACCTTTCAGCTCTATCAGTTTTTGCTTCATGTACTTGAATCTCTGTTGTTTGGTACATATACCTTAGGATTGCAATGTCTTGGCAGAATGATCCTTTGTTTTTAGCAATGTTTTTCGCTCTGAAGGAAAGTATTTTCGTATTAATATAGTACTTCCTTCCTTTTAAAAATTTATATTTAAAATTATATATATATTTATTTATTTATTTATCTATTTATTTTTTAGACAGAGTCTCGCTCTGTTGCCCAAGCTGGAGTGCAAGGGCATGATCTCGGCTCACTGCAGCCTCTGCCTCCCAGGTTCACGCAATTCTCCTGCTTCAGCCTCCCAAGTAGCTGGGATTACAGGCACCTGTGACCACGCCTGGCTAATTTTTGTATTTTTGGTAGATACGGGGTTTCACCATGTTGACCAGGCTGGTCTTGAACTCCTGACCTCAAGTGATCTATCTGCCTTGGCCTCCCAAAGTGCTGGGATTACAGGGGTGAGCCACTGCACCCAGCCTAAAATTTATATTTATAATAACATAAATTAATAAAATTAATATATATTTCTATTCTTTTATTTTCAACCTACCTATGTTGTTATATTTGGAGTAAAGTTTTTTGGAGACAGTATCTAGTTGGATCATTTTTTAAATCCACTCTACCAATCTCTGGCCTTTTATTTCATGTAAGGAGATAGACTATTTACATTTAAAGTAGTTATTGATATGTTTGGACTTAAGATTAACATTTTAATATTCATTTTCCATTTGTTCCATTTCTCATTCTTATTTTTTCTTGCATTCCTGTGAGTTACATGAGCATTTTTTAGCATTCCATTTTGATTCATATTATTTTCGAATACATAATTTGTAGAATTTTCTTAGCACTTGCTCTAGTACTACAATATACATATGTAACTGATTATAATCCAACTTATGAATATTTTACCACTTTGATTGAAGTGTTGAAACTTTACATCCATATAGATCCTTTTACCCTCCCACTTATACATATGCGTGTGTGTGTATACACATATAACTATTTTAAGTATTGTCTCTTCCTATAGACATCAGATAATACTATAATTTTTGCTTCAACCAACTACGATTTTTAAAAACTCATGAGAAGGGTAATCTGCTATAGTTATCACTATTTTTGTCCATTCTGCTGTTCTTCCTTCCTTTCTAAAGTTCTGAGCCTTTTCCTGTAATCATTTGGACTTTGGAGAACTTCCTTTAATCATTCTCTAAAAATAATTCTGCTGACGGCAAAGTCTTGTAGTCTTCCTTCATCTAAAAGCTTTTTATTTCTTCTTCATACCCCGTAGATAGTTTTGCTGCATATAAGATTCTCGGCTGGGCACAGTGGCTCACGCCTGTAATCCCAGCACTTTGGGGTGCTGAGGCGGGCAGATCACAAGGTCAGGAGTTCCAGACCAGCCTGGCCAACATGGTGAAACCCTGTCTCTAATAAAAGTACAAAAATTAGCCGGGCATGGTGGCGGGCGCCTGTAGTCCCAGCTACTTGGGAGGCTGAGGCAGGAGAATCACTGGGAGGTGGAGGTTGCAGTGAGCCAAAAGCACACCACTGCATTCCAGCCTGGAGGACAGAGCGAGACTGTCTCAAAAAAAAAAAAAAAAAGATTCTCAGCAGATAGTTATTTTCTTTCAGCACTTGAAGAGTATTGCTCCAGGCTTTCTTCTCCATGGTTTTTGATAAGAAATTTTTTGTCATTTGATCAGTGTTCCCTATAGACAATTTATAATTCCTCTCTAGCTGCTTCCAAGATAGTTTCATTGTTTGCCTTTGTTTTCATAAGTTAGTTATACTGTGTTTTGGCATGGAATCCGTCAGATTTATTCTGTTTAGCTTCTTGCATCTGTAGGTTTATGTCTTTTGCCAAATTTGGGAAGGTTTGGTCATTATTCTTCAAATATTTTTCAGCCCCACTTTCTTTTCTCCTTCTGTTAATCTGATAATACAAATGTTAGCTATTTTATAATTGTCCTGCAGGTTCTCTGAGCCCTTGTTAGTCATTTTCTGTTTCTCTTTTTTAAAGTTGATTGTCTCTCTGTTTTTTGGATTGGGTAATTTTTATTGTTCTATCTTCAAGTTCACTTCTTATTTCCTTTGTCATAGTTGCTCTGCTCTTGAGCCTTTCCAGTGAGTTTTTATTTTAGTTATTGTATTTTTCAGTTTTATCATTTTCATTTGATTCTTTAAGAACATACTTTCCATTTCTTTGGTGAGATTTTCTTTTCTTTCCCATCTTTGCAAGGAATTTCTACTTGCTTGGTGAAACATTTTTATGATGGCTACTTTAGATCTTTGTCAGATAATTCTAAAATCTTTCATCTCAGTGTTAGATTGTTGATTGGCTTTTCTCATTCAAGTTGTGATTTTTCTGGTTGTTCATATTATGTATGATTTTTAAATTATATCCTGGACATTTCTGGTATTATGAGAGGAGACCCTGGATCCTATTTAACTCTTCCATTTTAGCAGTCACTGTTTTTAGGTTAGCATGCAGGTCCTGGCCTACTTTTGTGTGCTATGATTCCAATGACAATTTAGTTTTCAGAGCCCTTGCATTATTATTCCGGTCTATTTCATTTGCCTGGTGCTGGTTGAGCTCATACCCAATTCCTGTTAGTACCACCAATGGAGGTTAAAAGCATTTTCTTGGGGCCTGCTTGGTGCTGCTACGTTAGGAGTAGGAGACACTGGCACAAAAGGGTGGAGAGTACTTCCCTGGGCTGCGTGGTGCCAGCAGGGCTCTTCCTTCATCTCTGCCATCCACTAGGGTGGGGAAAGCACCTACCTGGGTGCTTTCTGCCGCTGGATAGGGGGCTGGGGAGATGCTGGATCTAGACCACGTCCTGTCGTTGGGTGGGAAATTGAGAGATGCTGGGCCACTGAGATGTTTCTCGAGTTCTAAGGCCCTTGTCAGTTTTCCTTCTTTTTATCTTTCAGAGTCCTCTTAAGAATGTCTGTTATGTTATTCCAGGGTTTTTAGCAGAGAGGAGCCAGGAAAAATAAATCTATGTCATCTTGACAGAGATGTTACCATCATCCTGGCTTGTTGTAGTCTCCTAAGATAGAAATCAAGTGAGATTACCAGACACAGTATTAAAGAGAAAAAAAAAAAAAAGTTTGTTTCCGTTTGTGCAGAAGGGAGGTCAGCACCGTGAAAGGAAAAGGGTAGGCTGCTCCCCACAGGGAGCAAGTCGATCTGTCTTGTAGGGGTCCAGATGCCATGATGTGCCTGTCATCATGTGTTAACAAGGGATTTCTTGGCGCCTGCACAATGGTTCAACATGGTTTTTCATACATTGCATGTAATATTGGCATTTTAAATCTCTACCTCTGAGCATGATTTTTAGCATTGAAATAAGGAAATTATCACTGTAAGTTGAAACCTAAGCTGTTCCTGTGGCTTCCTGGGGAAGTCCCTAAGCCCCTAAAGCAGGAACTTGTGGTTAATAGCTTCTTGGGCCTCTGATGCTGACTGGCTGGAGGTTAGGTATAGAACAGGAATTAAAAGAAATAAAGAATGTGTAAGCAAAACTTAGTTGTATGTAAGAAAACCCAATTCCCCCTGAGGAAGAGAAAGAGCTGGAGTCCTTTAAAATTAACTGCCTGTTTTTCTATGGCTAGTGAGCCTTATCTCTCCCTTTCCCAGGCATTGTGAAGACTCTGTTTCTCTAGCTGTGCAGCTGTAAGATCACTAGACAGATAATCTCAAGTCGTAAAACATGCTGTTCCTTGAAAAAAAAATGATATAATGCATGTCTCAATTGAATGACTGTCTTTGTTTCTCACTTCTGTGATATGCTTCCCCCTGCACAGATCTCCCCCAGCCCCACGAAATGCTTAAAAGGTAGCTTGACTCTTTGTTCAGGGCTCAGTCCTTTGGATGTTAATCTGACTGGGTCGGTGCACCTGAATAATTAAATAATTCCTCCTCAACCCCACGGTCTCTCTGATTCCTTAATTATCCTGCTGCAGACAAGCTACAGCTTGAGTAAGGGGCTTTTGTTCTTTTTCACTAAACCACCTCAAAATAGGAAGCCAGCCAGCTGTCTCACTCCCAGCCAAGAGATTTCATTCTCCTTATTCTTTTTTTTTTTTTTTTTTTTTTTAGACCAGGAGAAATAACTTTATTTGAATAGGACCCGAGACAGCATATTGGGCTAAGGAGGAGAGGTAAGGTTCCAAAACCGCAGTCAAAGCTCATCAACCAAATGGACTCTACTTCCCAGCAACCTTGCAGTTAGTGCAACCAACAAAAGGCCTGCTGGGGAATGTATTTGCCACTAAATCCCCCAAGTATGCCAACATTACAAAAAAGATAGAGGTTTTTCATCATAATTGAATTTCCACAAACCTCCCCAATCACAAGTATTATAAGTGGAAGTAAAAAATCACATTTTACAGATCTCAAACTTGTCTTCAACATTTAGTTCATCATCTTCAAAAAATAGCTCCCCTGCCTAATTCATTAGCTATATGATCTCTCCAAGCAGCAACAAGATGGCCAGGCCATGGCAATCCTCTTCCTATTTCCCCTAGCCACTCAGGGCTCAACAGCAGGGTGAGGCTCAGGTGGAGGTAGGGGGTGGGGAGCACAAGGGCTACATTCCCCCAGTACAACGTGGCATCTGAAGCTTGATGGGAGAGCAGAACTGGTGGGACTTGAGGGAAGGGTCCAGGGCCTGTATTCAGTCAGAATCACTGCTGGAAGAGGAGGAGGAAGAGGAGGAATGCTTGTCATGCTTGTGGTACTTGTGGTGCTTTTGGTGCTTGTGCATCTTTTTATGAGCTTTCTTCATTTTCTTCTGCATCTTCTTGTCCACTATCACTGCTGGTCCAACCATGCCAGGAGCCAAGGGATTCACAGGAGGGATTCCAGGGGCAGGCGGTGGGTATGGAGGAGGGTAGGGACCCAACGGTTGGCATCCTGGATACCCTGGCTGTGGCACAGGATGAGGGGGCCCACCTGGGGGGAAAGCTGGATTGCCATGGGGAGCTCCTGGGGGAGGAGGACAGGGGCCTGGGGGAAAGGGTGGATTAATAGGTGGTGGGTGGGCAGGATTGGAACCTCCAGGGCACCCAATATTGGGGGGATATGGATTTGGCCCTGGCTGCCCGGCATTGGGATTCCACATGTTTAGGTGTGTCCTCCAGCCTTTCCACCGCCGCCTGGGCTTGCTGCGTTCTCCTTCGCAGTCCTCATTCTCCTTATTCTTAAGGAGCAAAGGTCTCTTCTGGAACTACTTCCTGCTAAGCATGGACATAGTCTCTACATCTATTTCCAGGAGGAGTAGAAATTTCTTATGGCTTGCTGAAGGGGCTGATACGGCTCTGGGCTAGTGGTCTCTGAAACAGGCTGGAAGCCTGGCAAGACCATTTACTTGGCATGAAAGCATTACAGTCTGAAAGACGTGAATTTTACCAGCAGGTTAAACAAGCATGGTTTAAAAATTAAAAATTTAAAGATTAAAAACTTTAAATATTAAAAGAAGAAAGATAGCCAATAAGGGCTTAAGAAAGGGAGGAACCAAGTTACAAGCCTTACAAGGGTAAGGTTCATCTGACAGCATTGTACACTAAGTTGACTTCCTTTATCAAAAGAGTGTAACCAATTTCCTGATTGTAAATTGCCTGGGTGTTAACCTCTACTCGCCCAGTAGTATTTATCCAAGTGCAGCAGGAGGTATGGTGACTGTACAAACATCTTCCTGTTCAGCTAATAAGTAACCTAGAAGTCTTGCACAATGATTAACTTGACATGAAACTATTGTAGTCTGAAAGACACAAATTTTACCAGCAGGTTAAAGAAGCATGGTTTAAAGATTAAAAGAAGAAAGATAGCTAATAAGGGCTTAAGAAAGGAAGGAACCAAGTTATGGAGGGTAAGGCCCAAGTTATGGAGGGTAAGGCCTAGCAGTTGTCCAACACCACATTAGCAAGAGAATTGAGGGAGGTTTTTAGCCTTTCCAGGGCCTGCCTCACCTGGTCCACTATATGCCTAGGGCTATTGTGACTCCAGGTACCCTGCACCCAGACTAAAAGGAAGAGGTTACAGTGAGATAGAAGGTACAGTGGCTGGGCGCGGCGGCTCACGCCTGTAATCCCAGCACTTTGGGAGGCCGAGGCGGGTGGATCACAAGGTCAGGAGATCAAGACCATCCTGGCTAACACGGTGAAACCCCCATCTCTAAAATACAAAAAATTAGCCAGGCATGGTAGCATGCACCTGTAGTCCCAGCTACTTAGGAGGCTGAGGCAGGAGAATCCCTTGAACCCAGGAGGTGGAGGTTGCAGTGAGCCGAGATCGTGCCACTGCCCTCCAACCTGGACAACAGAGTGAGACTCCGTTTAAAAAAAAAAAAAAGGAAGAGGGTACAGTGGGAGCATGATTCATGCCAGGCCCTCACCATGTCTTGAGTATGACCTGTGCACCTAATAGGGAAATGATCCCAAACTATCTTACCCAGCTGGGGTAATATTTTATTATTATATTGTCTGCTAAATTTTCCCCAAGTTGATAATGTATTTTAAAGCCTGATTTAAGTCTTCATCTATTAGAAAGTTTGTCTTGAGAAAGGACTGCTCCAATAGGTCATTTTAAAAGGGCTGAGCTTTAAGTTCCCCTTTGGGGTGGATCTTATTCTTAGTAAGGCAATAGGGAGGCACTTAATCCATGATTTCTGGGCTTCTTGGCATAGTGTAGCCAAGGTTCTTTTTAAGGGTTTGATTCATTCTCTCAACTTTCCCAGAAGATTGAGGATGCCAGGCAGAGTGAAGTTTGTATTGGATGCTAAGACTGCTAGACAGCCCTTTGGTGACCTAGGTGATAAAAGACAGCCTGTTGTCACTTTGTAGGGAGGCTGGAAGCCCAAACCTAGGAATTCCTTGTTTAAGCAGCCATTTACTTTTTGTTTGTCTGGTTTGGTTTGGTTTTTAATTTTTTTTTTGACAGAGTCTCGTTCTTGTTGCCCAGGTTGGAATGCAGTGGCACGATCTCAGTTCACTGCAACCTCCACCTCCAGGGTTTAGGTAATTCTCCTGCCTCAGCCTTCTTAGTAGCTGGGATTACAGGTGCCCTGTGCCACCATGCCCAGCTAATTTTTGTATTTTTTTTTTTTGAGACGGAGTCTCGTTCTGTCACCCAGGCTGGAGTGCAGTGGTGCGATCTCGGCTCCCTGCAAGCTCCGCCTCCCGGGTTCACGCCATTCTCCTGCCTCAGCCTCCCGAGTAGTTGGGACTACAGGCGCCTGCCACCATGCCCGGCTAATTTTTTGTATTTTTAGTAGAGATGGGGTTTCACCGTGTTAACCAGGATGGTCTCGATCTCCTGATTGTGATCTGCCCGTCTCAGCCTCCCAAAGTGCAGGGATTACAGGTGTGAGCCACCGCACCTGGCCTTAATTTTTGTATTTTTAGTAGATGGGGTTTCACTATGTTGGTCAGGCTGGTCTCAAACTCCTGGCCTCAGGTGATCCGCCCACCTCAGCCTCCCAAACTGCTGGGATTACAGGCGTGAGCCACTGCACCCGGCCTTTAAGCAGTCATTTACAAACTTCAATTGCTTTTTCTGTTTGTGTGGGGAAAGCTTCCACCCAGCCTGCGAAAGTGTCTATAAAAATCAGAATATATTTGAATTCCCCTTTAGGGGTATCTGTGTAATTCGCCAATCTTCTCCAGGATAGGTCTTCTTATGCTGCACTGGGGCAGAGCCAGTGGATGGGCTCAGGAATTATTTCTAAGACAAATTTCACATGCTTGAGTTACAGAGTCCACTGTGGCTTTTTTATTTTTATTTTTTGAGACTGAGTCTCACTCTGTCACCCAGGCTGGAGTGCAGTGGCATGATCTTTGCTCACCGCGGCCTCTGCCTCTCAGGTTCAAGCAATGCTCCTGCTTCAGCCTCCTGAGTAGCTGGGATTACAGGCATGCGCCACCACACCCAGCTAATTTTTATATTTTTAGTAGAGACGGGATTTCACTAAGTTGGCCAGGCTGGTCTCGAACTCCTGACCTCAGGTAATCCACCCACCTCAGCCTCCCAAACTGCTGGGCTTACAGGTGTGAGCCACTGCACCTGGCCCACTGTGGCTTTTTCTTTCTTTCTTTTTTTTTTTTTTGACAAGGTCTCGCTTTGTCACCCAGGCTGGAGTGCAATTGTGCAATCTTGACTCACTGCTGCCTCAAACTCCTGGGCTCGAGCAATCCTCCCACCTCAGCTTCCCAAGTAGTTAGTACCACAGATGCATTCCACCATGCCCAGATAATTTTTAAAAATGCTTTTGTAGAGACACAGTCTTATCGTGTTGCCCAGGCTGGTCCTGATCTCCTGGGCTCAAGCAATCCTCCTGCCTCAGCCTCCTCAAATGCTGGGATTACTGGTGTGAACCACCATGCCTGTTAGGCTGTAGCTTTTAAAGCCTTGCTCACTAGGAGATTTTGGATTAAATTCCATAGTGAGTCTCTCTCATAATGAGTTTCCTCATGAAGTCTTTTGATGACTTTCCATTGGTCAGCTTCTGGTAGGAAAAGGCATTGTTGCTGATCTTCTAGCCACCCTGACCATTTAAATTATACCCTCCTTCATCTGCTCAGTTTTTTTTTTTTTGATGGAGTCTCGCTCTGTTGCCCAGGCTGGAGTGCAATGGTGCCATCTCAGCTCATGGCAATCTCTCCCTCCTGGGTTCAAGCGATTCTCCTGCCTCAGCCTCCCAAGTAGCTGGGACTACAGGCATGCACCACCACGCCCAGCTAATTTTTGTGTATTTTAGTAGAGACAGGGTTTCACCATGTTGGCCAGGCTGGTCTCGAACTCCTGACCTTAGGTGATCCTCCCACCTTGGCCTCCCAAGGTGCTGGGATTACAGGCATGAGCCATCACTCCTGGCCAACCACTGCCAACTTCTTTTTTTTTTTTTTTTTTTTTGAGATGGAGTCTCGCTCTGTCCCCTAGGCTGGAGTGCTGTGGTGCGGTTTCAGCTCACTCTAAGCTCCACCTCCCGGGTTCACGCCATTCTCCTGCCTCAGCCTCCCAAGTAGCTGGGACTACAGGCGCCTGCCACCATGCCCAGCTAATTTTTTGTGTTTTCAGTAGAGACGGGGTTTCACCATGTTAGCCAGGATGGTCTTGATCTCTTGACCTCGTGATCCGCCTGCCTCGGCCTCCCAAAGTGCTGGGATTACAGGAATGAGCTAACGCGCCCGGCCCAGCTGCCCGTTTGGCAGCTCTATCAGCCTGGTTGTTTCCTTGGCTGATTAAAGAATTGTCTTTTTGATGCCCTTTATAGGACATAACAGCTATTTGGGCAGGGAGCTTAATATGGTTTGGCTCTGTGTCCCCACCCAAATCTCATCTCGAATTGTAATCCCCTCATGTCAAGGGAAGTACTTGGTGGGAGGTGACTGGATCACGGGGGCAGTTTCCCCAATGCTGTTTTCACAATAGTACGTGAGTTCTCATGAGATCTGATAGCTTAAAAGTGTGTGGCTTCCTTCACTCACTCTCCTGCTGCCATGCAAGATGTGCCTTGCTTCCCCTTCACCTTCCGCCATGATTGTAAGTTTCCTGAAGCCTCCCAGCCATGCAGAACTGTGAGTCAATTAAACTTTCTTTGTTTATAAATTACCCAGTCTCAGGTATGTGTTTATAGCAGTGTAAGAACAGACTAACATAGAGATGAACTGCCTCAAGGAGGAATAAAATCGCTTCATTGGGTTTTGTCGGGGTGCTCCTGGCAGTTAGCATTCTCCTCTTTCCAGACAGCTGCATGAGTATGGAGCATTAGGAATCCATACTTAGAATCAGTATATATATTAAGTCTCTTCCCTTCTTCAAGCTGAAGAGCCCTTAACTAAGGCTTGGAGCTCTGCTTCCTGAGCTGAAGTGCTTAGGGGAAGTTATTTTGCCTCTCTGGTCCAGCGTAGGCTGACAATAGCATGTTTTGCCTTCCGGGCTCCATTTTATTTGTTTGTTTGTTTGTTTTTTTAGATGGAGTCTCGCTCTGTCACCCAGGCTGGAGTGCAATGGCGTGATCTTGGCTCACTGCAACCTCCGCCTCCCAGGTTCAAGCGATTCTCCTGTCTCAGCCTCCTGAGTAGCTGGGATGACAGGCGCATCACGAGCCCAGGACTTCGAGACCAGCCTGGGCAACATGGTGAAACCTGTCTCTGCTAAAATACAAAAAATTAGCTGGGTGTGGTGGCGTGCCACCATGCCTGGCCTGCAGGCTCTATTTTCTACAAAACAACCCCCATCTGTAAACCATTCTTCATCTGGATTCTCTCAAGGGGTCTCCCGTAAATCTATCCAACTAGAATAGATCTGCTCCAAAGTTTCCACATAGGTGTGTTCCAGTGTCCCCAAGGTGGGCAAGGGAAGGAGGGTGGCAGCATTCAAGGACTCATATATCTTTAAGGTCAAGTCTGGGGTGTCTAACAGTGGGGCTTGATTTTGAGTTAACCTTCCCCGAGTTAGCCAGTGGCTCCCTTTGATTTCCAACACATTCTGGACCTGGTAAGGAGTATAAACTTCAAGGGATTGGCCTAGCATGAGTTTGGAGATATCCCTGACCAGGAGGCTGGTGGCTGCCACTGCCCTAAGACAGCCAGGCCACACCTGGGCTACTGGGTCCAGTTGATTTAAAAAATAAGTCACTGGCCTTTGGACAGGCCCTAGCTTCTGAATTAGGACTTCCAGGGCTTTGCCCAGAGAGGTGGAGGCTATCTGGAAACCCCGGGGGTAGCACTGTCCAAGTACAGTGGGGAGCTTCCTGAGTCTCTGGATCCTTCCATTCAAAGGCAAAAATGTAGGTGGAGTCAGGATGCAGCATATATTAAAGAAAACATCCTTTAGATCCAGTACAGTGTAAAACTGTGTGCACCCAGGGATTTGAGAGTGGAGTGTGTATGAATTAGGGACTGAAGGATGTGTGGGAACAACTGAGTCATTCACTACTCTAAAGTGTGGAAGAAACTGGTATTCTACATTTGGTTTCTTCACAGGCAGGACTGGAGTATTACAAGGGGACTGCAGGGCTGAATTAGTCTGTTCTGTATCAATGTTTCCAGGAGGGGCCATATCCCTTGTAGGGCTTCTGGCCTCAAATGGTATTTTGGCTTGCGTGGGTAGGGTAGGCCTGGCTTAAGCTTTATTTTAATATTCTCCTCATTGATGACCTGTCCTGAAATGTTGGTATCCCATACAGACTTTTCCACTCAAATCAATATCTTTTCTAGGACTGGGGGTAGCTTCTGATCTTGGGGAACCAAAAGGGCCAGTAAATGGATTCCTTTCTCAGGAGGCACTGAGACTTGTATGGCATTCCCCTGGAGGGAAACTGAGGCTCCCAACTTAGATAATAAGTCATGAACCATTAAAGGAAGGGGACACTCAGGGACATATAGGAAGGAATGAGTGATAGCCTTAGATCCAATTTTACAAGTCAAAGGAAAGGTAAACTGTCTTACCTTGGGTTGTCCATCTGTTCCCGTCACTGTACAACTGGCGCTGAACAGAGATCCATCAGGATGGGTCAGGACAGAGTAGGGGGCTCTGGTATCCATAAGGAATTCAGTTTCCTACCTGCCATATTGAGGGTGACCCAAGGCTCCACAGTGGTGATGGTGATGGAACTCTTCAGGACTGGAGGCAGATAAGCATTTGAGAACACCTCATTCAGAGGGGGTAGCCTTTTTATTTGAGAGGCCAGCAACAAGAGGAGTGGGCTGGGGAGGTCTACTCCATCCTGGCTTCCCAGAAAAGAATGGACAGTCCTTTCTCCAGTGCCTCTTCTTACAGTAAGCACACTGGTTGCACCCCATTTCCATGGACATTGGGTGGGGTTTAATCCCCACCCCCCCGCATTCAGGTTTCTCTGTTACCTAAGGTCACCTCAAGGTGGGCCTATGATTATAGCAGCCAAAATGTGTGTCTTCCTTTTTATTCTCTCATTTTTCTACACCTTCTCTGCCTGGTCCCAGTTGTTAAAAATGTTGAAGACCTCTGCTACCAACGTTGCTTGAAGGGTCTAAGGGTCAGCTTTCAGCTTTTGAAGGTTTTCCCAAATGTCTGGCACAGCGTGGGTTATAAAATGCATGGCCAGAAGTGTTAGGCCTTCATTGGTCCTTGGGTCTATGTTACTATACTTTCTAAAAGCCTCAGAGAGCCTATTAAGGTACCCAGCTGGATTTTCATCCACTTCCTGAGCAATTATTTTACTTTATTATACTTTACTGGTTTTGTCTGACACCCTCTGATATGCAATTAAGGAAGTGATTGATCCTTAACCAGTCCCTGTCATCCGTATAAACCCATTGCGGGTTCTGCTCTGGGACTGCCTCACCAGATACCCAGTAAATGACATGGCCAGGATTATATCTGGCCATCTCCTCTGCATATTTCTTACCCTTTCCAAGATTCGAGTTTTTTCACCAGGAGTACAACAACGAGTTAGGACTACAAGAACATCTTGTCAAGTCAAAGGAAAGGTTAGACTAAACTTAATAAATTCATCACTAAACCTATCTGGATTGTTCAAGAACCGGCCAAACCAATCCTTGCCTTGATTTATGTCTGACATTGGTAAGGGTCCATGTACCTGAGTTGCCCCTCTAGTTCCATCCGTTACCTCCCAGGGGGAAAGCAGCCCTGGTATGGTGGGGAAGTGAAGGAGGGTGCTGACTTGGAGCCCAGTTGGAGCCACACTGGGGACAGCACTGAGGGTTGTTGAGGAGTAGAAGGGGAAAGCCTTCCTGACCCAGCATGGTATGGAGGAGGCTCCAGACAGAAGGAGAAAGGATCCACAGTAGCAGAGAGGCCTGCTTCCCACCCTGCCCTTAGAAAGGTAGTGAGAGAATTGAGCCCTAGGGGTTAAAATCTGAGACAGGACTTGGCTCATCTCTCAGCTGTTGCTTGAGAGGTACCATATAAACCTGGCAGGAGTCCTAGAGTTTGAGATCCAGATATAATTTCCTGAAGGCCTGCATGTATGGAATCTCAAGCTATTTATTAGAATTTTTTACAGTATATATCCAATTGGAAAATGATGTTGTAACTGAAGGACCCCATTCTCAGGTCATTTCTCTTGGTACCCCAGGGGATACTGAGGCCAAGCAACATCACAGAGAAACACGAGCTTCTTTTTCTTTGTAATATCTCATTTAAACTGATCCCAATTACAGAGGATGCATCCAAGGGGGGGAATCTTTTGGGACGTCTGTAGTGTTTCCCATGGTAGAGCTGGTGTCCTGTAATCAAGAGGTCTGGTGAGGGATGCAGCCTCTGACTCTGACAGTCTTCACAATTGCAGCACACATCCTGGTCTGACTCATCCCAGACCTTCAAATCCCTGGCAAGAACTAAGCAAGCCAAAGAGGACAGAGGGAGGAGAGCAGAACGAGGGGGCTTGAGAGCCTTTAGCTCTTGGATTTGCCAGCTTCAACCCACAAAGTCTAGCAAGTAGTAGATTTTACATCAGCTCCAAGTAGAACTTACTCTACACCCACATTTATTTACATGGACTCTAACAAGAAACGAGATGATGTACTAGACAGAGGAAAAATTTCATCTGGCCTAATGAGTAAGGCTTCCTTCCAAGAATCCTGGAGGGTGGCTTCACCCATGCAACAAGGACCAGAAACAAGAACGCATTTCCATTCAGACAACTGACAAAACAGATTATAAACGTCCAGGCTCCACAAAGAAGAATACGGTCAGGGAAAATACTGAGTGGTTTCAGTATTTGAAACAAAAGAGAATTCCAGATTGCCGGCTGGTACCTAGCCCACACATGTCTGGGGCAGTTCCCTAGACCAATCTCAGAAGGGCCAGCCAGAATCACTCCAACTGCCTACGCAAGTTTCCCAGAAGGGCTAACTGGAATCACCCCAACTTCCCACCCAAATTTCCAAAAATAAGGGAGAGAAGGAGAGACAAAAGAAAGAAAGAGGCCCTTATCAATGTCAGACATAAGTCAAGGCAAGGATTGGTTTGGCCGGTTCTTGAACAATCCAGATAGGTTTAGTGATTAATGTATTAAGTTTAGTCTAACATTTCCTTTGACTTGACAAGATGTTCTAGTAGTCCTCACTCATTGTACTCCTGGTGAAAGTTTCAAATCTTGGAAAGGGTAAGAAATACGCAGAGGAGATGGCCAGATATAATCCTGGCCATGCCATTTACTGGGCATCTGGTGAGAGAGAGAGAGAGAGAGAGAGAGAGAGAGAGAAGAAGAAGAGCAGACTCACCTAGGGTCCAGACTTGACTCTCCAAAGCACCAACACCAAAGCAATGGTCCAGAGTGGCCACCTTTGTTACCACCTGGTCAGTTGCCTCTGTCCTCCAGGAAGTCTTGCTAACTCCTGTGGGGACCTAAAATGAGGGTCCCATCTGGGGTACCAGGAGATGTTACAATCATCCTTGGTTCTTGTAGTCTTCCAGGATAGAAATCAAGTGAGATTGCTGGGTGTGGTGGCTCACCCCTGTAATCCCAGCACTTTGGGAGGCTGAGGCAGGTGGATTGCTTGAGCCCAGGAGTTCAAGACCAGCCTGGGCAACATGGTGAAAACCCATTTCTACTAAAAATACGAAAAAAAACAGCTGGGTGTGGTGGTGCACACCTGTAATCCCAGCTACTTGGGAGGCTGAGGCAGGAGAATTGCTTGAACCTGGAAGGCAGAAGTTGCAGTGAGCTGAGATTGTGCCATTGCACTCCAGCCTGGGCGACAAAACAAGACTCCATCTCAAAAAAAAAAAAAAAAAGAAAGAAAAAGAGAATGTTTATTTTAGCTTGTGCACAAGAAAGGTCAGCACTGCAAAAGGAAAAGGGTGGGCTGCACCCCAAAGGGAGCAGGTTGATCTGTCTTATAGGGGCCTAGCTGCTGTGACGTGCCTGTCATTGAATGTTTAGGAGGGATTTCTTTGGTGCCTGCACAGTGGTTCAACACGCTTTTTCATACATTGTATATAACATTAGCATTTTAAATCACCTCTGGGCATGATTTTTAGCATTAAAATAAGGAAAAGTTGAAACAAGCCTAGCTGTACTTGCAGGTCCCTGGGGAAGTCCCTAGGCCCCTAAAGCAGGAACTTGTGGTTACTAGCTTCTTGGGCCTTTGATGCTGATTGGCTGGAGATTAGGTAAGCTACATCTTGAGTAAGGGGCTTTTCTTCTTTTTCTCTGGACCACATCAAAACAGGAAGTCAGCCAGCTTGCCTGTCACAAAACCAGGAGTCAATAAATAAAATGATTTATTATTTGAATAATGTATTTGTAGGTTCTTTTGGGTTCTCTACACATACAATCATATTGCTTATGAATTAGTTTAATTCCTTCCATTCTCATCTTTATAACTTTTCTTTAGGCTTTCCAATAGATAATTGAATAAAAGATATGATGGGGGCATCCTAGTCTTGCTTCTGATCACAAAGAAAATACTTTCCATTGGTTTTTGTTGTTGTTTGAGAGGGAGTCTCGCTCTGTCACGCAGGCTGGAGTTCAGCGGCACAATCTAAGCTCACTGCAACCTTTGCCTCCTGGGCTCAAGCGATCCTTCCATCTTAGCCTCCCAAGTAGTAGGGACTACAGGCACATGCCACCACGCCCAGCTGATTTTTGTATTTTTCTGTAAAGATGGGGTTTTTGCTCAGGCTGGTCTCGAACTCCTGGGCTCCAGTGATCCACCTCCCTCAGCCTCCCAAAGTGCTGGGATTACACGCATCAGCCACTACACCCAGCCTGTTTTCAATATTTTGCTATTAAGTATGATGCTTACCGTAGCATTTTTGAAAGTATACATTATTGTATTAAAGAAGTTTCCTTCTACTTTTAATTGTTTAATCATAAATAGATGTTTAACTTTATCAAATGATTTTTCTGCATCTGTCTCAATGATATTAATATCCATTGTTGATCATTACCTTGATGTAGAGTTGCTAACTAAGATACAAGACCTCCAGTTCAATTTGAATTTCAGGTGACAATTAATTTTTAGTATAAATATGTCCCATGCCATTTATTGGCTAAATCTGGAAACCTGTCTAGTTCCATTATTTCACCAGGGCTTTGCAAAATGGGGATTTTTAATGTATTATTTTCTCTTCATTTATTAACTACAATGCTATTATACAAAGAAGCATCCCCTCATTAATTCTCTGGTTACCCTAAATTGTAGTTAATACAGAAAAAGCAACTTAAATGCTTCAATTTTCAGTTTTAGTACATTCTCTCTAAAGGTAACCAAAACGTGTGTGTGCGTGTGTGTGTGTGTGTGTGTGTGTGTGTGTGTGTATGTAATATCCTTATGAATGCATGGATTTTTAACATTTGAAGTGGTCAAACCTTAGACCAGTGGGAGCTGTCTTGGTTTATGGTACATTTCCTACCCAGAACCACAATCATCCATTTCTAAAAGAGCCACAATTCCTATGATTACCAAATTGTATTTATTTATTTATTTTGAGACAAAGTCCTGCTCTGTTGCTGAGGCTGGAGTACAGTGGCATGATCATGGCTCACTGCAGCCTTGACCTCCTGGGCTCAAGTGATCCTCCTGCCTCAGCCTCCCAAGTAGCTGAGACTACAGACGTGCATCACTACACCCAGCTAATTTTTAAATTGTTTGTAGAGACAAGGTCTCCCTATGTTACCCAGGCTGCTCTCAAACTCCTGGATTCAAGTGATCCTCCTGACTTGGACTCTCAAAGTGCTGGGATTATAAGTGTGAGCCACGTGCCTGGCCCCAAATTGAATTTAGACACTATAATTTGAGCACTAGGGGAGGAACTGCCTTTAATATTTTTAATTTTGTAAAACATTTGCACAGTTCCAGAGCCAAAACTTGACAATAAGTTATCTTCACAGAGCTTTAGCTGCCATCCCTGTCCTCTCCACATTTCCTCCCTTCTCCTGTGAGTAACCATTTTTATGGGATTTTCATTCAACTTTCCATCATTTCTCTTTGAAAATATAGGGAAAGACATACATATACAAGTGTGCGTGTCTGTGCATTTCCCTTTCCTTCTTTTGCAAAAGGTAGCATATTATAGCATATCATACACATTGTGTTTTCTTCTTTTTGTTTTGTTTTGTTTTGTTTTTATGAGACCAAGTCTCACTCGGCCGCCCAGGCTGGAGCGCAGTGTCACGATCTCACCTCACTAACCTCCACCTCCCAAGTTCAAGCGATTCTCCTGCTTCAGCCACTCAAGTATCTGGGATTACAGGTGTGTGCCACCATGCCCGGCTAATTTTTGTATTTTTTAGTAGAGACGGGTTTCACCATGTTGGCCAGGCTGGTCTTGAACTCCCGACCTCAGGTGATCCTCCCACCTCAGCCTCCCGAACTATTGAGATCACAGAAGTGAGCCACTGCGCCCAGCTCACACTGTTCTTTATTTTACTTTTTTTACTTGACTTTTTTTTTTTTGAGACGGAGTTTCACTCTTGTTGTCCAGGCTGGAATACAATGGCACGATCTTGGCTCACCGCAACCTCTGCCTCCTGGGTTCAAGCAATTCTCCTGCCTCAGCCTCCCGAGTAGCTGAGATTACAGGCATGTGCCATCACGCCCGGCTAATTTTGCATTTTTAGTAGAAATGGAGTTTCTCCATGTTGGTCAGGATGGTTTTGAACTCCTGACCTCAGGTGATCCGCCCACCTCAGCCTCCCAAAGCGCTGGGATTACAGGCATGAGCCACTGTGCCTGGCCCATGAGCCACCACGCCAGGCAGGCACGTACTATTTTTCATTCCCACTAGCAATGTGAGAGTGCCAATTTTCCCACAACCTTGGCAAGAGTATGTTATCAATCTGATAGGTGAGAAATGGTATCTCGATACAGTTTTATGTTGCATTTGTAGTATCATGAGATAAATCATTTGTTCATTTAAGGGTTTGCATTTTCTATGAATTCTGTTCTTTTGTTTTCTTACCTTGTTGTGTTTTTGTCATGCATAAAATTGTAATTATTATGTAGTCAAATGTATCAGTCCTTTCTTTTATTGCTTCTGTAATTTGAATCAGGTAGCAAAAAAAATTGACCACTGCCAGGTTATAAAGAAATTCATTGGCCGGGCACAGTGGCTCATGCTTGTAATCCCAGCACTTTGGGAGGTCAAGGCAGGAGGATTGCTTGAGCCCAGGAGTTCGAGACCAGCCTGGGTAAAATTGGGAAGTTCTATCTCTACCAAAGAATTACAAAAATTAGCCAGTTGTGCAGGTGTGTGCCTGTAGTCCCAGCTATTCAGGAGGCTGAGGTAGGAGAATTGCTTGAACCAAAGGGGCAGAGGTTGCAATGAGCCGAGATCATGCCACTGCACTCCAGCCTGGACAGTAGAGCCAGACCCTGTCTCAACTTAAAACCTAAATGAATAAATTCATTCACATTTAGTAGTTACAGGGTTTCACATTTTAAAATTTAGATCTCTGACCTTTTCACATTTGTCCTGCTGTGTGGTTTGAGGAATGGGTTTAATTTTATATTCTTCCATAGAGTTGTCAGCTTACTCCAGTATCACTGATTAAAAAGTCCTTCTTGTCTCCAATGATTTGAGATGCAACCTTTATCATATACTAAATATCTATATGCATTTGGGTCTGCTCTGGATTCTCTATTCTGTTCCTTCATTCTGTGGTATTCATGTGCTAATACCACACTGTTTTCATTAGAGGTTTTCTGTTTTAATATCTAGTCAGGTCGGCCAGGCGCGGTGGCTCATGCCTGTAATCCCAGCACTTTGGGAGGCTGAGGCATGTGGATCACGAGGTCAGGACCTCAAGACCAGTCTGGCCAACATGGTGAAACCCCGTGTCTACTAAAAATACAAAAATTAGCTGGGCATGGTGGCACGCATCTGTAATCCCAGCTGCTCGGGATTACAAAAAACAAGAACAGCTAAGAAAGTTCTGAAAAACTCAGGAGGCTGAGGCAAGAGAATCACTTGAACCCAGGAGGCAGAGGTTGCAGTGAGCTGAGATTGTGCCACTGCACTCTAGGCTAGCGATATATATATATATATGTGTAGTCAGGTCAGTGGTGCCTCCCTACTCTGGTCTTTTTCAGAATTTTCTTAGCTGTTCTTGTTTTTCTCATTCTCCCAAATAAGTTTTACAATAACTTCTCTAATTCTAGATAAAAACCTGATGATATTTTTGGAGGGATTGCATTACATTTTTAAACTAACTTTTTGAGAGATATTTTTATTATGTGAGTCTCCTATCCAAAACCATTGCCCTTCCATCTATATATGTTCATGTTTACCTTTGTGAATAATAGAAAAGCAGACACTATTCACGTTTATCTTTAAAAAAAAAAAAAAAAAAAAAAGCAAAATAGGCCGGGTGTGGTGGCTCACGCCTGTAATCCCAGAACTTTGGGAGGCTGAGGCAGGAGAATTACTTGAGTCCAGGAGTTCAAGACCAGCCTAGGCAACATGGTGAAACCCCATCTCTACAAAAAATCAGCTAGGCATGGTGGTGTGCACCTGTAGTTCCAGCTACTCGGAAGGCTGAGGTGGTGTCAGGCCTCTGAGCCTAAGCTAAGCCATCGCATCCTCTGTGACTTGCACGTATAAGCCCAGATGGCCTGAAATAACTGAAGAATCACAAAAGAAGTGAAAATGTCCTGCCCCGCCTTAACTGATGGCATTCCACCACAAAAGAAGTGAAAATGGCTGGTCCTTGCCTTAAGTGATGACATTACCTTGTGAAAGTCCTTTTCCTGGCTCATCCTGGCTCAAAAAGCTCCCCCACTGAGCACCTTGCGACCCCCACTCCTGCCTGCCAGAGAACAAAACCCCTTTGACTGTAATTTTCCTTTACCTACCCAAATCTTATAAAATGGCCCCACCCCTATCTCCCTTTGCCCCCACCCTATCTCCCAGAGTAGGGAGGCACCACTGACCTGACTACATATATATAAATATATATATATATATATATATATATATATATATATATATATCGCTAGCCTGGAGTGCAGTGGCACAATCTCAGCTCACTGCAACCTCTGCCTCCTGGGTTCAAGTGATTCTCTTGCCTCAGCCTCCTGAGTTTTTCAGAACTTTCTTAGCTGTTCTTGTTTTTTGTAATCCCGAGCAGCTGGGATTACAGATGCGTGCCACCATGCCCAGCTAATTTTTGTATTTTTAGTAGACACGGGGTTTCACCATGTTGGCCAGACTGGTCTTGAGGTCCTGACCTCGTGATCCACATGCCTCAGCCTCCCAAAGTGCTGGGATTACAGGCATGAGCCACCGCGCCTGGCCGACCTGACTAGATATTAAAACAGAAAACCTCTAATGAAAACAGTGTGGTATTAGCACATGAATACCACAGAATGAAGGAACAGAATAGAGAATCCAGAGCAGACCCAAATGCATATAGATATTTAGTATATGATAAAGGTTGCATCTCAAATCATTGGAGACAAGAAGGCTGACTCTCTTTTCGGACTCAGCCCACCTGCACCCAGGTGATTAAAAGCTTTTATTCTCACACAAAGCCTGTTTAGTAGTCTCTTCACACAGACATGCATGAAAGGTGGGAGGATCACTTGAGCCTGGGAGGTGGAGGTTGCAGTGAGCTGAGATTGTGCCACTGCACGCCAGCCTGGGCAACAGAGACATCCTGTCTCAAAAAAAAAAAAAAAACAGTAAAATTGATATGTATAGATTTGTGTAACCACCTCCATGAAGGGGTAGGTTGCCCCTCCACACCTCTGGGTGTTTCTCGTTAGGTGGAATGAGAGACTTGGAAAAGAAAGAGACACAGAGACAAAGTACAGACAAAGAATAAAGGGGGCCCAGGGAACTGGCGTTCAGCATACGGAGGCTCCACCGGCCTCTGGGTTCCCTTAGTATTTATTGATCATTCTTGGGTGTTTCTCGGAGAGGGGGATGTGGCAGCGTCATAGGATAATAGTGGAGAGAAGGTCGGCAGATAAACACTTGAACGAAGGTCTCTGCATCGTAGACAAGGTAAAGAATTAAGTGCTGTGCTTTAGATATGTGTACATAAAAACATCTCAATGCCTTAAAGAACAGTATTGCTGCCCGCATGTCCCACCTCCAGCCCTAAGGCGGTTTTCCCCTATCTTAGTAGATGGAATATACAATCAGGTTTTACACGAGACATTCCATTGCCCAGGGACGGGCAGGAGACAGATGCCTTCCTCTTGTCTCAACTGCAAAGAGGCGTTCCTTCCTCTTTTACTAATCCTCCTCAGCACAGACCCTTTACGGGTGTCGGGCTGGGGGACGGTCAGGTCTTTCCCTTCCCACGAGGCTGTATTTCAGACTATCACATGGGGAGAAACCTTGGACAATACCTGGCTTTCCTAGGCAGAGGTCCCTGCGGCCTTCCGCAGTGTTTGTGTCCCTGGGTACTTGAGATTAGGGAGTGGTGATGATTCTTAGGGAGGATGCTGCCTTCAAGCATCTGTTTAACAAAGCACATCCTGCACAGCCCTTAATCCATTTAACCCTGAGTTGACACAGCACGTGTTTCAGGGAGCACAGGGTTGGCGGTAAGGTTACAGATTACAGAACAAAATGGAGTCTCCTATGTCTACTTCTTTCTACACAGACACAGTAACAATCTGATCTCTCTTTCTTTTCCCCACACCTCCACAATCAAGATACAGTTTCATCACCCCAAAACTTCTCTCATGCTGTCCTTTTGTAGTATCCCTCCCCACCAACCCCTGGAAACCAGTGACCTCGTCTCTGTTCCTTTAATCTTGTGTTTTCAAGAATGTCATACAAATGGAATCAGAAAGTACGTCACCTCCAGTCCTATGTACCCATTTGACTATGGAAAATTTCCACTCGAATGTCCCACAGGTACCTTAGCTCAACCTCATTGCTCTCCTTCCAATATGCCCCTCCTCCTATGTCTAGATTCTAGTCAAACACTATGCCATCATCCAGCAGTCCAAGCTAGGAGTGTCATCCTGGGTTCCTCTTTTTTCCTTTCACCCTTCTTTCTAATTATTCTTTTTTTTTTTTTTTTTTTTTTTTTTTTGAGACAGAGTTTCTCTCTTGTTGCCCAGGCTGGAGTGTAATGGCACGATCTCGGCTCACCACAACCTCTGCCTCCCGAGTTCAAGTGATTCTCCTGCCTCAGCCTCCAGAGTAGCTGGGATTACAGGCATTCACCACCATGCCCAGCTAATTTTGTATTTTTAGTAGAGACGGGGTTTCTCCATGTTGGTCAGGTGGTTTTGAACTCCCGACCTCTGGTGATCTGCCTGCCTCGGCCTCCCAAAGTGCTGGGATTACAGGCATGAGCCACTGCACCCGGCTCTAATTACTCTCTTAATCTCATTGCTTATATGTTCTTTATATCTCTCAAAACAATCTATTTCTAAATCCACAACCATTTTACAAGTGATTCTGGCAACCACCTCTCAACTGGATTATTCCAACAGCTTTCTGGGTTTTTTTGCTGAGTCTTATCCTTTTGAGTCTCTATCTACATCACAGTAAGCATGATCATCCTAAACAAACACAAATCTTGTTAAGTCATTCCCCCAATCCCCCACTCCCTGCCACTTAAAACCCTTCACGGGTTGTCCCTTGCCCTCAGGACAAATTGTAAGCTCCTTAGGTGACATTCAAGACTTCCTATAATTCAAGCCTTCCTCTCCTATCTCAACCCAAAACTCCTGTTCTCACCCTACATGTCTCCCACACATACTCCCACTTGGGTTGCTTTTTTAAAGTCTGGAATGTCTTTCTCCTCGCCTTTGTTTTTTTTTCTTTCTTTTTTTTTTTTTTCTTTTTTGAGTTGGAGTCTCACTCTGTCACCCAGGCTGGAGTGCAGTGGCGCAATCTCAGCTCACTGCAACCTCTGCCTCCCGGGTTCAAGCAATTCTCCTGCTTCAGCCTCCTGAGTAGCTGGGATTACAGGGGTGCACCAGCATGCCCAGCTAATTTTCTGAATTTTTAGTAGAGATGGGGGTTTTACCATGTTGGCCAGGATGGTCTCGATCTCCTGACCTCGTGATCCGCTCACCTCAGCCTCCCAAAATGCTGGTATTACAGGCATGAGCCACCACGCCTGGCTCTCCTCACCTTTCTTAGCTAATTAGTACTTGTCCTTCAGGTCTCACCTTGGCTCTAACCTCCTGGCTGGACCAATGCTCTACCTTTCTAATTCCTGCAGGAAAACACTGGACTTTTCTCTTTTTCCTTAGTAGAGAAGTTTTCAAAGTGGGACTGCAGACCCTTGCATGTCCCTGATCCCTTCAGAGGGTCCCTGAGGTCAAAACTATTTTTATAATAATACTAAGATGTTATTCAAATTTTTCACTCTTAATATTTGCACTGATAGTGCAAAAACAATGGTAAGTAAGACTACTGGCCCTTGCCCCAAATCAATTTAGCTAATAATCATCAGATTAATGGAATCTTCTTGTTTTAATATTACACCAAAACTCTACAAGTGGAAGTATCTTAAAGGTTAGTTGCAATATGGTGTCTGAAACGATATCAGTGAATTATTTCCATGCTATTACAGTAAAATCCCTTGGTCTATATTGCACTTTGCATGGATCTTTTACCCATTCATAGTTTTATAGCATCATGCAACAGGAATTTGGAAAATATTGGTGCAGTGAGTTATACAGCTTTCCAAATGTTGAAACATTTGTTATAAAATACTGAAAAATTATAGTCATAGATATCCACATCATTCTAATCTGAAAGGCAATAAGCATTTGGGAAGCTGTCAAGCTCATGGTGGCAGATTAAATATACTTCCATATTACCACTACTTATATATGTGTGGCTACATTTTTTTTGGTATACGTTAACCGAAACAAACTATCACAGCACATTGAATGCAAAAGCAGACATTGGCCAGGCGCAGTGGCTCACGCCTGTAATCCCAGCACTTTGGGAGGCCGAGGCAGGAGGATTGCCTGAAGTCAGGAGTTCAAGACCAGCCCGGCCAAGATGGCGAAACCCCGTCTCCACTAAAAATACAAAACACTAGCCGGGCGCAGTGGCTCGCACCTGTAATCCCAGCTACGTGGGAGGCTGAGGCAGGAGAATCACTTGAACCTGAGAGGCAGAGGTTGCAGCAAGCCAAGATCGTGCCATTGCACTCCAGCCTGGGGGACAGAGTGAGACTCTGTCTCAAAAAAAAAAAAAGCAGAAAAAAAAGCAGACATTAAGATCCAGTTGTTTTCCATCAAGCTGGACATTAAAGAGATTTGCAAAAATGCAAAACAATGCTACTCTTCTCTGACCATAATAGAATTAAAGTAGAAATCAATTAACAGAAAGATGTCTAGGAGATGCCCAAATATTTGGAAATTAATCACTCACTTCTAAATAATCCAGGAGTCAAAGAAGAAGTATTAAGAAGAAATAGAAAATATTTTTCACTTAATGAAAATAAAATATAACAAAATGTATGTAAGCAATTAAGGCAGTTTTTAGGGGGTAAATTTATATTAGCAAACACATATGTCATGAAAGAAAATCTCAAATCTAACCCTCCACGTTAATATTGTAGAAAAAGAAAAGTAAATGAAATCCAAAGCACTGAAGGAAAAAGAAAATAAAGAGCAGAAATCAATGAAATTAAAAACAGGAAAAATCAATGAAACCAAAAATTTTCCTTATGAAAGGTCAATACAACTAATAAACCTCTAACCAGACGAACCAAGAAAAAAACAGAGAAGACAAAAATTACCTATATTAGGAATGATAGAAGAGATATCACTACAGTATCTATAAATTTTACAACTTACATGTAATAGATCAGTCCCTTGAAAGATACAAACTACCACAATTCACCAAAGATGAACAAGATAAAGAGGTCTTAGAACTATTAAAGAAATTAAATTTATAGTTAAATATCTTCCCCCGAAAATCTCTAGGCCCAGTTTTATTGGAGAATGTTATCAAGTATTATTGAAAGAAATAACATGAATTCTAAAAAATTCTCTTTCAGAAAATATAAGAGGAGAAATACTTTCCAATTTGTTTTATGAGGCTAGCATTGCCTTGATACCAGAAGCCAAAGACACTACAATGAAAGAACACTATAAATCAGTATCCCTCATATTAGCAAATTGAATCTAGCAATATAAAAAGGACAATTCATCATGGTCAAGTAGGGCTTATCCTGGGAATACAAGGTCTGTTCAAAATTTTCTTGACAAAAGTGAACATCTAGCAGGGCGTGGTGGCACACACCTGTAATCCCAGCACTTTGGGAGGCTGAGGCAGGCAGATCACCTGAGGTCAGGAGTTTGAGACCAGCCTAACTAACATTGTGAAACCCTGTCTCTATACTAAAAATGCAAAACTAGCCGGGTGTGGTAGGAGGCACCTGTAATCCCAGCTACTCAGGAGGCTGAGGCAGGAGAATTGCTTGAACCTAGGAGGCGAAGGCTGCAGTTAGCCAAGATGGCACCACTGTACTCCATCCTAGGTGACAGAGCAAGGGTTCATTTCAAAAAAAAAAAAGTGAACATCCATTCAGGGTTTAAAAAAAAAAAACCAACTCAGCAAACTAAGAAGAGAAAGAAACTTCCTTAATCTGCTAAAAGGGCATTTTGAAAGACACTTAATGTTAGAAGTCTAAATGCTTTCCACCAAAGATTGAGAACAAAGAAAAGAATGTTTGCATTCACCACTCCTAGTCAATATTGTACTGAAAGTCCTGGCCGATGTAATAAGTAGGAAAAGGAAACAAAAGTAATGTCGATTGAAAAGGAAGAAAAATAAAACTGTCTTTATTCACTAATGACATAGTTGTCACAAAAAAAACTCCAGGAAATCTACAGAAACTCCTAAAACTAATAAATGATTTTTACAAGATCACAGAATAATGTGCAAAAGTCAATCATATTTTTAAGCATAAGGAAACAAAAATCAGAAATTTAAAAAATTTTAATAACATTTATAATATCATAAAATATGAAATACATAGGGATAACCTGACAAAAGATTTACAAGACCTATACACTGAAAACTAAAAAACATTGCTGGTAGAAGTTAAGGAATGGCTAAATAAATTGGGAGATTGCCGGGCGTTGGTGGCTCACGCCTGTAATCCCAGCACTTTGGGAGGCCGAGGCAGGCGGATCACGAGGTCAGGAGATCGAGACCATCCTGGCAAACACGGTGAAACCCCGTCTCTACTAAAAATACAAAAAATTAGCCAGGTGCGGTGGTGGGCGCCTGTAGTCCCAGCTACTCGGGAGGCTGAGGCAGGAGAATGGCGTGAACCTGGGAGGCAGAGCTTGCAGTGAGCCGAGATAGCGCCACTGCACTCTGGCTTGGGTGAAAGAGCGAGACTCCCTCTCAAAATATAAATTAAATAAATAAATAAATAAATAAATAAATAGGGAGATATACCAGGTTCATAGATTATAAGATTTAATGCTGGCCGGGTGCGGTGGCTCACGCCTGTAATCCCAGCACTTTGGGAGGCTCAGGTTGGGGGATCACGAGGTCAGGAGATCAAGAACATCCTAGCCAACAGGCCTAGCCAATATGGTGAAACCCCGTCTCTATTAAAAATACAAAAATTAGCCGGGTGTGGTGGCGCACGCCTATAGTCTCAGCTACTCGGGAGCCTGAGGCTGGAGAATCTCTTGAAACCGGGAGGCGGAGGTTGCAGTGAGCCGAGATTGTGCCACTGCACTCCAGCCTGACAACAGAGTGAGACTCCATCTTTAAAAAAAAAAAAAAAGAAAAAAGAAAGAAAATTAGATCAACAGAACAGAATCAAGAGTCCACAGATAGATGTACACACATGCATAATCAACTGATTTTTGACAAAGCTGCAGGGCATTTCAGTGGGAAAAGATAATGTTTTCAATAAATGGTACTGGAGCGACTGGGTATTCACATGCAAAAAGATGAAACTTCGGCCAGGCACAGTGGTTCAGGCCTGGAATCCCAGCACTTTGGGAAGCCGAGGCAGGTAGGTGGATCACCTGAGGTCAGGTGTTCGAGACCACCCTGGCCAACATGGTGAAACTCCATCTCTACTAAAAATACAAAAATTAGCCGAGCGTGGTGGCAGGCACCTGTGATCCCAGCCACTCCAGAGGCTGAAGGAGGAGAATCGCTTGAACCTTGGAGGCAGAGGTGCAGTGGGCTGAGATCGCACCACTGCACTCCAGCCTGGGCGGCCGAATGAGACTCTGTCTCAAAAACAACAACAACAAACTCGAAATGGAACATAGATGTAAATGTGAAATATCGAGCTATCAAACTTCTTCTTCGCCCCCCAAAGTGCTGGGAATACAGATGTGAGCCACCACACCCAGCCAATCGAACTATCAAACTTCTGAAGAAAACATTTAAAAAAACTTTGTGAGTTTTCACCAGGCTAAGGTTTTTAAAAATACAACACCAACAGCATGATTCATAAAAGAAAAAATTGATAAATTGGACTTAGAATCCACAGTGGTACATGCCACCATGTCAGGCTAATTTTTGTATTTTTAACAGAGACGGGTTTCACCATGTTGGCCAGGCTGGTCTCAAACTTCAGACCTCAAGTGATCCACCTGCCTCAGCCTCCCAAAGTACTAGGATTACAGATGTGAGCCATTACACCCGGCCTTTTTTTCAAATTTCTAAGAAAAGAGATTTTTTTTTTTTGAGATGGGAGTCTTGCTCTGTCTCCAGGCTGGAGTGCAATGGTGCCATCTTGGCTCACTGTAACCTCCGCCTCCCAGGTTCCAGCAATTCTTCTGCCTCAGCCTCCCGAGTAGCTGGGATTACAGGCACACGCCACCACGCCCAGCTAATTTTTTGTATTTTTTAGTAGAGACTGAGTTTTACCATGCTGGCCAGACTGGTCTCGAACTCCCGACTGCAGGTGATCCACTCGCCTCGGCCTCCTAAAATGCTGGGATTACAGGCGTGAGCCACTGCACCCGGCCCAAATCACTGTATTTTGGAAAAGATAAGTTCAAAAATTAGCCGGGCGTGGTGGCAGACACCTGTAATCCTAGCTACTTGGGAGGCTGAGGCAGGAGAATCACTGGAACCCAGGAGGCAGAGGTTGCAGTGAGCCAAGATTGTGCTATTGCCCTCCAGCCTGGGTGACAGAGGGAGACTGGGTCTCAAAAAAAAAAAAAAAAAGAAAAAAGAAAAGAAAAGTTCATTGATCCTAGCCCTTGCCTCTGCCCGTGTGTAGGAAAATATCGAAGAGGATTAATGATTATGTGTCACACCCAAACCTTGATGGGATTTTGCTCTCATGTAACTTCTGAGAACATGAGCTGCAGCCACCTGTATAAAAACCGCAGGCTGAAACCCTCCGGAGCAGTCCAACGGTTACTTTGAAAGACTCTCCCAGGTTGTGATCCTCAGTAAGACTTCTGAATCAAACTAACTTTAATTCTCTAAAAGTAGGTTTTTCTCTTTCCTTTTTTTTTTTTTTTTTTTTTTTTGAGACAGGGTCTCTCACTCTGTCGCCCATGCTGGAGTGCAGTGGCACAATCTTGGCTCACTGGCAGCCTTGACCTCCTAGGCTCAAGTGATTCTCCCCCCTGAGCCTCCTGAGTGGCTGGAACTACGGGCGCACGACCATGCTGGGTTAATTTTTATAAACATTTTTTGGTCTCACTATGTTGCCCAGGGTGGTCTTGAGCTTCTGGGCTCAAGCAACCCTCCTGCCTGCACCTCCCAAAGTGCTGAGATGATTATAGGAGCAGGAATGAGCACTTGGCCTGATTTTTGTCTTAGTTGACAATAGTCAGTGTTCAGGAAATGGTTATTTATGATTATTATCCATAAAAATTCCAAAGGGATACACTGATTTGTCATTACCAAAGGGGCCAGAGAGAACCTGGCAATTATTTGGGCTTAGGGGAATAAAGGCAAAGCTCTCAGATGAGTTTCAGTCTGAAGCCTGGAAACAGGGAGGATGGGAGGCCAGGGGCAAGATGATGGATTCCATTTTAAGTAATAGATTCTAAGTCTCAAGTAAAAATCAAGGTTGCCTTTTGGGTGTAAGGTAGAAACCTGGGATACAGAATTAAGAATTGCCCATGTTAGGCACGGTGGCTCACGCCTATAATCCCATCACTTTTCGAGGCTTGGGAGGGTAGATCACTTGAGGTTAGGCATTTGAGACTAGCCTGGCCAGCATGGCGAAACTCCGTCTCTACTAAAAATACAAAAAATTACCCAGGTGTGGTGGCCCACGCCTGTAGTCCCAGCTGCTCCAGAGGCTGAGGCATGAGAATCACTTGAACCTGGGAGGCAGAGTTGCAGTGAGCCGAGACTGTGCCACTGCACTCCAGCCTGGGCGCCAGAGCAAGGCTCTGTCTCAAAAAAAAAAAAAAAACTTACAGAATTAAGAGTTGCTCATGCAGAGGAAAACAAAAAGATTTATTGTCATTGTCGTTTTCCTTTTTTTTGTGGAAACACAGACACTAGGACTTTAAGAAAGGCAGGAGCCAGATCTAATGAATCTCTGGGTTCTCCCAGCAGAGTGATCCTCCCTACTCAGTGATCTCCACTGAGCAGGAGCCACCAATTCTCTTTGTAACTTAATGGAAGTGGCTTTCCCCTGTCTGCACCTCAGTTTCATTTGTAAAATGAGGAAAAGCAAACCTACCTCTGA